>NC_000019.10:26538821-26864847 GCF_000001405.40 Homo sapiens | reverse complement strand
GTTTCCTAACTGCTCTATGAAAAGAAAGGTTAAACACTGTGAGTTGAACGAACACATCACAACGCAGTTTGTGGGAATGATTCTGTCTAGTTTTGAAACCAAGATATTTCCTTTTCTGCCGTTGACCTAAAAGAGCTTGAAAACTACACTTGCAAATTGCACAAATAGAGTGTTTCAAATCTGCTCTGTCTAGGGGAACGTTCAACTCTGTGAGTTGAATGCACACAACACAAGGAAGTTACTGGGAATTCTTCTGTCTAGCCTTAAATGAAAAAACCCGTTTCCAACGAAGGCCTCTAAGTGGTCAAAATTTCCACGTGCAGACTTTACAAACAGAGTGTTTCCAAACCGCTGAATGAAAAGAAAAGTTAAACTCTGAGAGTTGAACGCACACATCACGCAGCAGTTTCTGAGAATGATTCTGTCTAGTTTTTATACGAAGATATTTCCTTTTCTGCCTTTGGCCTCAAAGCGCTTGAAATCTCCACTTGCAAATTCCACAAAAAGAGTGTTTCAAATCTGCTCTGGGTAAATGAAAGTTCAACTCTGTGAGTTGAACACACACAACACAAGGAAGTTACTGGGAATTCTTCTGTCTAGCAGAATATGAAGAAATCACGTTTCCAACGAAGGCCTCAAGGAGGTCTGAATATCCACTTGCAGACTTTACAAACAGAGTGTTTCCTAACTGCTCTATGAAAAGAAAGGTTAAACTCTGTGAGTTGAACGCACACATCACAAAGGAGTTTCTGAGAATCATTCTGTCTAGTTTTTATACGAAGATATTTCCTTTTCTACCATTGACCTCAACGCGGCTGAAATCTCCTCTTGCAAATTCCACAAAACGAGTGTTTCAAGTCCGCTCTGTGTAAAGGATCGTTCAACTCTGTGAGTTGAATACACACAACACAAGGAAGTTACTGAGAATTCTTCTGTCTAGCAGAATATGAAGAAATCCCGTTTCCAACGAAGGCCACAAGATGTCAGAATATCCACTTACAGACTTTACAAACAGAGTGTTTCCTAACTGCTCTATGAACAGAAAGGTTAAACTCTGTGAGTTGAACGCACACATCACAAAGGAGTTTCTGAGAATCATTCTGTCTAGTTTTGAAACGAAGATATTTCCTTTTCTGCCATTGACCTTAAAGCGCTTGAAATCTACACTTGCAAATTGCACAAATAGAGTGTTTCAAATCTGCTCTGTCTAAGGGAACGTTCAACTCTGTGAGTTGAATGCACACAACACAAGGAAGTTACTGGGAATTCTTCTGTCTAGCCTTACATGAAAAAAACCCGTTTCCAACGAAGGCCTCTAAGTGGTCAAATTATCGACGTGCAGACTTTACAAACAGAGTGTTTCCAAACTGCTGAATGAAAAGCAAAGTTAAACTCTGAGAGTTGAACGCACACATCGCAGAGCAGTTTCTGAGAATGATTCTGTCTAGTTTTTATACGAAGATATTTCCTTTTCTACCTTTGGCCCCAAAGCGCTTGAAATCTCCACTTGCAAATTCCACAAAAACAGTGTTTCAAATCTGCTCTCTCTAAATGAAAGTTCAACTCTGTCAGTTGAATACACACAACACAAGGAAGTTACTGAGAATTCTTCTGTCTAGCAGAATATGAAGAAATCCCGTTTCCAATGAAGGCCTCAAAGAGGTCTGGATATCCACTTGCAGACTTTACAAACAGAGTGTTTCCTAACTGCTCTATGAAAAGAAAGGTTAAACTCTGTGAGTTGAACGCACACATCACAACGGAGTTTCTGAGAATCATTCTGTCTAGTCTTTATATGAAGATAGTTTCCTTTTCTACCATTGACCTCAAAGCGGCTGAAATCTCCACTTGCAAATTCCACAAAAAGAGTGTTTCAAGTCTGCTCTGTGTAAAGGATCGTTCAACTCTGTGAGTTGAATACACACAACACAAGGAAGTTACTGAGAATTATTCTGTCTAGCAGAATATGAAGATATCCCGTTTCCAACGAAGGCCACAAGATGTCAGAATATCCACTTACAGACTTTACAAACAGAGTGTTTCCTAACTGCTCTATGAACAGAAAGGTTAAACTCTGAAAGTTGAACGAACACATCACAACGCAGTTTGTGGGAATGATTCTGTCTAGTTTTGAAACGAAGATATTTCCTTTTCTGCCATTGACCTTAAAGCGCTTGAAATCTACACTTGCAAATTGCACAAATAGAGTGTTTCAAATCTGCTCTGTCTAAGGGAACGTTCAACTCTGTGAGTTGAATGCACACAACACAAGGAAGTTACTGGGAATTCTTCTGTCTAGCCTTACATGAAAAAAACCCGTTTCCAACGAAGGCCTCTAAGTGGTCAAAATATCCACGTGCAGACTTTACAAACAGAGTGTTTCCAAACCGCTGAATGAAAAGAAAAGTTAAACTCTGAGAGTTGGACGCACACATCACGCAGCAGTTTCTGAGAATGATTCTGTCTGGTTTTTATACGAAGATATTTCCTTTTCTGCCTTTGGCCTCAAAGCGCTTGAAATCTCCACTTGCAAATTCCACAAAAAGAGTGTTTCAAATCTGCTCTGTGTAAATGAAAGTTCAACTCTGTGAGTTGAACACACACAACACAAGGAAGTTACTGGGAATTCTTCTTTCTAGCAGAATATGAAGAAATCCCGTTTCCAACGAAAGCCTCAAGGAGGTCTGAATATCCACTTGCAGACTTTACAAACAGAGTGTTTCCTAACTGCTCTATGAAAAGAAAGGTTAAACTCTGTGAGTTGAACGCACACATCACAAAGGAGGTTCTGAGAATCATTCTGTCTAGTTTCTATAGGAAGATATTTCCTATTCTACCATTGACCTCAAAGCGGCTGAAATCTCCACTTGCAAATTACACAAAAAGAGTGTTTCAAGTCTACTCTGTGTAAAGCATCGTTCAACTCTGTGAGTTGAAAACACACAACACAAGGAAGTTTCTGAGAATTCTTCTGTCTAGCAGAATATGAAGAAATCCCTTTTCAAACGAAGGCCACAAGATGTCAGAATATCCACTTACAGACTTTACAAACAGAGTGTTTCCTAACTGCTCTATGAACAGAAAGGTTAAACTCTGTGAGTTGAACGAACACATCACAACGCAGTTTGTGGGAATGATTCTGTCTAGTTTTAAAACGAAGATATTTCCTTTTCTGCCGTTGACCTTAAAGCGCTTGAAATCTACACTTGCAAATTGCACAAATAGAGTGTTTCAAATCTGCTCTGTCTAAGGGAACGTTCAACTCTGTGAGTTGAATGCACACAACACAAGGAAGTTACTGGGAATTTTTCTGTCTAGCCTTACATGAAAAAATCCAGTTTCCAACGAAGGCCTCTAAGTGGTCAAAATATCCACGTGCAGACTTTACAAACAGAGTGTTTCCAAACCGCTGAATGAAAAGAAAAGGTAAACTCTGAGAGTTGAACTCACACATCACGCAGCAGTTGCTGAGAATGATTCTGTCTAGTTTTTAAACGAAGATATTTCCTTTTCTGCCTTTGGCCCCAAAGCGCTTGAAATCTCCACTTGCAAATTCCACAAAAACAGTGTTTCAAATCTGCTCTCTCTAAATGAAAGTTCAACTCTGTCAGTTGAATACACACAACACAAGGAAGTTACTGAGAATTCTTCTCTCTAGTTTTTATGTGAAGATATTTCCTTTTCCACCACAGGCCTGAAAGCGCTCCAAATGTCCACTTGGAGACTCAACGAAAAGAATGTTTCAAAACTGCTCTATGAAAAGCAATGTTATCCTCTGGGAGTTGAACACAAGCCTCACAAAGGAGTTTTTGAGAATGCTTCTGTCTAGTTTTTATACGAAGATATTTCCTTTTCTACCATTGACCTCAAAGCGGCTGAAATCTCCACTTGCAAATTCCACAAAAAGAGTGTTTCAAATCTGCTCTGTGTAAACCATCGTTCAACTCTGTGAGTTGAATACACACAACACAAGGAAGTTACTGAGAATTCTTCTGTCTAGCAGAATATGAAGAAATCCCGTTTGCAACGAAGGCCACAAGATGTCAGAATATCCACTTACAGAATTTACAAACAGAGTGTTTCCTAACTGCTCTATGAAAAGAAAGGTTAAACTCTGTGAGTTGAACGAACACATCACAACGCAGTTTGTGGGAATGATTCTGTCTAGTTTTTATACGAAGATATTTCCTTTTCTACCATTGACCTAAAAGCGGTTGAAATCACCACTTGCCAATTGCACAAAAAGAGTGTTTCAAATCTGCTCTGTCTAAGGGAACGTTCAACTCTGTGAGTTGAATGTACACAACACAAGGAAGTTACTGGGAATTCTTCTCTCTAGCCTTACAGGAAAAAAACCCGTTTCCAACGAAGGCCTCTAAGTGGTCAAAATATCCACGTGTAGACTTTACAAACAGAGTGTTTCCAAACTGCTGAATGAAAAGAAAAGTTAAACTCTGAGAGTTGAACGCACAGATCGCAGAGCAGTTTCTGAGAATGATTCTGTCTAGTTTTTATACGAAGATATTTCCTTTTCTGCCTTTGGCCTCAAAGCGCTTGAAATCTCCACTTGCAAATTCCACAAAAAGAGTGTTTCAAGTCTGCTCTGTGTAAAGGATCGTTCTACTCTGTGAGTTGAATACACACAACACAAGGAAGTTACTGAGAATTCTTCTGTCTAGCATAATATGAAGAAATCCCGTTTCCAACGAAGGCCTCAAAGGGGTCTGAATATCCACTTGCAGACTTTATAAACAGAGTGTTTACTAACTGCTCTATGAAAAGAAAGGTTAAACTCTGTGAGTTGAGCACACACATCACAAAGGAGTTTCTGAGAATCATTCTGCCTAGTTTTTCTACGAAGATATTTCCTTTTCTACTATTGACCTCAAAGCGGCTGAAATCTCCACTTGCAAATTCCACAAAAAGAGTGTTTCAAGTCTGCTCTGTGTAAAGGATCGTTCAACTCTGTGAGTAGAATACACACAACACAAGGAAGTTACTGAGAATTCTTCTGTCTAGCAGAATATGAAGAAATCCCGTTTCCAACGAAGGCCTCAAAGAGGTCTGAATATCCACTTGCAGACTTTACAAACAGAGTGTTTCCTAACTGCTCTATGAAAAGAAAGGTTAAACTCTGTGAGTTGAACGCACACACCACAAAGGAGTTTCTGAGAATCATTCTGTCTAGTTTTGAAACGAAGATATTTCCTTTTCTGCCATTGACCTTAAAGCGCTTGAAATATCCATTTGCCAATTGCACAAAAAGAGTGTTTCAAATCTGCTCTGTCTGAGGGAACGTTCAACTCTGTGAGTTGAATGTACACAACACAAGGAAGTTACTGGGAATTCTTCTGTCTAGCCTTACATGAAAAAAACCCGTTTCCAACGAAGGTCTCTAAGTGGTCAAATTATCCACGTGCAGACTTTACAAACAGAGTGTTTCCAAACTGCTGAATGAAAAGAAAAGTTAAACTCTGAGAGTTATACGCACACATCGCAGAGCAGTTTCTGAGAATGATTCTGTCTAGTTTTTATACGAAGATATTTCCTTTTCTGCCTTTGGCCCCAAAGCGCTTGAAATCTCCACTTGCAAATTCCACAAAAACAGTGTTACAAATCTGCTCTCTCTAAATGAACGTTCAACTCTGTCAGTTGAATACACACAACACAAGGAAGTTACTGAGAATTCTTCTGTCTAGCATAATATGAAGAAATCCCGTTTCCAACGAAGGCCTCAAAGGGGTCTGAATATCCACTTGCAGACTTTATAAACAGAGTGTTTACTAACTGCTCTATGAAAAGAAAGGTTAAACACTGTGAGTTGAACACACACATCACAAAGGAGTTTCTGAGAATCATTCTGTCTAGTCTTTATACGAAGATATTTCCTTTTCTACCATTGACCTCAAAGCGGCTGAAATCTCCACTTGCAAATTCCACAAAAAGAGTGTTTCAAGTCTGCTCTGTGTAAAGGATCGTTCAACTCTGTGAGTTGAATAGACACAACACAAGGAAGTTACTGAGAACTCTTCTGTCTAGCAGAATATGAAGAAATCCCGTTTCCAACGAAGGCCACAAGATGTCAGAATATCCACTTACAGAATTTACAAACAGACTGTTTCCCAACTGCTCTATGAAAAGAAAGGTTAAACTCTGTGAGTTGAACACACACATCACAATGAAGTTTCTGAGAATCATTCTATCTAGTTTTTATACGAAGATATTTCCTTTTCTACCATTGACCTCAAAGAGGCTGAAATCACCACTTGCCAATTGCACAAAAAGAGTGTTTCAAATCTGCTCTGTCTAAGGGAACGTTCAACTCTGTGAGTTGAATGTACACAACACAAGGAAGTTACTGGGAATTCTTCTGTCTAGCCTTACAGGAAAAAAACCCGTTTCCAACGAAGGCCTCTAAGTGGTCAAAATATCCACGTGCAGACTTTACAAACAGAGTGTTTCCAAACTGCTGAATGAAAAGAAAAGTTAAACTCTGAGAGTTGAACGCACACATCGCAGAGAAGTTTCTGAGAATGATTCTGTATAGTTTTGAAACGAAGATATTTCCTTTTCTGCCTTTGGCCTCAAAGCGCTTGAAATCTCCACTTGCAAATTCCACAAAAAGAGTGTTTCAAATCTGCTCTGTGTAAATGAAAGTTCAACTCTGTGAGTTGAACACACACAACACAAGGAAGTTAGTGGGAATTCTTCTGTCTAGCAGAATATGAAGAAATCCCGTTTCCAACGAAGGCCGCAAAGAGGTCTGAATATCCACTTGCAGTCTTTACAAACAGAGTGTTTCCTAACTGCTCTATGAAAAGAAAGGTTAAACTCTGTGAGTTGAACGCACACATTACAAAGGAGATTCTGAGAATCATTCTGTCTAGTTTTTCTACGAAGATATTTCCTTTTCTGCTATTGACCTCAAAGCGGCTGAAATCTCCACTTGCAAATTCCACAAAGAGAGTGTTTCATGTCTGCTCTGTGTAAAGGATCGTTCAACTCTGTGAGTTGAATACACACAACACAAGGAAGTTACTGAGAATTCTTCTGTCTAGCAGAATATGAAGAAATCCCGTTTCCAACGAAGGCCTCAAGGAGGTCTGAATATCCACTTGCAGACTTTACAAACAGAGTGTTTCCTAACTGCTCTATGAACAGAAAGATTAAACTCTGTGAGTTGAACGCACACATCACAAAGGAGTTTCTGAGAATCCTTATGTCTAGTTTTTATAGGAAGATATTTCCTTTTCTACATTTGACTTCAAAGCGGCTGAAATCTCCACTTGCAAATTCCACAAAAAGAGTGTTACAAGTCTGCTCTGTGTAAAGGATCGTTCAACTCTGTGAGTTGAATACACACAACACAAGGAAGTTACTGAGAATTCTTCTGTCTAGCCTTACAAGAAAAAAACCCGTTTCCAACGAAGGCCTCTAAGTGGTCAAAATATCCACGTGCAGACTTTACAAACAGAGTGTTTTCAAACTGTTGAATGAAAAGAAAAGTTAAACTCTGAGAGTTGAACGCACACATCGCAGAGCAGTTTCTGAGAATGATTCTGTCTAGTTTTCATACGAAGATATTTCCTTTTCTGCCTTTGGCCCCAAAGCGTTTGAAATCTCCACTTGCAAATTCCACAAAAACAGTGTTTCAAATCTGCTCTCTCTAAATGAAAGTTCAACTCTGTCAGTTGAATACACACAACACAAGGAAGTTACTGAGAATTCTTCTGTCTAGCAGAACATGAAGAAATCCCGCTTCCAACGAAGGCCTCAAGGAGGTCTGAATATCCACTTGCAGACTTTACAAACAGAGTGTTTCCTAACTGCCCTATGAAAAGAAAGGTTAAACTCTGTGAGTTGAACGCACACATCACAAAGAAGTTTCTGAGAATCATTCTGTCTAGTTTCTATAGGAAGATATTTCCTATTCTACCATTGACCTCAAAGCGGCTGAAATCTCCACTTGCAAATTCCAGAAAAAGAGTGTTTCAAGTCTGCTCTGTGTAAAGGATCCTGCAACTCTGTGAGTTGAATACACACAACACAAGGAAGTTACTGAGAATTCTTCTGTCTAGCAGAATATGAAGAAATCCCGTTTCCAACGAAGGCCACAAGATGTCAGAATATCCACTTACAGACTTTACAAACAGAGTGTTTCCTAACTGCTCTATGAACAGAAAGGTTAAACTCTGTGAGGTGAACGAACACATCACAACGCAGTTTGTGGGAATGATTCTGTCTAGTTTTGAAACGAAGATATTTCCTTTTCTGCCATTGACCTTAAAGCGCTTGAAATCTACACTTGCAAATTGCACAAATAGAGTGTTTCAAATCTGCTCTGTCTAAGGGAACGTTCAACACTGTGAGTTGAATGCACACAACACAAGGAAGTTACTGGGAATTCTTCTGTCTAGCCTTACATGCAAAAAACCCGTTTCCAACGAAGGCCTCTAAGTGGTCAAAATATCCACGTGCAGACTTTACAAACAGAGTGTTTCCAAACCGCTGAATGAAAAGAAAAGTTAAACTCTGATAGTGGAACGCATACATCACGCAGCAGTTTCTGAGAATGATTCTGTCTAGTTTTTATACGAAGATATTTCCTTTTCTGCCTTTGGCCTCAAAGCGCTTGAAATCTCCATTTGCAAATTCCACAAAAAGAGTGTTTCAAATCTGCTCTGTGTAAATGAAAGTTCAACTCTGTGAGTTGAACAAACACAACACAAGGAAGTTACTGGGAATTCTTCTGTCTAGCATAATATGAAGAAATCCCGTTTCCAACGAAGCCCTCAAGGAGGTCTGAATATCCGCTTGCAGACTTTACAAACAGAGTGTTTCCTAACTGCTCTATGAAAAGAAAGGTTAAACTCTGTGAGTTGAACGCAGACATCACAAAGGAGTTTCTGAGAATCACTCTGTCTAGTTTTTATACGAAGATATTTCCTTTTCTACCATTGACCTCAAAGCGGCTGAAATCTCCACCCTGCCAATTCCACAAAAAGAGTGTTTCAAGTCTACTCTGTGTAAATGATCGTTGAACTCTGTGAGTTGAAAACACACAACACATCGAAGTTTCTGAGAATTCTTCTGCCTAGCAGAATATGAAGAAATCCCGTTTCCAACGAAAGCCTCAAAGATGTCTGAATATCCACTTGCAGACTTTACAAACAGAGTGTTTCCTAACTGCTCTATGAAAAGAAAGGTTAAACTCTGTGAGTTTAACGCACACATCACAAAGCAGTTTCTGAGAATCATTCTGTCTAGTTTTGAAACGAAGATATTTCCTTTTCTGCCATTGACCTTAAAGCGCTTGAAATCTACACTTGCAAATTGCACAAATAGAGTGTTTCAAATCTGCTCTGTCTAAGGGAACGTTCAACTCTGTGAGTTGAATGCACACAACACAAGGAAGTTACTGGGAATTCTTCTGTCTAGCCTTACATGAAAAAAACCCGTTTCCAACGAAGGCCTCTAAGTGGTCAAGTTATCCACGTGCAGACTTTACAAACAGACTGTTTCCAAATTGCTGAATGAAAAGAAAAGTTAAACTCTGAGAGTTGAACGCACACATCGCAGAGCAGTTTCTGAGAATGATTCTGTCTAGTTTTTATACGAAGATATTTCCTTTTCTGCCTTTGGCCTCAAAGCGCTTGAAATCTCCACTTGCAAATTCCACAAAAAGAGTGTTTCAAATCTGTTCTGTGTAAATGAAAGTTCAACTCTGTGAGTTGAACACACACAACACTAGGAAGTTACTGGGAATTCTTCTGTCTAGCAGAATAGGAAGAAATCCCGTTTCCAACGAAGGCCTCAAAGAGGTCTGAATATCCACGTGCAGACTTTTCAAACAGAGTGTTTCCTAACTGCTCTATGAAAAGAAAGGTTAAACTCTGTGAGTTGAACGCACACATCACAAAGGAGTTTCTGAGAATCGTTCTGTCTAGTTTCTATAGGAAGATATTTGCTATTCTACCTTTGACCTCAAAGCGGCTGAAATCTCCACTTGCAAATTCCACAAAAAGAGTGTTTCAAATCTGCTCTCTGTAAAGGATCGTTCAACTCTGTGAGTTGAATACACACAACACAAGGAAGTTACTGAGAATTATTCTGTCTAGCAGAATATGAAGAAATCCCGTTTCCAACGGAGGCCACAAGATGTCAGAATATCCACTTACAGAATTTACCAACAGAGTGTTTCCTAACTGCTCTATGAAAAGAAAGGTTAAACTGTGTGAGTTGAACGAACACATCACAACGCAGTTTGTGGGAATGATTCTGTCTAGTTTTGAAACGAAGATATTTCCTTTTCTGCCATTGACCTTAAAGCGCTTGAAATCTCCACTTGCCAATTGCACAAAAAGAGTGTTTCAAATCTGCTCTGTCTAAGGGAACGTTCAACTCTGTGAGTTGAATGTACACAACACAAGGAAGTTACTGGGAATTCTTCTGTCTAGCCTTACATGAAGAAAACCCGTTTCCAACGAAGGCCTCTAAGTGGTCAAAATATCCACGTGCAGACTTTACAAACAGAGTGTTTCCAAACCGCTGAATGAAAAGAAAAGTTAAACTCTGAGAGTTGAACGCACACATCACGCAGCAGTTTCTGAGAATGATTCTGTCTAGTTTTGAAACGAAGATATTTCCTTTTCTGCCTTTGGCCTCAAAGCGCTTGAAATCTCCACTTGCAAATTCCACAAAAAGAGTGTTTCAAATCTGCTCTGGGTAAATGAAAGTTCAACTCTGTGAGTTGAAAACACACAACACAAGGAAGTTACTGGGAATTCTTCTGTCTAGCAGAATATGAAGAAATCCCGTTTCCAACGAAAGCCTCAAAGAGGTCTGAATATCCCCTTGCAGACTTTACAAACAGAGTGTTTCCTAACTGCTCCATGAAAAGAAAGGTTAAACTCTGTGAGTTGAACGCACACATCACAAAGGAGTTTCTGAGAATCATTCTGTCTAGTTTTTCTACGAAGATATTTCCTTTTCTACTATTGACCTCAAAGCGGCTGAAATCTCCACTTGCAAATTCCACAAAAAGAATGTTTCAAGTCTGCTCTGTGTAAAGGATCGTTCAACTCTGTGAGTTGAATACACACAACACAAGGAAGTTACTGAGAATTCTTCTGTCTAGCAGAATATGAAGAAATCCCGTTACCAACGAAGGCCTCAAAGAGGTCTGAATATCCACTTGCAGACTTTACAAAGAGAGTGTTTCCTAACTGCTCTTTGAAAAGAAAAGTTAAACTCTGTGAGTTGAACGCACACATCACAAAGGAGTTTCTGAGAATCATTCTGTCTAGTTTTGAAACGAAGATATTTCCTTTTCTGCCGTTGACCTTAAAGAGCTTGAAAACTACACTTGCAAGTTGCACAAATAGAGTGTTTCAAATCTGCTCTGTCTAAGGGAACGTTCAACTCTGTGAGTTGAATGCACACAACACAAGGAAGTTACTGGGAATTCTTCTGTCTAGCCTTACATGAAAAAAACCCGTTTCCAACGAAGGCCTCTAAGTGGTCAAATTATCCACGTGCAGACTTTACAAACAGAGTGTTTCCAAACTGCTGAATGAAAAGCAAAGTTAAACTCTGAGAGTTGAACGCACACATCGCAGAGCACTTTCTGAGAATGATTCTGTGTAGTTTTTATACGAAGATATTTCCTTTTCTGCCTTTGGCCCCAAAGCGCTTGAAATCTCCACTTGCAAATTCCACAAAAACAGTGTTTCAAATCTGCTCTCTCTAAATGAAAGTTCAACTCTGTCAGTTGAATACACACAACACAAGGAAGTTACTGAGAATTCTTCTGTCTAGCCTTATATGAAAAAAACCCGTTTCCAACGAAGGCCTCAAAGAGGGCTGAATATCCACTTGCAGACTTTACAAGCAGAGTGTTTCCTAACTACTCTATGAAAAGAAAGGTTAAACTCTGTGAGTTGAACGCACACATCACAAAGGAGTTTCTGAGAATCATTCTGTCTAGTCTTTATACGAAGACATTTCCTTTTCTACCATTGACCTCAAAGCGGCTGAAATCTCCACTTGCGAATTCCACAAAAAGAGTGTTTCAAGTCTGCTCTCTGTAAAGGATCGTTCAACTACTGTGAGTTGAATACACACAACACAAGGAAGTTACTGAGAATTATTCTGTCTAGCAGAATATGAAGAAATCCCGTTTCCAACAAAGGCCACAAGATGTCAGAATATCCACTTACTGACTTTACAAACAGAGTGTTTCCTAACTGCTCTATGAACAGAAAGGTTAAACTCTGTGAGTTGAACGAACACATCACAACGCAGTTTGTGGGAATGATTCTGTCTAGTTTTGAAAGGAAGATATTTCCTTTCCTGCAGTTGACCTTAAAGCGCTTGAAATCTACACTTGCAAATTGCACAAATAGGCTGTTTCAAATCTGCTCTGTCTAAGGGAACGTTCAACTCTGTGAGTTGAATGCACCCAACACAAGGAAGTTACTGGGAATTCTTCTCTCTAGCAGAATATGAAGAAATCCCGTTTCCAACGAAGGCCTCAAAGAGGTCTGTATATCAACTTGTAGACTTTACAAACAGAGTGTTTCCTAACTGCTCTATGAAAAGAAAGGTTAAACTCTGTGAGTTGAACGCACACATCACAAAGGAGTTTCTGAGAATCATTCTGTCTAGTTTCTATAGGAAGATATTTCCTATTCTACCATTGACCACAAAGCGGCTGAAATCTCCACTTGCAAATTCCACAAAAAGAGTGTTTCAAGTCTGCTCTCTGTAAAGGATCGTTCAACTCTGTGAGTTGAATACACACAACACAAGGGAAGTTACTGAGAATTCTTCTGTCTAGCATAATATGAAGAAATCCCGTTTCCAACGAAGGCCTCAAGGAGGTCTGAGTATCCACTTGCAGACTTTACAAACAGAGTGTTTCCTAACTGCTCTATGAAAAGAAAGGTTAAACTCTGTGAGTTGAACGCACACATCACAAAGGAGTTTCTGAGAATCATTCTGTCTATTTTCTATAGGAAGATATTTCCTATTCTACCATTGACCTCAAAGCGGCTGAAATCTCCACTTGCAAATTCCACAAAAAGAGTGTTTCAAGTCTGCTCTGTGTAAAGGATCGTTCAACTCTGTGAGTTGAATACACACAACACAAAGAAGTTACTGAGAATTCTTCTGTCTAGCAGAATATGAAGAAATCCCGTTTCCAACGAAGGCCTCAAAGAGGTCTGAATATCCAGTTGCAGACTTTACAAACAGAGTGTTTCCTAACTGCTCTATGAAAAGAAAGGTTAAACTCTGTGAGTTGAACGCACACATCACAAAGGAGTTTATGAGAATCATTCTGTCTAGTTTTGAAACGAAGATATTTCCTTTTCTGCCGTTGACCTTAAAGAGCTTGAAAACTACACTTGTAAATTGCACAAATAGAGTGTTTCAAATCTGCTCTGTCTAAGGGAACGTTCAACTCTGTGAGTTGAATGCACACAACACAAGGAAGTTACTGGGAATTCTTCTGTCTAGCCTTACATGAAAAAAACCCGTTTCCAACGAAGGCCTCTAAGTGGTCAAAATATCCACGTGCAGACTTTACAAACAGAGTGTTTCCAAACTGCTGAATGAAAAGAAAAGTTAAACTCTGAGAGTTGAACGCATACATCACGCAGCAGTTTCTGAGAATGATTCTGTCTAGTTTTTATACGAAGATATTTCCTTTTCTGCCTTTGGCCCCAAAGCGCTTGAAATCTCCACTTGCAAATTCCACAAAAACAGTGTTACAAATCTGCTCTCTCTAAATGAAAGTTCGACTCTGTCAGTTGAATACACACAACACAGGGGAAGTTACTGAGAATTCTTCTGTCTAGCCTTATATGAAAAAAACCCGTTTCCAACGAAGGCCTCAAAGAGGTCTGAATATCCACTTGCAGACTTTACAAACAGAGTGATTCCTAACTGCTCTATGAAAAGAAAGGTTAAACTCTGTGAGTTGAACACACACATCACAAAGGAGTTTCTGAGAATCATTCTGTCTAGTTTTTATACGAAGATATTTCCTTTTCTACCATTGACCTCAACGCGGCTGAAATCTCCACTTACAAATTCCACAAAAAGAGTGTTTCAAGTCTGCTCTGTGTAAAGGATCGTTCAACTCTGTGAGTTGAATACACACAACACAAGGAAGTTACTGAGAATTCTTCTGTCTAGCAGAATATGAAGAAATCCCGTTTCCAACGAATGCCACAAGATGTCAGAATATCCACTTACAGAATTGACAAACAGACTGTTTCCTAACTGCTCTATGAAAAGAAAGGTTAAACTCTGTGAGTTGAACGAACACATCACAACGCAGTTTGTGGGAATGATTCTGTCTAGTTTTGAAACGAAGATATTTCCTTTTCTGCCATTGACCTTAAAGCGCTTGAAATCTACACTTGCAAATTGCACAAATAGAGTGTTTCAAATCTGCTCTGTCTAAGGGAACGTTCAACTCTGTGAGTTGAATGCACACAACACAAGGAAGTTACTGGGAATTCTTCTGTCTAGCCTTACAGGAAAAAAACCCGTTTCCAACGAAGGCCTCTAAGTGGTCAAAATATCCACGTGCAGACTTTACAAACAGAGTGTTTCCAAGCTGCTGAATGAAAAGAAAAGTTAAACTCTGAGAGTTGAACGCACACATCGCAGAGCAGTTTCTGAGAATGATTCTGTCTAGTTTTGAAACGAAGATATTTCCTTTTCTGCCATTGACCTTAAAGCGCTTGAAATCTCCGCTTGCCAATTGCACAAAAAGTGTGTTTCAAATCTGCTCTGTCTAAGGGAACGTTCAACTCTGTGAGTTGAATGTACACAACACAAGGAAGTTACTGGGAATTCTTCTGTCTAGCAGAACATGAAGAAATCCCGTTTCCAACGAAGGCCCCAAAGATGTCTGAATATCCACTTGCAGACTTTAGAAACAGAGTGTTTCCTAACTGCTCTATGAAAAGAAAGGTTAAACTCTGTGAGTTGAACGCACACATCACAAAGGAGTTTCTGAGAATCATTCTGTCTAGTCTTTATACGAAGATATTTCCTTTTCTACCATTGACCTCAAAGCGGCTGAAATCTCCACTTGCAAATTCCACAAAAAGAGTGTTTCAAGTCTGCTCTCTGTAAAGGATCGTTCAACTCTCTGAGTTGAATACACACAACACAAGGAAGTTACTGAGAATTATTCTGTCTAGCAGAATATGAAGAAATCCCGTTTCCAACGAAGGCCACAAGATGTCAGAATATCCACTTATAGACTTTACAAACAGAGTGTTTCCTAACTGCTCTATGAACAGAAAGGTTAAGCTCTGTGAGTTGAACGACCACATCACAACGCAGTTTGTGGGAATGATTCTGTCTAGTTTTGAAACGAAGATATTTCCTTTTCTGCCATTGACCTTAAAGCGCTTGTAATCTCCACTTGCCAATTGCCCAAAAAGAGTGTTTCAAATCTGCTCTGTCTAAGGGAACGTTCAACTCTGTGAGTTGAATGTACACAACACAAGGGAAGTTACTGGGAATTCTTCTGTCTAGCCTTACATGAAAAAAACCCGTTTCCAACGAAGGCCTCTAAGTGGTCAAATTATCCACGTGCAGACTTTACAAACAGAGTGTTTCCAAACTGCTGAATGAAAAGCAAAGTTAAACTCTGAGAGTTGAACGCACACATCGCAGAGCACTTTCTGAGAATGATTCTGTCTAGTTTTGAAACGAAGATATTTCCTTTTCTGCCTTTGGCCTCAAAGCGCTTGAAATCTCCACTTGCAAATTCCACAAAAAGAGTGTTTCAAATCTGCTCTGTGTAAATGAAAGTTCAACTCTGTGAGTTGAACAAACACAACACAAGGAAGTTACTGGGAATTCTTCTGTCTGGCATAATATGAAGAAATCCCGTTTCCAACGAAGGCCTCAAAGAGGTCTGAATATCCACTTGCAGACTTTACAAACAGAGTGTTTCCTAACTGCTCTATGAGAAGAAAAGTTAAACTCTGTGAGTTGAACGCACACATCACAAAAGATTTTCTGAGAATCATTCTGTCTAGTTTTTATACGAAGATATTTCCTTTTCTACCATTGACCTCAAAGCGGCTGAAATCTCCACTTGCTAATTCCACAAAAAGAGTGTTTCAAATCTGCTCTGTGTAAACCATCGTTCAACTCTGTGAGTTGAATACACAGAACACAAGGAAGATTCTGAGAATTCTTCTGTCTAGCAGAATATGAAGAAATCCCGTTTCCAACGAAGGGCACAAGATGTCAGAATATCCACTTACAGAATTTACAAACAGACTGTTTCCTAAGTGCTCTATGAAAAGAAAGGTTAAACTCTGTGAGTTGAACGAACACATCACAACGCAGTTTGTGGGAATGATTCTGTCTAGTTTTGAAACGAAGATATTTCCTTTTCTGCCGTTGACCTTAAAGCGCTTGAAATCTACACTTGCAAATTGCACAAATAGAGTGTTTCAAATCTGCTCTGTCTAAGGGAACTTTCAACTCTGTGAGTTGAATGCACACAACACAAGGAAGTTACTGGGAATTCTTCTGTCTAGCCTTACATGAAAAAAACCCGTTTCCAACGAAGGCCTCTAAGTGGTCAAATTATCCACGTGCAGACTTTACAAACAGAGTGTTTCCAAACTGCTGAATGAAAAGAAAAGTTAAACTCCTGAGAGTTGAACGCACACATCACAGAGCAGTTTCTGAGAATGATTCTGTCTAGTTTTTATACCGAAGATATTTCCTTTTCTGCCTTTGGCCCCAAAGCGCTTGAAATCTCCATTTGCAAATTCCACAAAAACAGTGTTTCAAATCTGCTCTCTCTAAATGAAAGTTCAACTCTGTCAGTTGAATACACACAACACAAGGAAGTTACTGAGAATTCTTCTGTCTAGCATAATAGGAAGAAATCCCGTTTCCAAAGAAGGCCTCAAGGAGGTCTGAATATCCACTTGCAGACTTTACAAACAGAGTGTTTCCTAACTGCTCTATAAAAAGAAAGGTTAAACTCTGTGAGTTGAACGCACACATCACAAAGGAGTTTCTGAGAATCATTCTGTCTATTTTCTATAGGAAGATATTTCCTATTCTACCATTGACCTCAAAGAGGCTGAAATCGCCACTTGCAAATTCCACAAAAAGAGTGTTTCAAGTCTGCTCTGTGTAAAGGATCGTTCAACCCTGTGAGTTGAATACACACAACACAAGGAAGTTACTGAGAATTCTTCTGTCTAGCAGAATATGAAGAAATCCCGTTTCCAACGAAGGCCACAAGATGTCAGAATATGCACTTACAGACTTTACAAACAGAGTGTTTCCTAACTGCTCTATGAACAGAAAGGTTAAACTCTGTGTGTTGAACGCACACATCACAAAGGAGTTTATGAGAATCATTCTGTCTAGTTTTGAAACGAAGATATTTCCTTTTCTGCCATTGACCTTAAAGCGCTTGAAATCTCCACTTGCCAATTGCACAAAAAGAGTGTTTCAAATATGCTCTGTCTAAGGGAACGTTCAACTCTGTGAGTTGAATGTACACAACACAAGGAAGTTACTGGGAATTCTTCTGTCTAGCCTTACATGAAAAAAACCCGTTTCCAACGAAGGCCTCTAAGTGGTCAAAATATCCACGTGCAGACTTTACAAACAGAGTGTTTCCAAACCGCTGAATGAAAAGAAAGGTTAAACTCTGAGAGTTGAACGCACACATCACGCAGCAGTTTCTGAGAATGATTCTGTCTAGTTTTTCTACGAAGATATTTCCTTTTCTGCCTTTGGCCCCAAAGCGCTTGAAATCTCCACTTGCAAATTCCACAAAAACAGTGTTTCAAATCTGCTCTCTCCAAATGAAAGTTCAACTCTGTCAGTTGAATACACACAACACAAGGGAAGTTACTGAGAATTCTTCTGTCTAGCATAATATGAAGAAATCCAGTTTCCAACGAAGGCCTCAAGGAGGTCTGAATATCCACTTGCAGACTTTACAAACAGAGTGTTTCCTAACTGCTCTATGAAAAGAAAGGTTAAACTGTGTGTGTTGAACGCACACATCACAAAGGAGTTTCTGAGAATCATTCTGTCTAGTTTCTATAAGAAGATATTTCCTATTCTACCATTGACCTCAAAGCGGCTGAAATCTCCACTTGCAAATTCGACAAAAAGAGTGTTTCAAGCCTGCTCTCTGTAAAGGATCCTTCAACTCTGTGAGTTGAATACACACAACACAAGGAAATTACTAAGAATTATTCTGTCTAGCAGAATATGAAGAAATCCCGTTTCCAACGAAGGCCACAAGATGTCAGAATATCCACTTACAGAATTTACAAACAGAGTGTTTCCTAACTGCTCTATGAAAAGAAAGGTTAAACTCTGTGAGATGAACGAACACATCACAACGCAGTTTTTGGGAATGATTCTGTCTAGTTTTGAAACGAAGATATTTCCTTTTCTGCCGTTGACCTTAAAGAGCTTGAAAACTACACTTGCAAATTGCACAAATAGAGTGTTTCAAATCTGCTCTGTCTAAGGGAACGTTCAACTCTGTGAGTTGAATGCACACAACACAAGGAAGTTACTGGGAATTCTTCTGTCTAGCCTTACAGGAAAAAAACCCGTTTCCAACGAAGTCCTCTAAGTGGTCAAGTTATCCACGTGCAGACTTTACAAACAGAGTGTTTCCAAACTGCTGAATGAAAAGAAAAGTTAAACTCTGAGAGTTGAACGCACACATCGCAGAGCAGTTTCTGAGAATGATTCTGTCTAATTTTTATACGAAGATATTTCCTTTTGTGCCTTTGGCCCCAAAGCGCTTGAAATCTCCACTTGCAAATTCCACAAAAACAGTGTTTGAATTCTGCTCTGTCTAACTGAAAGTTCAACTCTGTCAGATGAATACACACAACACAAGGAAGTTACTCAGAATTCTTCTGTCTAGCATAATATGAAGAAATCCCGTTTCCAACGAAGGCCTCAAAGAGGTCTGAATATCCACTTGCAGACTTTACAAACAGAGTGTTTCCTAACTGCTCTATGAAAAGAAAGGTTAAACTCTGTGAGTTGAACGCAGACATCACAAAGGAGTTTATGAGAATCATTCTGTCTAGTTTTTCTACGAAGATATTTCCTTTTCTACTATTGACCTCAAAGAGGCTGGAATCTCCACTTGCAAATTCCACAAAAAGAGTGCTTCAAGTCTGCTCTGTGTAAAGGATCGTTCAACTCTGTGAGTTGAATACACACAACACAAGGAAGTTACTGAGAATTCTTCTGTCTAGCAGAATAGGAAGAAATCCCGTTTCCAACGAAGGCCACAAGTTGTCAGAATATCCACTTACAGACTTTACAAACAGAGTGTTTCCTAACTGCTCTATGAACAGAAAGGTTAAACTCTGTGAGTTGAACGAACACATCACAACGCAGTTTGTGGGAATGATTCTGTCTAGTTTTGAAACGAAGATATTTCCTTTTCTGCCGTTGACCTTAAAGCGCTTGAAATCTACACTTGCAAATTGCACAAATAGAGTGTTTCAAATCTGCTCTGTCTAAGGGAACGTTCAACTCTGTGAGTTGAATGCACACAACACAAGGAAGTTACTGGGAATTCTTCTGTCTAGCCTTACATGAAAAAAACCCGTTTCCAACGAAGGCCTCTAAGTGGTCAAAATTTCCACGTGCAGACTTTACAAACAGAGTGTTTCCAAACCGCTGAATGAAAAGAAAAGTTAAACTCTGAGAGTTGAACGCACACATTACGCAGCAGTTTCTGAGAATGATTCTGTCTAGTTTTTATACGAAGATATTTCCTTTTCTGCCTTTGGCCTCAAAGCGCTTGAAATCTCCACTTGCAAATTCCACAAAAAGAGTGTTTCAAATCTGCTCTGTGTAAATGAAAGTTCAACTCTGTGAGTTGAACACACACAACACAAGGAAGTTACTGGGGAATTCTTCTGTTTAGCCTTATATGTAAAAAACCCGTTTCCAACGAAGGCCTCAAAGAGGTCTGAATATCCACTTGCAGACTTTACAAACAGAGTGTTTCCTAACTGCTCTATGAAAAGAAAGGTTAAACTCTGTGAGTTGAACGCACACATCACAAAGAAGTTTCTGAGAATCATTCTGTCTAGTTTTTATAGGAAGATATTCCCTTTTCTACCTTTGACTTCAAAGCGGCTGAAATCTCCACTTGCAAATGCCACAAAAAGAGTGTTAGAAGTCTGCTCTGTGTAAAGGATCGGTCAACTCTGTGAGTTGAATACACACAACACAAGGAAGTTACTGAGAATTCTTCTGTCTAGCAGAATATGAAGAAATCCCGTTTCCAACGAAGGCCTCAAGGAGGTCTGAATATCCACTTGCAGACTTTACAAACAGAGTGTTTCCTAACTGCTCTATGAACAGAAAGGTTAAACTCTGTGAGTTGAACGAACACATCACAACGCAGTTTGTGGGAATGATTCTGTCTAATTTTGAAACGAAGATATTTCCTTTTCTGCCATTGACCTTAATGCGCTTGAAATCTACACTTGCAAATTGCACAAATAGAGTGTTTCAAATCTGCTCTGTCTAAGGGAACGTTCAACTCTGTGAGTTGAATGCACACAACACAAGGAAGTTACTGGGAATTCTTCTGTCTAGCCTTACATGAAAAAAACCCGTTTCCAACGAAGGCCTCAAAGAGGTCTGAATATCCACGTGCAGACTTTACAAACAGAGTGTTTCCAAACCGCTGAATGAAAAGAAAAGTTAAACTCTGAGAGTTGAACGCACACATCACGCAGCAGTTTCTGAGAATGATTCTGTCTAGTTTCTTTAGGAAGATATTTCCTATTCTACCATTGACCTCAAAGCGGCTGAAATCTCCACTTGCAAATTCCACAAAAAGAGTGTTTCAAGTCTGCTCTGTGAAAAGGATCGTTCAACTCTGTGAGTTGAATACACACAACACAAGGAAGTTACTGAGAATTCTTCTTTCTAGCAGAATATGAAGAAATCCCGTTTCCAACGAAAGCCTCAAGGATGTCTGAATATCCACTTGCAGACTTTACAAACAGAGTGTTTCCTAACTGCTCTATGAAAAGAAAGGATAAACTCTGTGAGTTGAACGCACACATCACAAAGGAGTTTCTGAGAATCATTCTGTCTAGTTTCTATAGGAAGATATTTCCTATTCTACCATTGACCTCAAAGCGGCTGAAATCCCCACTTGCAAATTCCACAAAAAGAGTGTTTCAAGTCTGCTCTGTGTAAAGGATCGTTCAACTCTGTGAGTTGAATACACACAACACAAGGAAGTTACTGAGAATTCTTCTGTCTAGCAGAATATGAAGAAATCCCGCTTCCAACGAAGGCCTCAAAGAAGTCTGAATATCCGCTTGCAGACTTTACAAACAGAGTGTTTCCCAACTGCTCTATGAAAAGAAAGGTTGAACTCTGTGAGTTGAACGCACACATCACAAAGGAGTTTCTGAGAATCATTCTGTCTAGTTTTGAAACGAAGATATTTCCTTTTCTGCCATTGACCTTAAAGCGCTTGAAATCTCCATTTGCCAATTGCACAAAAAGAGTGTTTCAAATCTGCTCTGTCTAAGGGAACGTTCAACTCTGTGAGTTGAATGTACACAACACAAGGAAGTTACTGGGAATTCTTCTGTCTAGCCTTACAGGAAAAAAACCCGTTTCCAACGAAGGCCTCTAAGTGGTGAAAATATCCACGTGCAGACTTTACAAACAGAGTGTTTCCAAACTGCTGAATGAAAAGAAAAGTTAAACTCTGAGAGTTGAACACACACATCGCAGAGCAGTTTCTGAGAATGATTCTGTCTAATTTCTATATGAAGATATTTCCTATTCTACCATTGACCTCAAAGCGGCTGAAATCTCCACTTGCAAATTCCACAAAAAGAGTGTTTCAAGTCTGCTCTGTGTAAAGGATCGTTCAACTCTGTGAGTTGAATACACACAACACAAGGAAGTTACTGAGAATTCTTCTGTCTAGCATAATATGAAGAAATCCCGTTTCCAACGAAGGCCTCAAGGAGGTCTGAATATCCACTTGCAGACTTTACAAACAGAGTGTTTCCTAACTGCTCTATGAAAAGAAAGGTTAAACTGTGTGAGTTGAACGCACACATCACAAAGGAGTTTCTGAGAATCATTCTGTCTAGTTTTTATAGGAAGTTATTTCCTTTTCTACCTTTGACTTCAAAGCGGCTGAAATCTCCACTTGCAAATTCCACAAAAAGAGTGTTTCAAGTCTGCTCTGTGTAAAGGATCGTTCAACTCTGTGAGTTGAATACACACAACACAAGGAAGATTCTGAGAATTCTTCTGTCCAGCAGAATATGAAGAAATCCCGTTTCCAACGAAGGCCTCAAAGAGGTCTGAATATCCACTTGCAGACTTTACAAACAGAGTATTTCCTAACTGCTCTATGAAAAGAAAGGTTAAACTCTGTGAGTTGAACGAACACATCACAACGCAGTTTGTGGGAATGATTCTGTCTAGTTTTGAAACGAAGATATTTCCTTTTCTGCCATTGACCCTAAAGCGCTTGAAATCTCCACTTGCAAATTGCACAAAAAGAGTGTTTCAAATCTGCTCTGTCTAACGGAACGTTCAACTGTGTGAGTTGAATGCACACAACACAAGGAAGTTACTGGGAATTCTTCTGTCTAGCAGAATATGAAGAAATCCCGTTTCCAACGAAGGCCACAAGATGTCAGAATATCCACTTACAGAATTTACCAACAGAGTGTTTCCTAACTGCTCTATGAAAAGAAAGGTTAAACTCTGTGAGCTGAACGAACACATCACAACGCAGTTTGTGGGAATGATTCTGTCTAGTTTTGAAACGAAGATATTTCCTTTTCTGCCTTTGCCCTCAAAGCGCTTGAAATCTCCACTTGCAAATTCCACAAAAAGAGTGTTTCAAATCTGCTCTGTGTAAATGAAAGTTCAACTCTGTGAGTTGAACACACACAACACAAGGAAGTTACTTGGAATTCTTCTGTCTAGCATAGTATGAAGAAATCCCGTTTCCAACGAAGGCCTCAAACAGGTCTGAATATCCACTTGCAGAGTTTACACACAGAGTGTTTCCTAACTGCTCTATGAAAAGAAAGGTTAAACTCTGTGAGTTGAACGCACACATCACAAAGAAGTTTCTGAGAATCATTCTGTCTAGTTTCTATAGGAAGATATTTCCTATTCTACCATTGACCTCAAAGCGGATGAAATCTCCACTTGCAAATTCCACAAAAAGAGTGTTTCAAGACTGTTCTGTGTAAAGGATCATTCAACTCTGTGAGTTGAATACACACAACACAAGGAAGTTACTGAGAATTCTTCTGTCTAGCAGAATATGAAGAAATCCCGTTTCCAACGAAGGCCACAAGATGTCAGAATATCCACTTACAGAATTTACAAACAGACTGTTTCCTAACTGCTCTACGAAAAGAAAGGTTAAACTCTGTGAGATGAACGAACACATCACAACGCAGTTTGTGGGAATGATTCTGTCTAGTTTTTATAGGAAGATATTTCCTTTTCTACCTTTGACTTCAAAGCGGCTGAAATCTCCACTTGCAAATTCCACAAAAAGAGTGTTACAAGTCTCCTCTGTGTAAAGGATCGTTTAACTCTGTGAGTTGAATACACACAACACAAGGAAGTTACTGAGAATTCTTCTGTCTAGCCTTACTTGAAAAAAACCCGTTTCCAACGAAGGCCTCTAAGTGGTCAAAATATCCACGTGCAGACTTTACAAACAGAGTGTTTCCAAACCGCTGAATGAAAAGAAAAGTTAAACTCTGAGAGTTGAACGCACACATCACGCAGCAGTTTCTGAGAATGATTCTGTCTCGTTTTTATACGAAGATATTTCCTTTTCTGCCTTTGGCCCCAAAGCGCTTGAAATCTCCACTTGCAAATTCCACAAAAACAGTGTTTCAAATCTGCTCTCTCCAAATGAAAGTTCAACTCTGTGAGTTGAATACACACAACACAAGGAAGTTACTGAGAATTCTTCTGTCTAGCAGAATATGAAGAAATCCCGTTTCCAACGAAGGCCTCAAAGGGGTCTGAATATCCACTTGCAGACTTTATAAACAGAGTGTTTACTAACTGCTCTATGAAAAGAAAGGTTAAACTCTGTGAGTTGAACGCACACATCACAAAGGAGTTTCTGAGAATCATTATCTGTTTAGTTTTTATAGGAAGATATTTCCTTTTCTACCTTTGACTTCAAAGCGGCTGAAATCTCCACTTGCAAATTCCACAAAAAGAGTGTTACAAGTCTGCTCTGTGTAAAGGATCGTTCAACTCTGTGAGTTGAATACACACAAAACAAGGAAGTTACTGAGAATTCTTCTGTCTAGCATAATATGAAGAAATCCCGTTTCCAACGAAGGCCTCAAGGAGGTCTGAATATCCACTTGCAGACTTTACAAACAGAGTGTTTCCTAACTGCTCTATGAAAAGAGAGGTTAAACTGTGTGAGTTGAACGCACACATCACAAAGAAGTTTCTGAGAATCATTCTGTCTAGTTTTGAAACCAAGATATTTCCTTTTCTGCCGTTGACCTTAAAGAGCTTGAAAACTACACTTGCAAATTGCACAAATAGAGTGTTTCAAATCTGCTCTGTCTAAGGGAACGTTCAACTCTGTGAGTTGAATGCACACAACACAAGGAAGTTACTGGGAATTCTTCTGTCTAGCCTTACATGAAAAAATCCCGTTTCCAACGAAGGCCTCTAAGTGGTCAAATTATCCACGTGCAGACTTTACAAACAGAGTGTTTCCAAACCGCTGAATGAAAAGAAAAGTTAAACTCTGAGTGTTGAACGCACACATCACGCAGCAGTTTCTGAGAATGATTCTGTCTAGTTTTGAAACGAAGATATTTCCTTTTCTGCCTTTGGCCTCAAAGCGCTTGAAATCTCCACTTGCAAATTGCACAAAAAGAGTGTTTCAAATCTGCTCTGTGTAAATGAAAGTTCAACTCTGTGAGTTGAACACACACAACACAAGGAAGTTACTGGGAATTCTTCTTTCTAGCAGAATATGAAGAAATCCCGTTTCCAACGAAAGCCTCAAGGATGTCTGAATATCCACTTGCAGACTTTACAAACAGAGTGTTTCCTAACTGCTCTATGAAAAGAAAGGTTAAACTCTGTGAGTTGAACGCACACATCACAAAGGAGTTTCTGAGAATCACTCTGTCTAGTTTCTATAGGAAGATATTTCCTATTCTACCATTGACCTCAAAGCGGCTGAAATCTCCACTTGCAAATTCCACAAAAAGAGTGTTTCAAGTTTGCTCTGTGTAAAGGATCGTTCAACTCTGTGAGTTGAATACACACAACACAAGGAAGTTACTGAGAATTATTCTGTCTAGCAGAATATGAAGAAATCCCGTTTCCAACGAAAGCCTCAAGGAGGTCTGAATATCCACTTGCAGACTTTACAAACAGAGTGTTTCCCAACTGCTCTATGAAAAGAAAGGTTAAACTCTGTGAGTTGAACGCACACATCACAAAGGAGTTTCTGAGAATCATTCTGTCTAGTTTTGAAACGAAGATATTTCCTTTTCTGCCGTTGACCTTAAAGAGCTTGAAAACTACACTTGCAAATTGCACAAATAGAGTGTTTCAAATCTGCTCTGTCTAAGGGAACGTTCAACT
The DNA here is from genome assembly GCF_000001405.40 of Homo sapiens. Taxonomy (NCBI): domain Eukaryota; kingdom Metazoa; phylum Chordata; class Mammalia; order Primates; family Hominidae; genus Homo; species Homo sapiens. The sequence continues at coordinate 26,839,143 of NC_000019.10, read as the reverse complement.
CTGTGAGTTGAATGCACACAACACAAGGAAGTTACTGGGAATTCTTCTGTCTAGCCTTACATGAAAAAAACCCGTTTCCAACGAAGGCCTCTAAGTGGACAAAATTTCCACGTGCAGACTTTACAAACAGAGTGTTTCCAAACCGCTGAATGAAAAGAAAAGTTAAACTCTGAGAGTTGAACGCACACATCACGCAGCAGTTTCTGAGAATGATTCTGTCTAGTTTTTATACGAAGATATTACCTTTTCTACCATTGACCTCAACGCGGCTGAAATCTCCACTTGCAAATTCCACAAAAAGAGTGTTTCAAGTCTGCTCTGTGTAAAGGATCGTTCAACTCTGTGAGTTGAATACACACAACACAAGGAAGTTACTGAGAATTCTTCTGTCTAGCACAGTATGAAGAAATCCCGTTTCCAACGAAGGCCTCAAAGAGGTGTGAATATCCACTTGCAGAGTTTACAAACAGAGTGTTTCCTAACTGCTCTATGAAAAGAAAGGTTAAACTCTGTGAGTTGAACGCACACATCACAATGAAGTTTCTGAGAATCATTCTGTCTAGTTTTTTTACGAAGATATTTCCTTTTCTACCATTGACCTCAAAGCGGCTGAAATCACCACTTGCCAATTGCACAAAAAGAGTGTTTCAAATCTGCTCTGTCTAAGGAAACGTTCAACTCTGTGAGTTGAATGTACACAACACAAGGAAGTTACTGGGAATTCTTCTGTCTAGACTTACATGAAAAAAACCCGTTTCCAAGGAAGGCCTCTAAGTGGTCAAATTATCCACGTGCAGACTTTACAAACAGAGTGTTTCCAAACTGCTGAATGAAAAGAAAAGTTAAACTCTGAGAGTTGAACGCACACATCGCAGAGCAGTTTCTGAGAATGATTCTGTCTAGTTTTTATACGAAGATATTCCCTTTTCTACCATTGACCTCAAAGCAGCTGAAATCACCACTTGCCAATTGCACAAAAAGAGTGTTTCAAATCTGCTCTGTCTAAGGGAACGTTCAGCTCTGTGAGTTGAATGTACACAACACAAGGAAGTTACTGGGAATTCTTCTGTCTAGCCTTACATGAAAAAAACCCGTTTCCAACGAAGGCCTCTAAGTGGTCAAATTATCCACGTGGAGACTTTACAAACAGAGTGTTTCCAAACTGCTGAATGAAAAGAAAAGTTAAACTCTGAGAGTTGAACGCACACATCACAGAGCAGTTTCTGAGAATGATTCTGTCTAGTTTCTATACGAAGATATTTCATTTTCTACCATTAACCTCAAAGAGGCTGAAATCTCCACTTGCAAATTCCCCAAAAAGAGTGTTTCAAGTCTGCCCTGTGTAAAGGATCGTTCAACTCTGTGAGTTGAATACACACAACACAAGGAAGTTACTGAGAATTCTTCTGTCTAGCAGAATATGAAGAAATCCCGTTTCCATCGAAGGCCTCAAAGAGGTCTGAATATCCACTTGCAGACTTTACAAACAGAGTGTTTCCTAACTGCTCTATGAAAAGAAAGGTTAAACTCTGTGAGTTGAACGCACACATCACAAAGGAGTTTCTGAGAATCATTCTGTCTAGTTTTTATAGGAAGATATTTCCTTTTCTACCTTTGACTTCAAAGCGGCTGAAATCTCCACTTGCAAATTCCAGAAAAAGAGTGTTACATGTCTGCTCTGTGTAAAGGATCGTTCAACTCTGTGAGTTGAATACACACAACACAAGGAAGTTACTGAGAATTCTTCTGTCTAGCAGAATAGGAAGAAATCCCGTTTCCAACGAAGGCCACAAGATGTCAGAATATCCACTTACAGACTTTACAAACAGAGTGTTTCCTAACTGCTCTATGAACAGAAAGGTTAAACTCTGTGAGTTGAACGAACACATCACAACGCAGTTTGTGGGAATGATTATCTGTCTAGTTTTTATATGAAGATATTTCCTTTTCTACCATTGACCTCAAAGCGGCTGAAATCACCACTTGCCAATTGCACAAAAAGAGTGTTTCAAATCTACTCTGTCTAAGGGAACGTTCAAATGTGTGAGTTGAATGTACGCAACACAAGGAAGTTCCTGGGAATTCTTCTGTCTAGCCTTACAGGAAAAAAACCCGTTTGCAACGAAGGCCTCTAAGTGGTCAAATTATCCACGTGCAGACTTTACAAACAGATTGTTTCCAAACTGCTGAATGAAAAGAAAAGTTAAACTCTGAGAGTTGAACGCACACATCGCAGAGCAGTTTCTGAGAATGATTCTGTCTAGTTTTTATACGAAGATATTTCCTTTTCTGCATTGGCCTCAAAGCGCTTGAAATCTCCACTTGCAAATTCCACAAAAAGAGTGTTTCAAATCTGCTCTGTGTAAATGAAAGTTCAACTCTGTGAGTTGAACACACACAACACAAGGAAGTTACTGGGAATTCCTCTGTCTAGCCTTATATGAAAAAATCCCGTTTCCAACGAAGGCCTCAAAGAGGTCTGAATATCCACTTGCAGACTTTACAAACAGAGTGTTTCCTAACTGCTCTATGAAAAGAAAGGTTAAACTCAGTGAGTTGAACACACACATCACAAAGGAGTTTCTGAGAATCATTCTGTCTAGTTTCTATTGGAAGATATTTCCTATTCTACCATTGACCTCAAAGCGGCTGAAATCTCCACTTGCAAATTCCACAAAAAGAGTGTTTCAAGTCTGCTCTCTGTAAAGGATCGTTCAACTCTGTGAGTTGAATACACACAACACAAGGAAGTTACTGAGAATTGTTCTGTCTGGCAGAATATGTAGAAATCCCGTTTCCAACGAAGGCCACAAGATGTCAGAATATCCACTTACAGAATTTAACAACAGAGTGTTTCCTAACTGCTCTATGAAAAGAAAGGTTAAACTCTGTGAGTTGAACGAACACATCACAACGCAGTTTGTGGGAATGATTCTGTCTAGTTTTGAAACGAAGATATTTCCTTTTCTGCCATTGACCTTAAAGCGCTTGAAATCTCCACTTGCCAATTGCACAAAAAGAGTGTTTCAAATCTGCTCTGTCTAAGGGAACGTTCAACTCTGTGAGTTGAATGTACACAACGCAAGGAAGTTACTGGGAATTCTTCTGTCTAGCCTTACATGAAAAAAACCCGTTTCCAACGAAGGCCTCTAAGTGGTCAAATTATCCACGTGCAGACTTTACAAACAGAGTGTTTCCAAACTGCTGAATGAAAAGAAAAGTTAAACTCTGAGAGTTGAACGCACACATCACAGAGCAGTTTCTGAGAATGACTCTGTCTAGTTTTTATACGAAGATATTTCGTTTTCTGCCTTTGGCCCCAAAGCGCTTGAAATCTCCACTGGCAAATTCCACAAAAACAGTGTTTCAAATCTGCTCTCTCTAAATGAAAGTTCAACTCTGTCAGTTGAATACACACAACACAAGGAAGTTACTGAGAATTCTTCTGTCTAGCATAGTATGAAGAAATCCCGTTTCCAACGAAGGCCTCAAAGAGGTCTGAATATCCACTTGCAGAGTTTACAAATAGAGTGTTTCCTAACTGCTCTATGAAAAGAAAGGTTGAACTCTGTGAGTTGAACGCACACATCACAAAGAAGTTTCTGAGAATCATTCTGTCTAGTTTTTATAGGAAGATATTTCCTTTTCTACCTTTGACTTCAAAGCGGCTGAAATCTCCACTTGCAAATTCCACAAAAAGAGTGTTACAAGTCTGCTCTGTGTAAAGGATCGTTCAACTGTGTGAGTTGAATACACACAACACAAGGAAGTTACTGAGAATTCTTCTGTCTAGCCTTACATGAAAAAAACCTGTTTCCAACGAAGGCCTCTAAGTGGTCAAATTATGTACGTGCAGACTTTACAAACAGAGTGATTCCAAACTGCTGAATGAAAAGAAAAGTTAAACTCTGAGAGTTGAACGCACACATCGCAGAGCAGTTTCTGAGAATGATTCTGTCTAGTTTTGAAACGAAGATATTTCCTTTTCTGCCATTGACCTTAAAGCGCTTGAAATCTCCATTTGCCAATTGCACAAAAAGAGTGTTTCAAATCTGCTGTGTCTAAGGGAACTTTCAACTCTGTGAGTTGAATGTACACAACACAAGGAAGTTACTGGGAATTCTTCTGTCTAGCCTTACAGGAAAAAAACCCGTTTCCAACGAAGGCCTCTAAGTGGTCAAAATATCCACGTGCAGACTTTACAAACAGAGTGTTTCCAAACTGCTGAATGAAAAGAAAACTTAAACTCTGAGAGTTGAACGCACACATCGCAGAGCAGTTTCTGAGAATGATTCTGTCTAGTTTTTATACGAAGGATATTTCCTTTTCTGCCTTTGGCCCCAAAGCGCTTGAAATCTCCACTTGCAAATTCCACAAAAACAGTGTTTCAAATCTGCTCTCTCTAAATGAAAGTTCAACTCTGTCAGTTGAATACACACAACAGAAGGAAGTTACTGAGAATTCTTCTGTCTAGCCTTACATGAAAAAAACCCGTTTCCAACGAAGGCCTCAAAGAAGTCCAAATATCCACGTGCAGACTATACAAACAGAGTGTTTCCTAACTGCTCTATGAAAAGAAAGGTTAAACTCTGTGAGTTGAACGCAGACATCACAAAGGAGTTTCTGAGAATCATTCTGTCTAGTTTTTATACGAAGATATTTCCTTTTCTACAATTGACCTCAAAGCGGCTGAAATCTCCACTTGCAAATTCCAGAAAAAGAGTGTTTCAAGTCTGCTCTGTGTAAAGGATCGTTCAACTCTGTGAGTTGAATACACACAACACAAGGAAGTTACTGAGAATTCTTCTGTCTAGCAGAATATGAAGAAATCCCGTTTCCAACGAAGGCCACAAGATGTCAGAATATCCACTTACAGACTTTACAAACAGAGTGTTTCCTAACTCCTCTATGAACAGAAAGGTTAAACTCTGTGAGTTGAACGAACACATCACAACGCAGTTTGTGGGAATGATTCTGTCTAGTTTTGAAACGAAGATATTTCCTTTTCTGCCATTGAACTTAAAGCGCTTGAAATCTCCATTTGCCAATTGCACAAAAAGAGTGTTTCAAATCTGCTCTGTCTAAGGGAACGTTCAACTCTGTGAGTTGAATGTACACAACACAAGGAAGTTACTGGGAATTCTTCTGTCTAGCCTTACATGAAAAAAACCCGTTTCCAACGAAGGCCTCTAAGTGGTCAAAATATCCACGTGCAGACTTTACAAACAGAGTGTTTCCAAACCGCTGAATGAAAAGAAAAGTTAAACTCTGAGAGTTGAAAGCACACATCACGCAGCAGTTTCTGAGAATGATTCTGTCTAGTTTTTATACGAAGATATTTCCTTTTCTGCCTTTGGCCTCAAAGCGCTTGAAATCTCCATTTGCAAATTCCACAAAAAGAGTGTTTCAAATCTGCTCTGTGAAAATGAAAGTTCAACTCTGTGAGTTGAACACACACAACACATGGAAGTTACTGGGAATTCTTCTGTCTAGCCTTATATGAAAAAAACCCGTTTCCAACGAAGGCCTCAAAGAGGTCTGAATATCCACTTGCAGACTTTACAAACAGAGTGTTTCCTAACTGCTCTATGAAAAGAAAGGTTAAACTCTGTGAGTTGAACGCACACATCACAAAGGAGTTTCTGAGAATTATTCTGTCTAGTTTTTATAGGAAGATATTTCCTTTTCTACCTTTGACTTCAAAGCGGCTGAAATCTCCTCTTGCAAATTCCACAAAAAGAGTGTTACAAGTCTGCTCTGTGTAAAGGATCGTTCAACTCTGTGAGTTGAATACACACAACACAAGGAAGTTACTGAGAATTCTTCTGTCTAGCAGAATATGAAGAAATCCCGTTTCCAACGAAGGCCACAAGATGTCAGTATATCCACTTACAGACTTTACAAACAGAGTGTTTCCTAACTGCTCTATGAACAGAAAGGTTAAACTCTGTGAGTTGAACGAACACATCACAACGCAGTTTGTGGGAATGATTCTGTCTAGTTTTGAAACGAAGATATTTCCTTTTCTGCCATTGACCTTAAAGCGCTTGAAATCTCCATTTGCCAATTGCACAAAAAGACTGTTTCAAATCTGCTCTGTCTAAGGGAACGTTCAACTCTGTGAGTTGAATGTACACAACACAAGGAAGTTACTGGGAATTCTTCTGTCTAGCCTTATGTGAAAAAAACCCGTTTCCAACGAAGGCCTCAAAGAGGGCTGAATATCCACTTGCAGACTTTACAAGCAGAGTGTTTCCTAACTGCTCTATGAAAAGAAAGGTTAAACTCTGTGAGTTGAACGCACACATCACAAAGGAGTTTCTGAGAATCATTCTGTCTAGTTTTTATACGAAGATATTTCCTTTTCTGCCTTTGGTCCCAAAGCGCTTGAAATCTCCACTTGCAAATTCCACAAAAACAGTGTTTCAAATCTGCTCTCTCTAAATGAAACTTCAACTCTGTCAGTTGAATACACACAACAGAAGGAAGTTACTGAGAATTCTTCTGTATAGCAGAATATGAAGAAATCCCGTTTCCAACGAAGGCCTCAAGGAGGTCTGAATATCCACTTGCAGACTTTACAAACAGAGTGTTTCCTAACTGCTCTATGAAAAGAAAGGTTAAACTCTGTGAGTTGAACGCACACATCACAAAGGAGTTTCTGAGAATCACTCTGTCTAGTTTTTATACGAAGATATTCCCTTTTCTACCATTGACCTCAACGCGGCTGAAATCTCCACTTGCAAATTCCACAAAACGAGTGTTTCAAGTCCGCTCTGTGTAAAGGATCGTTCAACTCTGTGAGTTGAATACACACAACACAAGGAAGTTACTGAGAATTCTTCTGTCTAGCAGAATATGAAGAAATCCCGTTTCCAACGAAGGCCACAAGATGTCAGAATATCCACTTACAGAATTTACAAACAGAGTGTTTCCTAACTGCTCTATGAAAAGAAAGGTTAAACTCTGTGAGATGAACGAACACATCACAACGCAGTTTGTGGGAATGATTCTGTCTAGTTTTTATAGGAAGTTATTTCCTTTTCTAACTTTGACTTCAAAGCGGCTGAAATCTCCACTTGCAAATTCCACAAAAAGAGTGTTACAAGTCCGCTCTGTGTAAAGGATCGTTCAACTCTGTGAGTTGAATACACACAACACAAGGAAGTTACTGAGAATACTTCTGTCTAGCCTTACATGAAAAAAACCCATTTCCAACAAAGGCCTCTAAGTGGTCAAGTTATCCACGTGCAGACTTTACAAACAGAGTGTTTCCAAACTGCTGAATGAAAAGAAAAGTTAAACTCTGAGAGTTGAACGCACACATCGCAGAGCAGTTTCTGAGAATGATTCTGTCTAGTTTTTATACGAAGATATTTCCTTTTCTGCCTTTGGCCTCAAAGCGCTTGAAATCTCCACTTGCAAATTCCACAAAAAGAGTGTTTCAAATCTGCTCTGTGTAAATGAAAGTTCAACTCTGTGAGTCGAACACACACAACACAAGGAAGTTACTGGGAATTCTTCTGTCTAGCATAATATGAAGACATCCCGTTTCCAACGAAGGCCTGAAAGAGGTCTGAATATCCACTTGCAGACTTTACAAACAGAGTGTTTCCTAACTGCTCTATGAAAAGAAAGGTTAAACTCTGTGAGTTGAACGCACACATCACAAAGGAGTTTCTGAGAATCATTCTGTCTAGTTTCTATAGGAAGATATTTCCTATTCTACCATTGACCTGAAAGCGGCTGAAATCTCCACTTGCAAATTCCACAAAAAGAGTGTTTCAAGTCTGCTCTGTGTAAAGGATCGTTCAACTCTGTGAGTTGAATACACACAACACAAGGAAGTTACTGAGAATTCTTCTGTCTAGCAGAATATGAAGAAATCCCGTTTCCAACGAATGCCACAAGATGTCAGAATATCCACTTACAGAATTGACAAACAGACTGTTTCCTAACTGCTCTATGAAAAGAAAGGTTAAACTCTGTGAGTTGAACGAACACATCACAACGCTGTTTGTGGGAATGATTCTGTCTAGTTTTGAAACGAAGATATTTCCTTTTCTGCCATTGACCTTAAAGCGCTTGAAATCTACACTTGCAAATTGCACAAATAGAGTGTTTCAAATCTGCTCTGTCTAAGGGAAAGTTCAGCTCTGTGAGTTGAATGCACACAACACAAGGAAGTTACTGGGAATTCTTCTGCCTAGCATTACATGAAAAAAACCCGTTTCCAACGAAGGCCTCTAAGTGGTCAAAATATCCACGTGCAGACTTTACAAACAGAGTGTTTCCAAACTGCTGAATGAAAAGAAAAGTTAAACACTGAGAGTTGAACGCACACATCACAGTGCAGTTTCTGAGGATGATTCTGTCTAGTTTTTATACGAAGATATTTCCTTTTCTGCCTTTGGCCCCAAAGCGCTTGAAATCTCCACTTGCAAATTCCACAAAAACAGTGTTTCAAATCTGCTCTCTCTAAATGAAAGTTCAACTCTGTCATTTGAATACACACAACACCAAGGAAGTTACTGAGAATTCTTCTGTCTAGCATAATATGAAGAAATCCCTTTTCCAACGAAGGCCTCAAAGAGGTCTGAATATCCACTTGCACACTTTACAAACAGAGTGTTTCCTAACTGCTCTATGAGAAGAAAAGTTAAACTCTGTGAGTTGAACGCACACATCACAAAAGATTTTCTTAGAATCATTCTGTCTAGTCTTTATACGAAGATATTTCCTTTTCTACCATTGACCTCAAAGCGGCTGAAATCTCCACTTGCAATTCCACAAAAAGAGTGTTTCAAGTCTGCTCTGTGTAAAGGATCGTTCACCTCTGTGAGTTGAATACACACAACACAAGGAAGTTACTGAGAATTCTTCTGTCTAGCAGAATATGAAGAAATCCCGCTTCCAACGAAGGCCTCAAAGAAGTCTGAATATCCACTTGCAGACTTTACAAACAGAGTGTTTCCTAACTGCTCTATGAAAAGAAAGGTTAAACTGTGTGAGTTGAACGCACACATCACAAAGGAGTTTCTCAGAATCATTCTGTCTAGTTTTGAAACGAAGATATTTCCTTTTCTGCCATTGACCTTAATGCGCTTGAAATCTACACTTGCAAATTGCACAAATAGAGTGTTTCAAATCTGCTCTGTCCAAGGGAACGTTCAACTCTGTGAGTTGAATGCACACAACACAAGGAAGTTACTGGGAATTCTTCTGTCTAGCCTTACATGAAAAAAACCCGTTTCCAACGAAGGCCTCTAAGTGGTCAAGTTATCCACGTGCAGACTTTACAAACAGAGTGTTTCCAAACTGCTGAATGAAAAGAAAAGTTAAACTCTGAGAGTTGAACGCACACATTGCAGAGCAGTTTCTGAGAATGATTCTGTCTATTTTTTTACGAAGATATTTCCTTTTCTGCCTTTGGCCTCAAAGCGCTTGAAATCTCCACTTGCAAATTCCACAAAAAGAGTGTTTCAAATCTGCTCTGTGTAAATGAAAGTTCAACTCTGTGAGTTGAACACACACAACACAAGGAAGTTACTGGGAATTCTTCTGTCTAGCATAATATGAAGAAATCCCGTTTCCAACGAAGGCCTCAAAGGGGTCTGAATATCCACTTGCAGACGTTATAAACAGAGTGTTTACTAACTGCTCTATGAAAAGAAAAGTTAAACTCTGTGTGTTGAACGCACACATCACAAAGGAGTTTCTGAGAATCATTCTGTCTAGTTTTTCTACGAAGATATTTCCTTTTCTACTATTGACCTCAAAGCGGCTGAAATCTCCACTTGCAAATTCCACAAAAAGAGTGTTTCAAGTCTGCTCTGTGTAAAGGATCGTTCAACTCTGTGAGTTGAATACACACAACACAAGGAAGTTACTGAGAATCTTCTGTCTAGCAGAATATGAAGAAATCCCGTTTCCAACGAAGGCCTCAAAGAGGTCTGAATATCCACTTGCAGACTTTACAAACAGAGTGTTTCCTAACTGCTCTATGAAAAGAAAAGTTAAACTCTGTGAGTTGAACGCACACATCACAACGCAGTTTGTGGGAATGATTCTGTCTAGTTTTGAAACGAAGATATTCCCTTTTCTGCCATTGACCTTAAAGCGCTTGAAATCTACACTTGCAAATTGCACAAATAGAGTGTTTCAAATCTGCTCCGTCTAGGGAACGTTCAACTCTGTGAGTTGAATGCACACAACACAAGGAAGTTACTGGGAATTCTTCTGTCTAGCCTTACATGAAAAAAAAACCGTTTCCAAAGAAGGCCTCTAAGTGGTCAAATTATCCACGTGCAGACTTTACAAACAGAGTGTTTCCAAACTGCTGAATGAAAAGAAAAGTTAAACTCGGAGAGTTGAACGCACACATCGCAGAGCAGTTTCTGAGAATGATTCTGTCTAGTTTTTATACGAAGATATTTCCTTTTCTGCCTTTGGCCTGAAAGGGCTTGAAATCTCCATTTGCAAATTCCACAAAAAGAGTGTTTCAAATCTGCTCTGTGTAAATGAAAGTTCAACTCTGTGAGTTGAATCCACACAACACAAGGAAGTTACTGGGAATTCTTCTGTCTAGCAGAATATGAAGAAATCCCGTTTCCAACGAAGGCCTCAAAGGGGTCTGAATATCCACTTGCAGACATTATAAACAGAGTGTTTACTAACTGCTCTATGAAAAGAAAGGTTAAACTCTGTGAGTTGAACACACACATCACAAAGGAGTTTCTGAGAATCATTCTGTCTAGTTTTTCTACGAAGATATTTCCTTTTCCACTATTGACCTCAAAGCGGCTGAAATCTCCACTTGCAAATTCCACAAAAAGAGTGTTTCAAGTCTGCTCTGTGTAAAGGATCGTTCCACTCTGTGAGTTGAATACACACAACACAAGGAAGTTACTGAGAATTCTTCTGTCTAGCAGAATATGAAGAAATCCCGTTTCCAAAGAAGGCCTCAAAGAGGTCTGAATATCCACTTGCAGACTTTACAAACAGAGTGTTTCCTAACTGCTCTATGAAAAGAAATGTTAAACTCTGTGAGTTGAACGCACACATCACAAAGGATTTTCTGAGAATCATTCTGTCTAGTTTTTATAGGAAGATATTTACTTTTCTACCTTTGACTTCAAAGCGGCTGAAATCTCCACTTGCAAATTCCACAAAAAGAGTGTTACAAGTCTGCTCTGTGTAAAGGATCGTTCAATTCTGTGAGTTGAATACACACAACACAAGGAAGTTACTGAGAATTCTTCTGTCTAGCCTTACATGAAAAAATCCCGTTTCCAACGAAGGCCTCTAAGTGGTCAAGTTATCCACGTGCAGACTTTACAAACAGAGTGTTTCCAAACTGCTGAATGAAAAGAAAAGTTAAACTCTGAGAGTTGAACGCACACATCGCAGAGCAGTTTCTGAGAATGATTCTGTCTAGTTTTTATAAGTAAGCATATTTCCTTTTCTGCCTTTGGCCTCAAAGCGCTTGAAATCTCCATTTGCAAATTATACAAAAAGAGTGTTTCAAATCTGCTCTGTGTAAATGAAAGTTCAACTCTGTGAGTTGAACACACACAACACAAGGAAGTTACTGGGAATTCTTCTGTCTAGCAGAATATGAAGAAATCCCGTTTCCAAAGAAGGCCTCAAAGAGGTCTGAATATCCACTTGCAGACTTTACCAACAGAGTGTTTCCTAACTGCTCTATGAAAAGAAAGGTTAAACTCTGTGAGTTGAACGCACACATCACAAAGGAGTTTCTGAGAATCATTCTGTCTAGTTTCTATAGGAAGATATTTCCTATTCTACCATTGACCTCAAAGCGGCTGAAATCTCCACTTGCAAATTTCACAAAAAGAGTGTTTCAAGTCTGCTCTGTGTAAAGGATCGTTCAACTCTGTGAGTTGAATACACACAACACAAGGAAGTTACTGAGAATTCTTCTGTCTAGCATAATATGAAGAAATCCCCTTTCCAACGAAGGCCTCAAGGAGGTCTGAATATCCACTTGCAGACTTTACTAACAGAGTGCTTCCTAACTGCTCTATGAAAAGAAAGGTTAAACTCTGTGAGTTGAACGCACACATCACAAAGGAGTTTCTGAGAATCATTCTGTCAAGTTTTGAAACGAAGATATTTCCTTTTCTGCCATTGACCTTAAAGCGCTTGAAATCTACACTTGCAAATTGCACAAATAGAGTGTTTCAAATCTGCTCTGTCTAAGGGAACTGTTCAACTCTGTGAGTTGAATGCACACAACACAAGGAAGTTACTGGGAATTCTTCTGTCTAGCCTTACATGAAAAAACCCGTTTCCAACGAAGGCCTCTAAGTGGTCAAAATATCCACGTGCAGACTTTACAAACAGAGTGTTTCCAAACCGCTGAATGAAAAGAAAAGTTAAACTCTGAGAGTTGAACGCACACATCACGCAGCAGTTTCTGAGAATGATTCTGTCTAGTTTTTATTCGAAGATATTTCCTTTTCTACCATTGACCTCAAAGCGGCTGAAATCTCCACTTGCAAATTACACAAAAAGAGTGTTTCAAGTCTACTCTGTGTAAAGCATCGTTCAACTCTGTGAGTTGAAAACACACAACACAAGGAAGTTTCTGAGAATTCTTCTGTCTAGCAGAACATGAAGAAATCCCGTTTCCAACGAAGGCCTCAAAGATGTCTGAATATCTACTTGCAGACTTTACAAACAGAGTGTTTCCTAACTGCTCTATGAAAAGAAAGGTTAAACTCTGTGAGTTGAACGCACACATCACAAAGGAGTTTCTGAGAATCATTCTGTCTAGTTTCTATAGGAAGATATTTCCTATTCTACCATTGAGCTCAAAGCGGCTGAAATCTCCACTTGCAAATTCCACAAAAAGAGTGTTTCAAGTCTGCTCTGTGTAAAGGATCGTTCAACTCTGTGAGTTGAAAACACACAACACAAGGAAGTTACTGAGAATTCTTCTGTCTAGCAGAATATGAAGAAATCCCGTTTCCAACGAAGGCCTGAAGGAGGTCTGAATATCCACTTGCAGACTTTACAAACAGAGTGTTTCCTAACAGCTCTTTGAACAGAAAGGTTAAACTCTGTGAGTTGAACGCACACATCACAAAGGAGTTTCTGAGAATCATTCTGTCTAGTTTTGAAACGAAGATATTTCCTTTTCTGCCGTTGACCTTAAAGCGCCTGAAATCTACACTTGCAAATTGCACAAATAGAGTGTTTCAAATCTGCTCTGTCTAAGGGAACGTTCAACTCTGTGAGTTGAATGCACACAACACAAGGAAGTTACTGGGAATTCTTCTGTCTAGCCTTACATGAAAAAAAACCCGTTTCCAACGAAGGCCTCTAAGTGGTCAAAATATCCACGTGCAGTCTATACAAACAGAGTTTTTCCAAACCGCTGAATGAAAAGAAAAGTTAAACTCTGAGAGTTGAACGCACACATCACGCAGCAGTTTCTGAGAATGATTCTGTCTAGTTTTTATACGAAGATATTTCCTTTTCTGCCTTTGGCCACAAAGCGCTTGAAATCTCCATTTGCAAATTCCACAAAAAGAGTGTTTCAAATCTGCTCTGTGTAAATGAAAGTTCAACTCTGTGAGTTGAACACACACAACACAAGGAAGTTACTGGGAATTCTTCTGTCTAGCCTTACATGAAAAAAACCCGTTTCCAACGAAGGCCTCAAGGAGGTCTGAATATCCACTTGCAGACTTTACAAACAGAGTGTTTCCTAACTGCTCTATGAAAAGAAAGGTTAAACTCTGTGAGTTGAACGCATACATCACAAAGGAGTTTCTGAGAATCATTCTGTCTACTTTCTATAGGAAGATATTTCCTATTCTACCATTGACTTCAAAGCGGCTGAAATCTCCACTTGCAAATTCCACAAAAGGAGTGTTTCAAGTCTGCTCTGTGTAAAGGATCGTTCAACTCTGTGAGTTGAAAACACACAACACAAGGAAGTTTCTGAGAATTCTTCTGTCTAGCAGAATATGAAGAAATCCCGTTTCCAACGAAGGCCACAAGATGTCAGAATATCCACTTACAGAATTTTCAAAGAGACTGTTTCCTAACTGCTCTATGAAAAGAAAGGTTAAACTCTGTGAGTTGAACGAACACATCACAACGCAGTTTGTGGGAATGATTCTGTCTAGTTTTGAAACGAAGATATTTCCTTTTCTGCCATTGACCTTAAAGCGCTTGAAATCTCCACTTGTCAATTGCACAAAAAGAGTGTTTCAAATCTGCTCTGTCTAAGGGAACGTTCAACTCTGTGAGTTGAATGTACACAACACAAGGAAGTTACTGGGAATTCTTCTGTCTAGCCTTACATGAAAAAAACCCGTTTCCAACGAAGGCCTCTAAGTGGTCAAAATATCCACGTGCAGACTTTACAAACAGAGTGTTTCCAAACCGCTGAATGAAAAGAAAAGTTAAACTCTGAGAGTTGAACGCACACATCACACAGCAGTTTCTGAGAATGATCTGTCTAGTTTTTATACGAAGATATTTCCTTTTCTGCCTTTGGCCCCAAAGCGCTTGAAATCTCCACTTGCAAATTCCACAAAAACAGTGTTTCAAATCTGCTCTCTCTAAATGAAAGTTCAACTCTGTCAGTTGAATACACACAACACAAGGAAGTTACTGAGAATTCTTTCCGTCTAGCCTTACATGAAAAAAACCCGTTTCCAACGAAGGCCTCAAAGAAGTCCAAATATCCACGTGTAGACTTTACAAACAGAGTGTTTCCTAACTGCTCTATGAAAAGAAAGGTTAAACTCTGTGAGTTGAACGCCCACATCACAAAGGAGTTTCTGAGAATCATTCTGTCTAGTTTCTATAGGAAGATATTTCCTATTCTACCATTGACCTCAAAGCAGCAGAAATCTCCACTTGCAAATTCCACAAAAAGAGTGTTTCAAGACTGCTCTGTGTAAAGGATCGTTCAACTCTGTGAGTTGAATACACACAACACAAGGAAGTTACTGAGAATTCTTCTGTCTAGCAGAATATGAATAAATCCCGTTTCCAACGAAGGCCACAAGATGTCAGAATATCCACTTACAGACTTTACAAACAGAGTGTTTCCTAACTGCTCTATGAACAGAAAGGTTATACTCTGTGAGTTGAACGAACACATCACAACGCAGTTTGTGGGAATGATTCTGTCTAGTTTTGAAACGAAGATATTTCCTTTTCTGCCCTTGACCTTAAAGCGCTTGAAATCTACAATTGCAAATTGCACAAATAGAGTGTTTCAAATCTGCTCTGTCTAAGGGAACGTTCAACTCTGTAAGTTGAATGCACACAACACAAGGAAGTTACTGGGAATTCTTCTGTCTAGCCTTACATGAAAAAAACCCGTTTCCAACGAAGGCCTCTAAGTGGTCAAAATTTCCACGTGCAGACTTTACAAACAGAGTGTTTCCAAACCGCTGAATGAAAAGAAAAGTTAAACTCTGAGAGTTGAACGCACACATCACGCAGCAGTTTCTGAGAATGATTCTGTCTAGTTTTTATACGAAGATATTTCCTTTTCTGCCTTTGGCCCCAAAGCGCTTGAAATCTCCACTTGCAAATCCCACAAAAACAGTGTTTCAAATCTGCTCTCTCTAAATGAAAGTTCAACTCTGTCAGTTGAATACACACAACACAAGGAAGTTACTGAGAATTCTTCTGTCTAGCATAATATGAAGAAATCCCGTTTCCAACGAAGGCCTCAAAGAGGTCTGAATATCCACTTGCAGACTTTACAAACAGAGTGTTTCCTAACGGCTCTATGAACAGAAAGGTTAAACTCTGTGAGTTGAACGCACACATCACAAAGGAGTTTCTGAGAATCATTCTGTCTAGTCTTTATAGGAAGATATTTACTTTTCTACCATTGACCTCAAAGCGGCTGAAATCTCCACTTGCAAATTCCACAAAAAGAGTGTTTCAAGTCTACTCTGTGTAAAGGATCATTCAACTCTGTGAGTTGAATAAACACAACACAAGGAAGTTACTGAGAATTCTTCTGTCTAGCAGAATATGAAGAAATCCCGTTTACAACGAAGGCCACAAGATGTCAGAATATCCACTTACAGACTTTACAGAGTGTTTCCTAACTGCTCTATGAACAGAAAGGTTAAACTCTGTGAGTTGAACGAACACATCACAACGCAGTTTGTGGGAATGATTCTGTCTAGTTTTGAAACGAAGATATTTCCTTTTCTGCCATTGACCTTAAAGCGCTTGAAATCTACACTTGCAAATTGCACAAATAGATTGTTTCAAATCTGCTCTGTCTAAGGGAACGTTCAACTCTGTGAGTTGAATGCATACAACACAAGGAAGTTACTGGGAATTCTTCTGTCTAGCCTTACATGAAAAAAACCCGTTTCCAACGAAGGCCTCTAAGTGGTCAAAATGTCCACGTGCAGACTTTACAAACAGAGTGTTTCCAAACCGCTGAATGAAAAGAAAAGTTAAACTCTGAGAGTTGAACGCACACATCAAGCAGCAGTTTCTGAGAATGATTCTGTCTAGTTTTGAAACGGAGATATTTCCTTTTCTGCCTTTGGCCTCAAAGCGCTTGAAATCTCCACTTGCAAATTCCACAAAAAGAGTGTTTCAAATCTGCTCTGTGCAAATGAAAGTTCAACTCTGTGAGTTGAACACACACAACACAAGGAAGTTACTGGGAATTCTTCTGTCTAGCATAATATGAAGAAATCCCGTTTCCAACGAAGGACTCAAAGGGGTCGGAATATCCACTTGCAGACTTTATAAACAGAGTGTTTACTAACTGCTCTTGAAAAGAAAGGTTAAACTCTGTGAGTTGAACACACACATCACAAAGGAGTTTCTGAGAATCACTCTGTCTAGTCTTTATACGAAGATATTTCCTTTTCTACCATTGACCTCAAAGCGGCTGAAATCTCCACTTGCAAATTCCACAAAAAGAGTGTTTCAAGTCTGCTCTGTGTAAAGGATCGTTCAACTCTGTGAGTTGAATACACACAACCCAAGGAAGTTACTGAGAATTCTTCTGTCTAGCATAGTATGAAGAAATCCCGTTTCCAACGAAGGCCTCAAAGAGGTCTGAATATCCACTTGCAGAGTTTACAAACAGAGTGTTTCCTAACTGCTCTATGAAAAGAAAGGTTAAACTCTGTGAGTTGAACGCAAACATCACAAAGAAGTTTCTGAGAATCATTCTGTCTAGTTTTGAAACGAAGATATTTCCTTTTCTGCCATTGACCTTAAAACGCTTGAAATCTACAATTGCAAATTGCACAAATAGAGTGTTTCAAATCTGCTCTGTCTAAGGGAACGTTCAACTCTGTGAGTTGAATGCACACAACACAAGGAAGTTACTGGGAATTCTTCTGTCTAGCCTTACATGAAAAAATCCCGTTTCCAACGAAGGCCTCTAAGTGGTCAAAATATCCACGTGCAGACTTTACAAACAGAGTGTTTCCAAACCGCTGAATGAAAAGAAAAGTTAAACTCTGAGAGTTGAACGCACACATCACGCAGCAGTTTCTGAGAATGATTCTGTCTAGTTTTTATACGAAGATATTTCCTTTTCTGCCTTTGGCCTCAAAGCGCTTGAAATCTCCATTTGCAAATTCCACAAAAAGAGTGTTTCAAATCTGCTCTGTGTAAATGAAAGTTCAACTCTGTGAGTTGAACACACACAACACAATGAAGTTACTGGGAATCTCTTCTGTCTAGCAGAATATGAAGAAATCCCGTTTCCACCGAAGACCTCAAGTAGGTCTGAATATCCACTTGCAGAATTTACAAACAGAGTGTTTCCTAACTGCTCTATGAACAGAAAGGGTAAACTCTGTGAGTTGAACGCACACATCACAAAGGACTTTCTGAGAATCATTCTGTCTAGTTTTTATACGAAGATATTTCCTTTTCTACCATTGACCTCAACGCGGCTGAAATCTCCAGTTGCAAATTCCACAAAAAGAGTGTTTCAAGTCTGCTCTGTGTAAAGGATCGTTCAACTCTGTGAGTTGAATACACACAACTCAAGGAAGTTACTGAGAATTCTTCTGTCTAGCAGAATATGAAGAAATCTCGTTTCCAAAGAAGGCCACAAGATGTCAGAATATCCACTTACAGAATTTACAAACAGAGTTTTTCCTAACTGCTCTATGAAAAGAAAGGTTAAACTCTGTGAGTTGAACGAACACATCACAACGCAGTTTGTGGGAATGATTCTGTCTGGTTTTGAAACGAAGATATTTCCTTTTCTGCCATTGACATTAAGCGCTTGAAATCTCCACTTGCCAATTTCACAAAAAGAGTGTTTCAAATCTGCTCTGTCTAAGGGAACGTTGAACTCTGTGAGTTGAATGTACACAACACAAGGAAGTTACTGGGAAATATTCTGTCTAACCTTACATGACAAAAGCCCGCTTCCAACGAAGGCCTCTAAGTGGTCAAAATATCCACGTGCAGACTTTACAAACAGAGTGTTTCCAAACTGGTGAATGAAAAGAAAAGTTAAACTCTGAGAGCTGAATGCACACATCGGAGAGCAGTTTCTGAGAATGATTCTGTCTAGTTTTTATACGAAGATATTTCCTTTTCTGCCTTTGGCCTCAAAGCGCTTGAAATCTCCATTTGCAAATTCCACAAAAAGAGTGTTTCAAATCTGCTCTGTGTAAATGAAAGTTCAGCTCTGTGAGTTGAACACACACAACACAAGGAAGTTACTGGGAATTCTTCTGTCTAGCAGAACATGAAGAAATCCCGCTTCCAACGAAGGCCTCAAAGAAGTCTGAATATCCACTTGCAGACTTTACAAACAGAGTGTTTCCCAACTGCTCTATGAAAAGAAAGGTTGAACTCTGTGAGCTGAACGCACACATCACAAAGGAGTTTCTGAGAATCATTCTGTCTAGTTTCTATAGGAAGATATTTCCTATTCTACCATTGACCTCAAAGCGGCAGAAATCTCCACTTGCAAATTCCACAAAAAGAGTGTTTCAAGACTGCTCTGTGTAAAGGATCGTTCAACTCTGTGAGTTGAATACACACAACACAAGGAAGTCACTGAGAATTCTTCTGTCTAGCAGAATATGAAGAAATCCCGTTTCCAACGAAGGCCACAAGATGTCAGAATATCCACTTACAGACTTTACAAACAGAGTGTTTCCTAACTGCTCTATGAACAGAAAGTTTAAACTCTGTGTGTTGAACGCACACATCACAAAGTAGTTTATGAGAATCATTCTGTCTAGTTTCTATAGGAAGATATTTCCTATTCTACCATTGACCTCAAAGCGGCTGAAATCTCCACTTGCAAATTCCACAAAAAGAGTGTTTCAAGTCTGCTCTCTGTAAAGGATCGTTCAACTCTGTGAGTTGAATACACACAACAAAAGCAAGTTACTGAGAATTATTCTGTCTAGCCTTACATGAAAAAAACCCGTTTCCAACGAAGGCCTCTAAGTGGTCAAAATATCCACGTGCAGACTTTACAAACAGAGTGTTTCCAAACCGCTGAATGAAAAGAAAAGTTAAACTCTGAGAGTTGAACGCACACATCACGCAGCAGTTTCTGAGAATGATTCTGTCTAGTTTTTATACGAAGATATTTCCTTTTCTGCCTTTGGCCTCAAAGCGCTTGAAATCTCCACTTGCAAATTCCACAAAAAGAGTGTTTCAAATCTGCTCTGTGTAAATGAAAGTTCAACTCTGTGAGTTAAAAAACACACAACACAAGGAAGTTACTGGGAATTCTTCTGTCTAGCAGAATATGAAGAAATCCCGTTTCCACCGAAGGCCTCAAAGAGGTCTGAATATCCACTTGCAGACTTTACAAACAGAGTGTTTCCTAACTGCTCTATGAAAACAAAAGTTAAACTCTGTGAGTTGAACGCACACATCACAAAGGAGTTTATGAGAATCATTCTGTCTAGTTTTTCTACGAAGATATTTCCTTTTCTACTATTGACCTCAAAGCGGCTGAAATCTCCACTTGCAAATTCCACAAAAAGAGTGTTTCAAGTCTGCTCTGTGTAAAGGATCGTTCAACTCTGCGAGTTGAATACACACAACACAAGGGAAGTTACTGAGGAATTCTTCTGTCTAGCAGAACATGAAGAAATCCCGCTTCCAACGAAGGCCTCAAAGAAGTCTGAATATCCACTTGCAGACTTTACAAACAAAGTGTTTCCTAACTGCTCTATGAAAAGAAAGGTTGAACTCTGTGAGTTGAACGCACACATCACAAAGGAGTTTCTGAGAATCATTCTGTCTAGTTTTGAAACGAAGATATTTCCTTTTCTGCCGTTGACCTTAAAGCGCTTGAAATCTACACTTGCAAATTGCACAAATAGAGTGTTTCAAATCTGCTCTGTCTAAGGGAACGTTCAACTCTGTGAGTTGAATGCACACAACACAAGGAAGTTACTGGGAATTCTTCTGTCTAGCCTTATATGAAAAAAACCCGTTTCCAACGAAGGCATCAAAGAGGTCTGAATATCCACTTGCAGACTTTACAAACAGAGTGTTTCCTAACTGCTCTATGAAAAGAAAGGTTAAACTCTGTGAGTTGAACGCACACATCACAAAGGAGATTCTGAGAATCATTCTGTCTAGTCTTTATACGAAGATAATTCCTTTTCTACCATTGACCTCAAAGCGGCTGAAATCTCCACTTGCAAATTCCACAAAAAGAGTGTTTCAAGTCTGCTCTGTGTAAAGGATCGTTCAACTCTGTGAGTTGAATACACACAACACAAGGAAGTTACTGAGAATTCTTCTGTCTAGCAGAATATGAAGAAATCCCGTTTCCAACGAAGGCCTCAAGGAGGTCTGAATATCCACTTGCAGACTTTACAAACAGAGTGTTTCCTAACTGCTCTATGAAAATAAAAGTTAAACTCTGTGAGATGAACGCACACATCACAAAGGAGTTTATGAGAATCATTCTGTCTAGTCTTTATATGAAGATAGTTTCCTTTTCTACCATTGACCTCAAAGCGGCTGAAATCTCCACTTGCAAATTCCCCAAAAAGAGTGTTTCAAGTCTGCTCTGTGTAAAGGATCGTTCAACTCTGTGAGTTGAATACACACAACACAAGGAAAGTTACTGAGAATTCTTCTGTCTAGCAGAATATGAAGAAATCCCGTTTCCAACTAAGGCCACAAGATGTCAGAATATCCACTTACAGAATTGACAAACAGACTGTTTCCTAACTGCTCTATGAAAAGAAAGGTTAAACTCTGTGAGTTGAACAAACACATCACAACGCAGTTTGTGGGAATGATTCTCTCTAGTTTTGAAACGAAGATATTTCCTTTTCTGCCATTGACCTTAAAGCGCTTGAAATCTCCACTTGCCAATTGCACAAAAAGAGTGTTTCAAATCTGCTCTGTCTAAGGGAACGTTCAACTCTGTGAGTTGAATGTACACAACACAAGGAAGTTACTGGGAACTCTTCTGTCTAGCCTTACATGCAAAAAAACCGTTTCCAACGAAGGCCTCTAAGTGGTCAAAATATCCACGTGCAGACTTCACAAACAGAGTGTTTCCAAACCGCTGAATGAAAAGAAAAGTTAAACTCTGAGAGTTGAACGCACACATCACGCAGCAGCTTCTGAGAATGATTCTGTCTGGTTTTGAAACGAAGATATTTCCTTTTCTGCCTTTGGCCTCAAAGCGCTTGAAATCTCCACTTGCAAATTCCACAAAAAGAGAGTTTCAAATCTGCTCTGTGTAAATGAAAGTTCAACTCTGTGAGTTGAACACACACAACACAAGGAAGTTACTGGGAATTCTTCTGTCTAGCATAATATGAAGAAATCAAGTTTCCAACGAAGGCCTCAAAGAGGTCTGAATATCCACTTGCAGACTTTACAAACAGAGTGGTTCCTAACTGCTCTATGAGAAGAAAAGTTAAACTCTGTGAGTTGAACGCACACATCACAAAAGATTTTCTGAGAATCATTCTGTCTAGTCTCTATATGAAGATAGTTTCCTTTTCTACCATTGACCTCAAAGCGGCTGAAATCTCCACTTGCAAATTCCACAAAAAGAGTGTTTCAAGTCTGCTCTGTGTAAAGGATCGTTCAACTCTGTGAGTTGAATACACACAACACAAGGAAGTTACTGAGAATTCTTCTGTCTAGCAGAATATGAAGAAATCCCGTTTCCAACGAAGGCCACAAGATGTCAGAATATCCACTTACAGAATTGACAAACAGACTGTTTCCTAACTGCTCTATGAAAAGAAAGGTTAAACTCTGTGAGTTGAATGAACACATCACAACGCAGTTTGTGGGAATGATTCTGTCTAGTTTTGAAAGGAAGATATTTCCTTTTCTGCCATTGACCTTAAAGCGCTTGAAATCTACACTTGCAAATTGCACAAATAGAGTGTTTCAAATCTGCTCTGTCTAAGGGAACGTTCAACTCTGTGAGTTGAATGCACACAACACAGGGAAGTTACTGGGAATTCTACTGTCTAGCCTTACAGGAAAAAAACCCGTTTCCAACGAAGGCCTCTAAGTGGTCAAAATATCCACGTGCAGACTTTACAAACAGAGTGTTTCCAAACTGCTGAATGAAAAGAAAAGTTAAACTCTGAGAGTTTAACGCACACATCGCAGAGCAGTTTCTGAGAATGATTCTGTCTAGTTTTTATACGAAGATGTTTCCTTTTCTGCCTTTGGCCCCAAAGCGTTTGAAATCTCCACTTGCAAATTCCACAAAAACAGTGTTTCAAATCTGCTCCCTCTAAATGAAATTTCAACTCTGTCAGTTGAATACACACAACACAAGGAAGTTACTGAGAATTCTTCTGTCTAGAACATGAAGAAATCCCGCTTCCAACGAAGGCCTCAAAGAAGTCTGAATATCCACTTGCAGACTTTACAAACAGAGTGTTTCCCAACTGCTCTATGAAAAGAAAGGTTGAACTCTGTGAGTTGAACGCACACATCACAAAGGAGTTTCTGAGAATCATTCTGTCTAGTTTTTATAGGAAGATATTTCCTTTTCTACCTTTGACTTCAAATCGGCTGAAATCTCCACTTGCAAATTCCACAAAAAGAGTGTTACAAGTCTGCTCTGTGTAAAGGATCGTTCAACTCTGTGAGTTGAATACACACAACACAAGGAAGTTACTGAGAATTCTTCTGTCTAGCAGAATATGAAGAAATTCCGTTTCCAACGAAGGCCGCAAGATGTCAGAATATCCACTTGCAGACTTTACAAACAGAGTGTTTCCTAACTGCTCTATGAACAGAAAGGTTAAAATCTGTGAGTTGAACGAGCACTTCACAACGCAGTTTGTGGGAATGATTCTGTCTAGTTTTGAAACGAAGAAATTTCCTTTTCTGCCATTGACCTTAAAGCGCTTGAAATCTACACTTGCAAATTGCACAAATAGAGTGTTTCAAATCTGCTCTGTCTAAGGGAACGTTCAACTCTGTGAGTTGAATGCACACAACACAAGGAAGTTACTGGGAATTCTTCTGTCTAGCCTTACATGAATAAAACCCGTTTCCAACGAAGGCCTCTAAGTGGTCAAAATATCCACGTGCAGACTTTACAAACAGAGTGTTTCCAAACCGCTGAATGAAAAGAAAAGTTAAACTCTGAGAGTTGATCGCACACATCACGCAGCAGTTTCTGAGAATGATTCTGTCTAGTTTTGAAACGAAGATATTTCCTTTTCTGCCTTTGGCCTCAAAGCGCTTGAAATCTCCACTTGCAAATTCCACAAAAAGAGTGTTTCAAATCTGCTCTGTGTAAATGAAAGTTCCACTCTGTGAGTTGAACACACACAACACAAGGAAGTTACTGGGAATTCTTCTGTCTAGCAGAATATGAAGAAATCCCGTTTCCAACGAAGGCCTCAAAGAGGTCTGAATATCCACTTGCAGACTTTACAAAGAGAGTGTTTCCTAACTGCTCTTTGAAAAGAAAAGTTAAACTCTGTGAGTTGAACGCACACATCACAAAGGAGTTTCTGAGAATCATTCTGTCTAGTTTTTATATGAAGATATTTCCTTTTCTACCATTGACCTCAAAGCGGCTGAAATCTCCACTTGCAAATTCCACAAAAAGAGTGTTTCAAGTCTGCTCTGTGTAAAGGATCGTTCAACTCTGTGAGTTGAATACACACAACACGCGGAAGTTACTCAGTATTCTTCTGTCTAGCAGAATATGAAGAAATCCCGTTTCCAACGAAGGCCACAAGATGTCAGAATATCCACTTACAGAATTTTCAAACAGACTGTTTCCTAACTGCTCTATGAAAAGAAAGGTTAAACTCTGTGAGATGAACGAACACATCACAACGCAGTTTGTGGGAATGATTCTGTCTAGTTTTGAAACGAAGATATTTCCTTTTCTGCCATTGACCTTAAAGCGCTTGAAATCTCCATTTGCCAATTGCACAAAAAGAGTGTTTCAAATCTGCTCTGTCTAAGGGAACGTTCAACTCTGTGAGTTGAATGTACACAACACAAGGAAGTTACTGGGAATTCTTCTGTCTAGCCTTACATGAAAAAAACCCGTTTCCAACGAAGGCCTCTAAGTGGTCAAAATATCCACGTGCAGACTTTACAAACAGAGTGTTTCCAAACCGCTGAATGAAAAGAAAAGTTAAACTCTGAGAGTTGAACGCAGACATCACGCTGCAGATTCTGAGAATGATTCTGTCTAGTTTCTATAGGAAGATATTTCCTATTCCACCATTGACCTCAAAGCGGCTGAAATCTCCACTTGCAAATTCCACAAAAAGAGTGTTTCAAGTCTGCTCTCTGTAAAGGATCGTTCAACTCTGTGAGTTGAATACACACAACACAAGGAAGTTACTGAAAATTCTTCTGTCTAGCCTTATATGAAAAAAACCCGTTTCCAACGAAGGCCACAAAGAGGTCTGAATATCCACTTGCAGACTTTACAAACAGAGTGTTTCCTAACTGCTCTATGAAAAGAAAGGTTAAACTCTGTGAGTTGAACGCACACATCACAAAGGAGATTCTGAGAATCATTCTGTCTAGTTTTTCTACGAAGATATTTCCTTTTCTACTATTGACCTCAAAGCGGCTGAAATCTCCACTTGCAAATTCCACAAAAAGAGTGTTTTAAGTCTGCTCTGTGTAAAGGATCGTTCAACTCTGTGAGTTGAATACACACAACACAAGGAAGTTACTGAGAATTCTTCTGTCTAGCAGAATATGAAGAAATCCCGTTTCCAACGAAGGCCACAAGATGTCAGAATATCCACTTACAGAATTTACAAACAGACTGTTTCCTAACTGCTCTATGAAAAGAAAGGTTAAACTCTGTGAGTTGAACGAACACATCACAACGCAGTTTGTGGGAATGATTCTGTTTAGTTTTGAAACGAAGAAATTTCCTTTTCTGCCATTGACCTTAAAGCGCTTGAAATCTCCACTTGCCAATTGCACAAAAAGAGTGTTTCAAATCTGCTCTGTCTAAGGGTACGTTCAACTCTGTGAGTTGAATGTACACAACACAAGGAAGTTACTGGGAATTATTCTGTCTAGCCTTACAGGAAAAAAACCCGTTTCCAACGAAGGCCTCTAAGTGGTCAAAATATCCACGTGCAGACTTTATAAACAGAGTGTTTCCAAACTGCTGAATGAAAAGAAAAGTTAAACTCTGAGAGTTGAACGCACACATCGCAGAGCAGTTTCTGAGAATGATTCTATCTAGTTTTTATACAAAGATATTTCCTTTTCTGCCTTTGGCCTCAAAGCGCTTGAAATCTCCACTTGCAAATTCCACAAAAAGAGTGTTTCAAATCTGCTCTGTCTAAATGAAAGTTCAACTCTGTCAGTTGAATACACACAACACAAGGAAGTTACTGAGAATTCTTCTGTCTAGCATAAGATGAAGAAATCCCGTTTCCAACGAAGGCCTCAAAGGGGTCTGAATATCCACTTGCAGACTTTATAAACAGAGTGTTTACTAACTGCTCTATGAAAAGAAAGGTTAAACTCTGTGAGTTGAACACACACATCACAAAGGAGTTTCTGAGAATCATTCTGTCTAGTCTTTATACGAAGATATTTCCTTTTCTACCGTTGACCACAAAGCGGCTGAAATCTCCACTTGCAAATTCCACAAAAAGAGTGTTTCAAGTCTGCTCTGTGTAAAGGATCGTTCAACTCTGTGAGTTGAATACACACAACACAAGGAAGTTACTGAGAATTCTTCTGTCTAGCAGAAAATGAAGAAATCCCGTTTCCAACGAAGGCCTCAAAGAGGTCTGAATATCCACTTGCAGACTTTACAAACAGAGTGTTTCCTAACTGCTCTATGAAAAGAAAGGTTAAACTCTGTGAGTTGAACGCACACATCACAAAGGAGTTTCTGAGAATCGTTCTGTCTAGTTTTGAAACGAAGATATTTCCTTTTCTGCCATTGACCTTAAAGCCCTTGAAATCTCCATTTGCCAATTGCACAAAAAGAGTGTTTCAAATCTGCTCTGTTTAAGGGAACGTTCAACTCTGTGAGTTGAATGTACACAACACAAGGAAGTTACTGGGAATTCTTCTGTCTAGCCTTACATGAAAAAAACCCGTTTCCAACGAAGGCCTCTAAGTGGTCAAATTATCCACGTGCAGACTTTACAAACAGAGTGTTTCCAAACTGCTGAAGGAAAAGAAAAGTTAAACTCTGAGAGTTGAACACACACATCACAGAGCAGTTTCTTAGAATGATTCTGTCAAGTTTTTATACGAAGATATTTCCTTTTCTGCCTTTGGCCTCAAAGCGCTTGAAATCTCCATTTGCAAATTCCACAAAAAGAGTGTTTCAAATCTGCTCTGTGTAAATGAAAGTTCAACTCTGTGAGTTGAACACACACAACACAAGGAAGTTACTGGGAATTCTTCTGTCTAGCCTTATATGAAAAAAACCCGTTTCCAACGAAGGCCTCAAAGAGGTCTGAATATCCACTTACAGACTTTACAAACAGAGTGTTTCCTAACTGCTCTATGAAAAGAAAGGTTAAACTCTGTGAGTTGAACACACACATCACAAAGGAGTTTCTGAGAATCATTCTGTCTAGTCTTTATACGAAGATAGTTTCCTTTTCTACCATTGACCTCAAAGCGGCTGAAATCTCCACTTGCAAATTCCACAAAAGGAGTGTTTCAAGTCTGCTCTGTGTAAAGGATCGTTCATCTCTGTGAGTTGAATACACACAACACAAGGAAGTTACTGAGAATTCTTCTGTCTAGCAGAATATGAAGAAATCCCGTTTCCAACGAAGGCTTCAAAGAGGTCTGAATATCCGCTTGCAGACTTTACAAACAGAGTGTTTCCTAACTCCTCTATGAAAAGAAAGTTTAAACTCTGTGAGTTGAACGCACACATCACAAAGGAGTTTCTGAGAATCATTCTGTCTAGTTTTGAAACGAAGATATTTCCTTTTCTGCCATTGACCTTAAAGCGCTTGAAATCTCCACTTGCCAATTGCACAAAAAGAGTGTTTCAAATCTGCTCTGTCTAAGGGAACGTTCAACTCTGTGAGTTGAATGTACACAACACAAGGAAGTTACTGGGAATTCTTCTGTCTAGCCTTACATGAAAAAAACCCGTTTCCAATGAAGGCCTCTAAGTGGTCAAATTATCCACGTGCAGACTTTACAAACAGAGTGTTTCCAAACTGCTGAATGAAAAGAAAAGTTAAACTCTGAGAGTTGAACGCACACATCACAGAGCAGTTTCTGAGAATGATTCTGTCTAGTTTTTATACCGAAGATATTTCCTTTTCTGCCTTTGGCCTCAAAGCGCTTGAAATCTCCATTTGCAAATTCCACAAAAAGAGTGTTTCAAATCTGCTCTGTGTAAATGAAAGTTCAACTCTGTGAGTTGAATACACACAACACAAGGGAAGTTACTGGGAATTCTTCTGTCTAGCATAATATGAAGAAATCCCGTTTCCAACGAAGGCCTCAAAGAGGTCTGAATATCCACTTGCAGACTTTACAAACAGAGTGTTTCCTAACTGCTCTATGAAAAGAAAGGTTAAACTCTGTGAGGTGAACGCACACATCACAAAGGAGTTTCTGAGAATCATTCTGTCTAGTTTTTATACGAAGATATTTCCTTTTCTACCATTGACCTCAAAGCGGCTGAAATCTCCACTTGCAAATTCCACAAAAAGAGTGTTTCAAATCTGCTCTGTGTAAACCATCGTTCAACTCTGTGAGTTGAATACACACAACACAAGGAAAGATTCTGAGAATTCTTCTGTCTAGCAGAATATGAAGAAATCCAGTTTCCAACGAAGGCCACAAGATGTCAGAATATCAACTTACAGAATTTACAAACAGAGTGTTTCCTAACTGCTCTATGAAAAGAAAGGTTAAACTCTGTGAGTTGAACGAACACATCACAACGCAGTTTGTGGGAATGATTCTGTCTAGTTTTGAAACGAAGATATTTCCTTTTCTGCCATTGACCTTAAAGCGCTTGAAATCTCCACTTGCCAATTGCACAAAAAGAGTATTTCAAATCTGCTCTGTCTAAGGGAACGTTCAACTCTGTGAGTTGAATGTACACAACACAAGGAAGTTACTGGGAATTCTTCTGTCTAGCCTTATATGAAAAAAACCCGTTTCCAACGAAGGCCTCAAAGAGGTCTGAATATCCACTTGCAGACTTTACAAACAGAGTGTTTCCTAACAGCTCCATGAAAAGAAAGGTTAAACTCTGTGAGTTGAACGCACACATCACAAAGGAGTTTCTGAGAATCATTTCTGTCTAGTTTTCAAACGAAGATATTTCCTTTTCTGCCTTTGGCCTCAAAGCGCTTGAAATCTCCACTTGCAAATTCCACAAAAAGAGTGTTTCAAATCTGCTCTGTGTAAATGAAAGTTCAACTCTGTGAGTTGAACACACACAACACAAGGAAGTTACTGGGAATTCTTCTGTCTAGCATAATATGAAGAAATCCCTTTTCCAACGAAGGCCTCAAAGGGGTCTGAATATCCACTTTCAGACTGTACAAACAGAGTGTTTACTAACTGCTCTATGAAAAGAAAGGTTAAACTCTGTGAGTTGAACACACACATCACAAAGGAGTTTCTGAGAATCATTCTGTCTAGTTTTTATACGAAGATATTTCCTTTTCTACCTTTGACTTCAAAGCGGCTGAAATCTCCACTTGCAAATTCCACAAAAAGAGTGTTACAAGTCTGGTCTGTGTAAAGGATCGTTCAACTCTGTGAGTTGAATACACACAACACAAGGAAGTTACTGAGAATTCTTCTGTCTAGCCTTACATGAAAAAAAACCGTTTCCAACGAAGGCCTCTAAGTGGTCAAATTATCCACGTGCAGACTTTACAAACAGAGTGTTTCCAAACTGCTGAATGAAAAGAAAAGTTAAACTCGGAGAGTTGAACGCACACATCGCAGAGCAGTTTCTGAGAATGATTCTGTCTAGTTTTGAAACGAAGATATTTCCTTTTCTGCCATTGACCTTAAAGGGCTTGAAATCTACACTTGCAAATTGCACAAATAGAGTGTTTCAAATCTGCTCTGTCTAAGGGAACGTTCAACTCTGTGAGTTGAATGCACACAACACAAGGAAGTTGCTGGGAATTCTTCTGTCTAGCCTTACATGAAAAAAACCCGTTTCCAACGAAGGCCTCTAAGTGGTCAAATTATCCACGTGCAGACTTTACAAACAGAGTGTTTCCAAACTGCTGAATGAAAAGCAAAGTTAAACTCTGAGAGTTGAACGCACACATCGCAGAGCAGTTTCTGAGAATGATTCTGTCTAGTTTTTATACGAAGATATTTCCTTTTCTGCCTTTGGCCTCAAAGCGCTTGAAATCTCCATTTGCAAATTCCACAAAAAGAGTGTTTCAAATCTGCTGTGTGTAAATGAAAGTTCAACTCTGTGAGTTGAACACACACAACACAAGGAAGTTACTGGGAATTCTTCTTTCTAGCAGAATATGAAGAAATCCCGTTTCCAACGAAAGCCTCAAGGATGTCGGAATATCCACTTGCAGACTTTACAAACAGAGTGTTTCCTAACTGCTCTATGAAAAGAAAGGTTAAACTCTGTGAGTTGAACGTACACATCACAAAGGAGTTTCTGAGAATCATTCTGTCTAGTTTCTATAGGAAGATATTTCCTATTCTACCATTGACCTCAAAGCGGCTGAAATCTCCACTTGCAAATTCCACAAAAAGTGTGTTTCAAGTCTGCTCTGTGTAAAGGATCGTTCAACTCTGTGAGTTGAATACAGACAACACAAGGAAGTTACTGAGAATTCTTCTGTCTAGCAGCAATATGAAGAAATCCCGTTTCCAACGAAGGCCACAAGATGTCAGAATATCCACTTACAGAATTTACAAACAGACTGTTTCCTAACTGCTCTACGAAAAGAAAGGTTAAACTCTGTGAGATGAACGAACACATCACAACGCAGTTTGTGGGAATGATTCTGTCTAGTTTTGAAACGAAGATATTTCCTTTTCTGCCATTGACCTTAAAGCGCTTGAAATCTACACTTGCAAATTGCACAAATAGAGTGTTTCAAATCTGCTCCGTCTAGGGAACGTTCAACTCTGTGAGTTGAATGCACACAACACAAGGAAGTTACTGGGAATTCTTCTGTCTAGCCTTACATGAAAAAAACCCGTTTCCAACGAAGGCCTCTAAGTGGTCAAATTATCCACGTGCAGACTTTACAAACAGAGTGTTTCCAAACTGCTGAATGAAAAGCAAAGTTAAACTCTGAGAGTTGAACGCACACATCGCAGAGCACTTTCTGAGAATGATTCTGTCTAGTTTTTCTACGAAGATATTTCCTTTTCTACAATTGACCTCAAAGCGGCTGAAATCTCCACTTGCAAATTCCACAAAAAGAGTGTTTCAAGTATGCTCTGTGTAAAGGATCGTTCAACTCTGTGAGTTGAATACACACAACACAAGGAAGTTACTGAGAATTCTTCTGTCTAGCAGAATATGAAGAAATCCCGTTTCCAACGAAGGCCTCAAAGAGGTCTGAATATCCACTTGCAGACTTTACAAACAGAGTGTTTCCTAACTGCTCTATGAAAAGAAAGGTTAAACTCTGTGAGTTGAACGCACACATCACAAAGGAGTTTATGAGAATCATTCTGTCTAGTTTCTGTAGGAAGATATTTCCTATTCTACCATTGACCTCAAAGCGGCTGAAATCTCCACTTGCAAATTCCACAAAAAGAGTGTTTCAAGTCTGCTCTCTGTAAAGGATCGTTCAACTCTGTGAGTTGAATGCACACAACACAAGGAAGTTACTGAGAATTATTCTGTCTAGCAGAATATGAAGAAATCCCTTTTCCAACGAAGGCCACAAGATGTCAGAATATCCACTTACAGAATTTACAAACAGACTGTTTCCTAACTGCTCTATGAAAAGAAAGGTTAAACTGCTGTGAGTTGAACGAACACATCACAACGCAGTTTGTGGGAATGATTCTGTCTAGTTTTGAAACGAAGATATTTCCTTTTCTGCCTTTGACCTTAAAGCGCTTGAAATCTACACTTGCAAATTGCACAAATAGAGTGTTTCAAATCTACTCTGTCTAAGGGAACGTTCAACTCTGTGATTTGATTGCACACAACACAAGGAAGTTACTGGGAATTCTTCTGTCTAGCCTTACAGGAAAAAAACCCGTTTCCAACGAAGGCCTCTAAGTGGTCAAAATATCCACGTGCAGACTTTACAAACAGAGTGTTTCCAAACTGGTGAATGAAAAGAAAGGTTAAACTCTGTGAGTTGAACGCACACATCACAAAGGAGTTTCTGAGAATCATTCTGTCTAGTTTTTATACGAAGATATTTCCTTTTCTGCCTTTGGCCTCAAAGCGCTTGAAATCTCCACTTGAAATTCCACAAAAAGAGTGTTTCAAATCTGCTCTGTGTAAATGAAAGTTCAACTCTGTGAGTTGAACACACACAACACAAGGAAGTTACTGGGAATTCTTCTGTCTAGCATAATATGAAGAAATCCCGTTTCCAACGAAGGCCTCAAGGAGGTGTGAATATCCACTTGCAGACTTTACAAACAGAGTGTTTCCTAACTGCTCTATGAAAAGAAAGGTTAAACTGTGTGAGTTGAACGCACACATCACAAAGAAGTTTCTGAGAATCATTCTGTCTAGTTTCTATTGGAAGATATTTCCTATTCTACCATTGACCTCAAAGCGGCTGAAATCTCCACTTGCAAATTCCACAAAAAGAGTGTTTCAAGTCTGCTCTCTGTAAAGGATCGTTCAACTCTGTGAGTTGAATACACACAACACAAGGAAAGTTACTGAGAATTCTTCTTTATAGCATAATATGAAGAAATCCCGTTTCCAACGAAGGCCTCAAAGAGGTCTGAATATCCACTTGCAGACTTTACAAACAGAGTGTTTCCTAACTGTTCTATGAAAAGAAAAGTTAAACTCTGTGAGTTGAACGCACACATCACAAAGGATTTTCTGGGAATCATTCTGTCTAGTTTTGAAACGAAGATATTTCCTTTTCTGCCATTGACCTTAAAGCGCTTGAAATCTCCACTTGCCAATTGCACAAAAAGAGTGTTTCAAATCTGCTCTGTCTAAGGGAACGTTCAACTCTGTGAGTTGAATGTACACAACACAAGGAAGTTACTGCGAATTCTTCTGTCTAGCCTTACAGGAAAAAAACCCGTTTCCAACGAAGGCCTCTAAGTGGTCAAAATATCCACGTGCAGACTTTACAAACAGAGTGTTTCCAAACTGCTGAATGAAAAGAAAAGTTAAACTCTGAGACTTGAACGCACACATCGCAGAGCAGTTTCTGAGAATGATTCTGTCTAGTTTTTATACGAAGATATTTCCTTTTCTGCGTTTGGCCCCAAAGCGCTTGAAGTCACCACTTGCAAATTCCACAAAAACAGTGTTTCAAATCTGCTCTCTCTAAATGAAAGTTCAACTCTGTCAGTTGAATACACACAACACAAGGAAGTTACTGAGAATTCTTCTGTCTAGCAGAATATGAAGAAATCCCGTTTCCAACGAAGGCCTCAAAGATGTCTGAATATCCACTTGCAGACTTTACAAACAGAGTGTTTCCTAACTGCTCTATGAAAGGAATGGTTAAACTCTGTGAGTTGAACGCACACATCACAAAGGAGTTTCTGACAATCATTCTGTCTAGTTTCTATAGGAAGATATTTCCTATTCTACCATTGATCTCAAAGAGGCTGAAATCTCCACTTGCAAAATCCACAAAAAGTGTGTTTCAAGTCTGCTCTGTGTAAAGGATCGTTCAACTCTGTGAGTTGAATACACACAACACAAGGAAGTTACTGAGAATTCTTCTGTCTAGCAGAATATGAAGAAATCCCGTTTCCAACGAAGGCCTCAATGAGGACTGAATATCCACTTGCCGACTTTACAAACAGAGTGTTTCCTAACTGCTCTATGAAAAGAAAGGTTAAACTCTGTGAGTTGAACGCACACATCACAAAGGAGTTTCTGAGAATCATTCTGTCTAGTTTTGAAACGAAGATATTTCCTTTTCTGCCATTGACCTCAAAGCGCTTGAAATCTCCACTTGCCAATTGCACAAAAAGAGTGTTTCAAATCTGCTCTGTTTAAGGGAACGTTCAACTCTGTGAGTTGAATGTACACAACACAAGGAAGTTACTGGGAATTCTTCTGTCTAGCCTTACATGAAAAAAACCCGTTTCCAACGAAGGCCTGTAAGTGGTCAAATTATCCACGTGCAGACTTTACAAACAGAGTGTTTCCAAACTGCTGAATGAAAAGAAAAGTTAAACTCTGAGAGTTGAACGCACACATCGCAGAGCAGTTTCTGAGAATGATTCTGTCTAGTTTTTATACGAAGATATTTCCTTTTCTGCCTTTGGCCTCCAAGCGCTTGAAATCTCCATTTGCAAATTCCACAAAAAGAGTGTTTCAAATCTGCTCTGTGTAAATGAAAGTTCAACTCTGTGAGTTGAACACACACAACACAAGGAAGTTACTGGGAATTCTTCTGTCTAGCAGAATATGAAGAAATCCCGTTTCCAACGAAGGCCTCAAAGGGGTCTGAATATCCACTTGCAGACTTTAAAAACAGAGTGTTTACTAACTGTTCTATGAAAAGAAAGGTTAAACTCTGTGAGTTGAACACACACATCACAAAGGAGTTTCTGAGAATCATTCTGTCTGGTTTATATATGAAGATATTTCCTTTTCTACCATTGACCTCAAAGCGGCTGAAATCTCCACTTACAAATTCCACAAAAAGAGTGTCTCAAGTCTGCTCTGTGTAAACGATCGTTCAACTCTGTGAGTTGAATACACACAACACAAGGAAAGTTTCTGAGAATTCTTCTGTCTAGCAGAATATGAAGAAATCCCGTTTCCAACGAAGGCCACAAGATGTCAGAATATCCACTTACAGAATTTACAAACAGACTGTTTCCTAACTGCTCTATGAAAAGAAAGGTTAAACTCTGTGAGTTGAACGAACACCTCACAACGCAGTTTGTGGGAATGATTCTGTCTAGTTTTTATACGAAGATATTTCTTTTTCTACCATTGACCTCAAAGCTGCTGAAATCACCACTTGCCAATTGCACAAAAAGAGTGTTTCAAATCTGCTCTGTCTAAGGGAACGTTCAACTCTGTGAGTTGAATGTACACAACACAAGGAAGTTCCTGGGAATTCTTCTGTCTAGCCTTACAAGAAAAAAACCCGTTTCCAACGAAGGCCTCTAAATGGTCAAAATATCCACGTGCAGACTTTACAAACAGAGTGTTTCCAAACTGCTGAATGAAAAGAAAAGTTAAACTCTGAGAGTTGAACGCACACATCGCAGAGCAGTTTCTGAGAATGATTCTGTCTAGTTGTTATACGAAGATATTTCCTTTTCTGCCTTTAGCCTCAAAGCGCTTGAAATCTCCACTTGCAAATTCCACAAAAAGAGTGTTTCAAATCTGCTCTGTGTAAAGGATCGTTCAACTCTGTGAGTTGAATACACACAACACAAGGAAGATTCTGAGAATTTTTCTTTCTAGCAGAATATGAAGAAATCCCGTTTCCAACGAAGGCCTCAAGGAGGTCTGAATATCCACTTGCAGACTTTACAAACAGAGTGTTTCCTAACTGCTCTATGAAAAGAAAGGTTAAACTGTGTGAGTTGAACGCACACATCACAAAGGAGTTTCTGAGAATCATTCTGTCTAGTTTTGAAACGAAGATATTTCCTTTTCTACCATTGGCCTCAACGCGGCTGAAATCTCCATTTGCAAATTCCACAAAAAGAGTGTTTCAAATCTGCTCTGTGTAAATGAAAGTTCAACTCTGTGAGTTGAACACACACAACACAAGGAAGTTACTGGGAATTCTTCTGTCTAGTAGAATATGAAGAAATCCCGTTTCCAACGAAGGCCACAAGATGTCAGAATATCCACTTACAGAATTGACAAACAGACTGTTTCCTAACTGCTCTATGAAAAGAAAGGTTAAACTCTGTTAGTTGAACGAACACATCACAACGCAGTTTGTGGGAATGATTCTGTCTAGTTTTGAAACGAAGATATTTCCTTTTCTGCCGTTGACCTTAAAGAGCTTGAAAACTACACTTGCAAATTGCACAAATAGAGTGTTTCAAATCTGCTCTGTCTAAGGGAACGTTCAACTCTGTGAGTTGAATGCACACAACACAAGGAAGTTACTGGGAATTCTTCTGTCTAGCCTTACAGGAAAAAAACCCGTTTCCAACGAAGGCCTCTAACTGGTCAAGTTATCCACGTGCAGACTTTACAAACAGAGTGTTTCCAAACTGCTGAATGAAAAGAAAAGTTAAACTCTGAGAGTTGAACGCACACATCGCAGAGCAGTTTCTGAGAATGATTCTGTCTAGTTTTGAAACGAAGACATTTCCTTTTCTGCCTTTGGCCTCAAAGCGCTTGAAATCTCCATTTGCAAATTCCACAAAAAGAGTGTTTCAAATCTGCTCTGTGTAAATGAAAGTTCAACTCTGTGAGTTGAACACACACAACACAAGGAAGTTACTGGGAATTCTTCTGTCTAGCCTTATATGAAAAAAACCCGTTTCCAATGAAGGCCTCAAAGAGGTCTGAATATCCACTTGCAGACTTTACAAACAGAGTGTTTTTAACTGCTCTATGAAAAGAAAGGTTAAACTCTGTGAGTTGAACGCACACATCACAAAGGAGTTTCTGAGAATCATTCTGTCTAGTCTTTATACGAAGATATTTCCTTTTCTACCATTGACCTCAAAGCGGCTGAAATCTCCACTTGCAAATTCCACAAAAAGAGTGTTTCAAGTCTGCTCTGTGTAAAGGATCATTCAACTCTGTGAGTTGAATAAACACAACACAAGGAAGTTACTGAGAATTCTTCTGTCTAGCAGAATATGAAGAAATCCCGTTTCCAACGAAGGCCTCAAAGAGGTCTGAATATCCACTTGCAGACTTTACAAACAGAGTGTTTCCTAACTGCTCTATGAAAAGAAAGGTTAAACTCTGTGAGTTGAACGCACACATCACAAAGGAGTTTGTGAGAATCATTCTGTCTAGTTTTGAAACGAAAATATTTCCTTTTCTGCCATTGACCTTAAAGCGCTTGAAATCTACACTTGCAAATTGCACAAATAGAGTGTTTCAAATCTGCTCTGTCTAAGGGAACGTTCATCTCTGTGAGTTGAGTGCACAGAACACAAGGAAGTTACTGGGAATTCTTCTGTCTAGCCTTTCATGAAAAAAACCCGTTTCCAACAAAGGCCTCTAAGTGGTCACAATGTCCACGTGCAAACTTTACAAACAGAGTGTTTCCAAACTGCTGAATGAAAAGAAAAGTTAAACTATGACAGTTGAACGCACACATCACAGAGCAGTTTCTGAGAATGACTCTGTCTAGTTTTTATACGAAGATATTTCCTTTTCTGCCTTTGGCCTCAAAGCGCTTGAAATCTCCACTTGCAAATTCCACAAAAAGAGTGTTTCCAATCTGCTCTGTGTAAATGAAAGTTCAACTCTGTGAGTTGAACACACACAACACAAGGAAGTTACTGAGAATTCTTCTTTCTAGCAGAATATGAAGAAATCCCGTTTCCAACGAAAGCCTCAAGGATGTCTGAATATCCACATGCAGACTTTACCAACAGAGTGTTTCCCAACTGCTCTATGAAAAGAAAGGTTAAACTCTGTGAGTTGAACGCACACATCACAAAGCAGTTTCTGAGAATCATTCTGTCTAGTTTTTCTACGAAGATATTTCCTTTTCTACTATTGACCTCAAAGCGGCTGAAATCTCCACTTGCAAATTCGACAAAAAGAGTGTTTCAAGTCTGCTCTCTGTAAAGGATCGTTCAAATCTGTGAGTTGAATACACACAACACAAGGAAGTTACTGAGAATTATTCTGTCTAGCAGAATATGAAGAAATCCCATTTCCAACGAAGGCCTCAAAGAGGTCTGAATATCCACTTGCAGACTTTACAAACAGAGTGTTTCCTACCTGCTCTACGAAAAGAAAGGTTAAACTCTGTGAGTTGAACGCACACATCACAAAGGAGTTTCTGAGAATCATTCTGTCTAGTTTTGAAACGAAGATATTTCCTTTTCTGCCGTTGACCTTAAAGCGCTTGAAATCTACACTTGCAAATTGCACAAATAGAGTGTTTCAAATCTGCTCTGTCTAAGGGAACGTTCAACTCTGTGAGTTGAATGCACACAACACAAGGAAGTTACTGGGAATTCTTCTGTCTAGCCTTACATGAAAAAAACCCGTTTCCAACGAAGGCCTCTAAGTGGTCAAAATATCCACGTGCAGACTTTACACACAGAGTGTTTCCAAACCGCTGAATGAAAAGAAAAGTTAAACTCTGAGAGTTGAACGCACACATCACGCAGCAGTTTCTGAGAATGATTCTGTCTAGTTTTTATACGAAGATATTTCCTTTTCTGCCTTTGGCCTCAAAGCGCTTTAAATCTCCACTTGCAAACTCCACAAAAAGAGTGTTTCAAATCTGCTCTGTCTAAGGGAAGGTTCAACTCTGTCAGTTGAATACACACAACAAAAGGAAGTTACTGAGAATTCTTCTGTCTAGCATAATATGAAGAAATCCCGTTTCCAACGAAGGCCTCAAGGAGGTCTGAATATCCACTTGCAGACTTTACAAACAGAGTGTTTCCTAAATGCTCTATGAAAAGAAAGGTTAAACTCTGTGAGTTGAACGCACACATCACAAAGGAGATTCTGAGAATCATTCTGTCTAGTTTCTATAGGAAGATATTTCCTATTCAACCATTGAACTCAAAGCGGCTGAAATCTCCACTTGCAAATTCCACAAAAAGAGTGTTTCAAGTCTGTTCTGTGTAAAGGATCGTTCACCTCTATGAGTTGAATACACACAACACAAGGAAGTTACTGAGAATTCTTCTGTCTAGCAGAATATGAAGAAATCCCGTTTCCAACGAAGGCCACAAGATGTCAGAATATCCACTTACAGAATTTACAAACAGACTGTTTCCTAACTGCTCTATGAAAAGAAAGGTTAAACTCTGTGAGATGAACGAACACATCACAACGCAGTTTTTGGGAATGATTCTGTCTAGTTTTGAAACGAAGATATTTCCTTTTCTGCCATTGACCTTAAAGCGCTTGAAATCTCCACTTGCCAATTGCACAAAAAGAGTGTTTCAAATCTGCTCTGTCTAAGGGAACGTTCAACTCTGTGAGTTGAATGTACACAACGCAAGGAAGTTACTGGGAATTCTTCTGTCTAGCCTTACATGAAAAAAAACCCGTTTCCAACGAAGGCCTCTAAGTGGTCAAATTATGCACGTGCAGACTTTACAAACAGAGTGTTTCCAAACTGCTGAATGAAAAGAAAAGTTAAACTCTGAGAGTTGAACGAACACATCGCAGAGCAGTTTCTGAGAATGATTCTGTCTAGTTTTGAAACGAAGATATTTCCTTTTCTGCCTTTGGCCTCAAAGCGCTTGAAATCTCCATTTGCAAATTCCACAAAAAGAGTGTTTCAAATCTGCTCTGTGTAAATGAAAGTTCAACTCTGTGAGTTGAACACACACAACACAAGGAAGTTACTGGGAATTCTTCTGTCTAGCATAATATGAAGAAATCCCGTTTCCAACGAAGGCCTCAAAGAGGTCTGAATATCCACTTGCACACTTTACAAACAGAGTGTTTCCTAACTGCTCTATGAGAAGAAAAGTTAAACTCTGTGAGTTGAACGCACACATCACAAAAGATTTTCTTAGAATCATTCTGTCTAGTCTTTATACGAAGATATTTCCTTTTCTACCATTGACCTCAAAACGGCTGAAATCTCCACTTGCAAATTCCACAAAAAGAGTGTTTCAAGTCTGCTCTGTGTAAAGGATCGTTCAACTCTGTGAGTTGAATACACACAACACAAGGAAGTTACTGAGAATTCTTCTGTGTAGCAGAATATGAAGAAATCCCGTTTCCAACGAAGGCCACAAGATGTCAGAATATCCACTTACAGAATTTACCAACAGAGTGTTTCCTAACTGCTCTATGAAAAGAAAGGTTAAACTCTGTGAGTTGAACGAACACATCACAACACAGTTTGTGGGAATGATTCTGTCTAGTTTTGAAACGAAGATATTTCCTTTTCTGCCATTGACCTTAAAGCGCTTGAAATCTCCACTTGCCAATTGCACAAAAAGAGTGTTTCAAATCTGCTCTGTCTAAGGGAACGT
The DNA here is from genome assembly GCF_000001405.40 of Homo sapiens. Taxonomy (NCBI): domain Eukaryota; kingdom Metazoa; phylum Chordata; class Mammalia; order Primates; family Hominidae; genus Homo; species Homo sapiens. The sequence goes on along the minus strand of NC_000019.10, from coordinate 26,799,384 downwards.
TCAACTCTGTGAGTTGAATGTACACAACCCAAGGAAGTTACTGGGAATTCTTCTGTCTAGCCTTACATGAAAAAAACCCGTTTCCAACGAAGGCTTCTAAGTGGTCAAAATATCCACGTGCAGACTTTACAAACAGAGTGTTTCCAAACCGCTGAATGAAAAGAAAAGTTAAACTCTGAGAGTTGAACGCACACATCACGCAGCAGTTTCTGAGAATGATTCTGTCTAATTTCTATAGGAAGATATTTCCTATTCTACATTGACCTCAAAGCGGCTGAAATCTCCACTTGCAAATTCCATAAAAAGAGTATTTCAAGTCTGCTCTGTGTAAAGGATCGTTGAAATCTGTGAGTTGAATACACACAACACAATGAAGTTACTGAGAATTCTTCTGTCTAGCACAGTATGAAGAAATCCCGTTTCCAACGAAGGCCTCAAAGAGGTCTGAATATCCACTTGCAGAGTTTACAAACAGAGTGTTTCCTAACTGCTCTATGAAAAGAAAGGTTAAACTCTGTGAGTTGAACGGCACACATCACAATGAAGTTTCTGAGAATCATTCTGTCTAGTTTTTATACGAAGATATTTCCTTTTCTACCATTGACTTCAAAGCGGCTGAAATCAGCACTTGCCAATTGCACAAAAAGAGTGTTTCAAATCTGCTCTGTCTAAGGGAACGGTTCAACTCTGTGAGTTGAATGTACACAACACAAGGAAGTTACTGGGAATTCTTCTGTCTAGCCTTACAGGAAAAAAACCCGTTTCCAAAGAAGGCCTCTAAGTGGTCAAGTTATCCACGTGCAGACTTTAGAAACAGAGTGTTTCCAAACTGCTGAATGAAAAGAAAAGTTAAACTCTGAGAGTTGAACGCACACATCGCAGAGCAGTTTCTGAGAATGATTCTGTCTAGTTTTTATACGAAGATATTTCCTTTTATACCATTGACCACAAAGCGGCTGAAATCACCACTTGCCAATTGCACAAAAAGAGTGTTTCAAATCTGCTCTGTCTAAGGGAACGTTCAACTCTGTGAGTTGAATGTACACAACACAAGGAAGTTACTGGGAATTCTTCTGTCTAGCCTTACAGGAAAAAAACACGTTTCCAACGAAGGCCTTTAAGTGGTCAAAATATCCACGTGCAGACTTTACAAACAGAGTGTTTCCAAACTGCTGAATGAAAAGAAAAGTTAAACTCTGAGACTTGAACGCACACATCACAGAGCAGTTTCCGAGAATGATTCTGTCTAGTTTCTATAGGAAGATATTTCCTATTCTACCATTGACCTCAAAGCGGCTGAAATCTCCACTTGCAAATTCCACAAAAAGAATGTTTCAAGTCTGCTCTGTGTAAAGGATCGTTCAAATCTGTGAGTTGAATACACACAACACAAGGAAGTTACTGAGAATTATTCTGTCTAGCAGAATTTGAAGAAATCCCGCTTCCAACGAAGGCCTCAAGGAAGTCTGAATATCCACTTGCAGACATTACAAACAGAGTGTTTCCCAACTGCTCTATGAAAAGAAAGGTTGAACTCTGTGAGTTGAACGCACACATCACAAAGGAGTTTCTGAGAATCATTCTGTCTAGTCTTTATACGAAGATATTTCCTTTTCTACCATTGACCTCAAAGCGGCTGAAATCTCCTCTTGCAAATTCCACAAAAAGAGTGTTTCAAGTCTGCTCTGTGTAAAGGATCGTTCAACTCTGTGAGTTGAATACTCACAACACAAGGAAGTTACTGAGAATTCTTCTGTCTAGCAGAATATGAAGAAATCCCGTTTCCAACGAAGGTCTCAAGGAGGTCTGAATATCCACTTGCAGACTTTACAAACAGAGTGTTTCCTAACTGCTCTATGAACAGAAAGGTAAAACTCTGTGAGTTGAACGAACACATCACAACGCAGTTTGTGGGAATGATTCTGTCTAGTTTTGAAACGAAGATATTTCCTTTTCTGTCATTGACCTTAAAGCGCTTGAAATCTACACTTGCAAATTGCACAAATAGAGTGTTTCAAATCTGCTCTGTCTAAGGGAACGTTCAACTCTGTGAGTTGAATGCACACAACACAAGGAAGTTACTGGGAATTCTTCTGTCTAGCCTTACATGAAAAAAACCCGTTTCCAACGAAGGCCTCTAAGTGGTCAAAATTTCCACGTGCAGACTTTACAAACAGAGTGTTTCCAAACCGCTGAATGAAAAGAAAAGTTAAACTCTGAGAGTTGAACGCACACATCACGCAGCAGTTTCTGAGAATGATTCTGTCTAGTTTTTATACGAAGATATTTCCTTTTCTGCCTTTGGCCCCAAAGCGCTTGAAATCTCCACTTGCAAATTCCACAAAAACAGTGTTTCAAATCTGCTCTCTCTAAATGAAAGTTCAACCCTGTCAGTTGAATACACACAACACAAGGAAGTTACTGAGAATTCTTCTGTCTAGCCTTATATGAAAAAAACCCGTTTCCAACGAAGGCCTCAAAGAGGTCTGAATATCCACTTGCAGACTTTACAAACAGAGTGATTCCTAACTGCTCTATGAAAAGAAAGGTTAAACTGTGAGTTGAACACACACATCTCAAAGGAGTTTCTGAGAATCATTCTGTCTAGTTTCTATAAGAAGATATTTCCTATTCTACCATTGACCTCAAAGCGGCTGAAATCTCCACTTGCAAATTCGACAAAAAGAGTGTTTCAAGCCTGCTCTCTGTAAAGGATCCTTCAACTCTGTGAGTTGAATACACACAACACAAGGAAGTTACTGAGAATTATTTCTGTCTAGCCAAATATGAAGAAATCCCGTTTCCAACGAAGGCCACAAGATGTCAGAATATCCACTTACAGAATTGACAAACAGACTGTTTCCTAACTGCTCTATGAAAAGAAAGGTTAAACTCCTGTGAGTTGAACGAACACATCACAACGCAGTTTGTGGGAATGATTTCTGTCTAGTTTTGAAACGAAGATATTTCCTTTTCTGCCATTGACCTTAAAGCGCTTGAAATCTACACTTGCAAATTGCACAAATAGAGTGTTTCAAATCTGCTCTGTCTAAGGGAACGTTCAACTCTGCAAGTTGAATGCACACAACACAAGGAAGTTACTGGGAATTCTTCTGTCTAGCCTTACATGAAAAAAACCCGTTTCCAACGAAGGCCTCTAAGTGGTCAAAATATCCACGGGCAGACTTTACAAATAGAGTGTTTCCAAACCGCTGAATGAAAAGAAAAGTTAAACTCTGAGAGTTGAACGCACACATCACGCCACAGTTTCTGAGAATGATTCTGTCTAGTTTTTATACGAAGATATTTCCTTTTCGGCCTTTGGCCCAAAAGCGCTTGAAATCTCCACTTGCAAATTCCACAAAAACAGTGTTTCAAATCTGCTCTCTCTAAATGAAAGTTCAACTCTGTCAGTTGAATACACACAACACAAGGAAGTTACTGAGAATTCTTCTGTCTAGCAGAATACGAAGAAATCCCATTTCCAACGAAGGCCTCAAAGAGGTCTGAATATCCACTTGCAGACTTTACAAACAGAGTGTTTCCTAACTGCTCTATGAAAAGAAAAGTTAAACTCTGTGAGTTGAACGCACACATCACAAAGGAGTTTCTGAGAATCATTCTGTCTAGTCTTTATACGAAGATATTTCCTTTTCTACCATTGACCTCAAAGCGGCTGAAATCTCCACTTGCAAATTCCACAAAAAGAATGTTTCAAGTCTGCTCTCTGTAAAGGATCATTCAACTCTGTGAGTTGAATACACACAACACAAGGAAGTTACTGAGAATTATTCTGTCTAGCAGAATATGAAGAAATCCCGTTTCCAACGAAGGCCTCAAATAGGTCTGAATATCCACTTGCAGACTTTACAAACAGAGTGTTTCCTAACTGCTCTATGAAAAGAAAAGTTGAACTCTGTGAGTTGAACGCACACATCACAACGCAGTTTGTGGGAATGATTCTGTCTGGTTTTGAAACGAAGATATTTCCTTTTCTGCCGTTGACCTTAAAGCGCTTGAAATCTACACTTGCAAATTGCACAAATAGAGTGTTTCAAATCTGCTCTGTCTAAGGGAACGTTCAGCTCTGTGAGTTGAATGCACACAACACAAGGAAGTTACTGGGAATTCTTCTGTCTAGCCTTACATGAAAAAAACCCGTTTCCAACGAAGGCCTCTAAGTGGTCAAAATATCCACGTGCAGACTTTACAAACAGAGTGTTTCCAAACCGCTGAATGAAAAGAAAAGTTAATCTCTGAGAGTTGAACGCACACATCACGCAGCAGTTTCTGAGAATGATTCTGTCTAGTTTTGAAACGAAGATATTTCCTTTTCTGCCTTTGGCCTCAAAGCGCTTGAAATCTCCACTTGCAAATTCCACAAAAAAAGTGTTTCAAATCTGCTCTGGGTAAATGAAAGTTCAACTCTGTGAGTTGAACACACACAACACAAGGAAGTTACTGGGAATTCTTCTGTCTAGCACAGTATGAAGAAATCCCGTTTCCAACGAAGGCCTCAAAGAGGTGTGAATATCGACTTGCAGAGTTTACAAACAGAGTGTTTCCTAACTGCTCTATGAAAAGAAAGGTTAAACTCTGTGAGTTGAACGCACACATCACAATGAAGTTTCTGAGAATCATTCTGTCTTGTTTCTATACGAAGATATTTCCTTTTCTACCATTGACCTCAAAGCGGCTGAAATCTCCACTTGCAAATTCCACAAAAAGAGTGTTTCAAGTCTGCTCTGTGTAAAGGATCGTTCAATTCTGTGAGTTGAATACACACAACACAAGGAAGTTACTGAGAATTCTTCTGTCTAGCAGAATATGAAGAAATCCCGTTTCCAACGAAGGCCACAAGATGTCAGAATATCCACTTTCATACTTTACAAACAGTGTGTTTCCTAACTGCTCTATGAACAGAAAGGTTAAACTCTGTGGGTTGAACGAACACATCACAACGCAGTTTGTGGGAATGATTCTGTCTAGTTTTGAAACGAAGATATTTCCTTTTCTGCCGTTGACCTTAAAGCGCTTGAAATCTACACTTGCAAATTGGACAAATAGAGTGTTTCAAATCTGCTCTGTCTAAGGGAACGTTCAACTCTGTGAGTTGAATGCACACAACACAAGGAAGTTACTGGGAATTCTTCTGTCTAGCCTTACATGAAAAAATCCCGTTTCCAACGAAGGCCTCTAAGTGGTCAAAATATCCACGTGCAGTCTTTACAAACAGAGTGTTTCCAAACCGCTGAATGAAAAGAAAAGTTAAACTCTGAGAGTTGAACGCACACATCACGCAGCAGTTTCTGAGAATGATTCTGTCTAGTTTTTATACGAAGATATTTCCTTTTCTGCCTTTGGCCCCAAATCGCTTGAAATCTCCACTTGCAAATTCCACAAAAACAGTGTTTCAAATCTGCTCTCTCTAAATGAAAGTTCAACTCTGTCAGTTGAATACACACAACACAAGGAAGTTACTGAGAATTCTTCTGTCTAGCCTTATATGAAAAAAACCCGTTTCCAACGAAGGCCTCAAAGAGGTCTGAATATCCACTTGCAGACTTTACAAACAGAGTGTTTCATAACTGCTCTATGAAAAGAAAGGTTAAACTTCTGTGAGTTGAACGCACACATCACAAAGGAGTTTCTGAGAATCATTCTGTCTAGTCTTTATACGAAAATAGTTTCCTTTTCTACCATTGACCTCAAAGCGGCTGAAATCACCACTTGCAAATTCCACAAAAAGAGTGTTTCAAGTCTGCTCGGTGTAAAGGATCGTTCAACTCTGTGAGCTGAATACACACAACACAAGGAAGTTACTGAGAATTCTTCTGTCTAGCAGAATATGAAGAAATCCCGTTTCCAACGAAGGCCACAAGATGTCAGAATATCCACTTACAGACTTTACAAACAGAGTGTTTCCTAACTGCTCTATGAACGGAAAGGTTAAACTCTGTGAGTTGAACGAACACATCACAACGCAGTTTGTGGGAATGATTCTGTCTAGTTTTGAAACGAAGATATTTCCTTTTCTGCCATTGACCTTAAAGCGCTTGAAATCTACACTTGCAAATTGCACAACTAGAGTGTTTCAAATCTGCTCTGTCTAAGGGAACGTTCAACTCTGTGAGTTGAATGCACACAACACAAGGAAGTTACTGGGAATTCTTCTGTCTAGCCTTACATGAAAAAAAACCCGTTTCCAACGAAGGCCTCTAAGTGGTCAAAATATCCACGTGCAGACTTTACAAACAGAGTGTTTCCAAACCGCTGAATGAAAAGAAAAGTTAAACTCTGAGAGTTGAACGCACACATCACGCAGCAGTTTCTGAGAATGATTCTGTCTAGTTTTTATACGAAGATATTTCCTTTTCTGCCTTTGACCCCAAAGCGCTTGAAATTTCCACTTGCAAATTCCACAAAAACAGTGTTTCAAATCTGCTCTCTCCAAATGAAAGTTCAACTCTGTCAGTTGAATACACACAACACAAGGAAGTTACTGAGAATTCTTCTGTCTAGCATAATATGAAGCAATCCCATTTCCAACGAAGGCCTCAAAGGGGTCTGAATATCCACTTGCAGACTTTATAAACAGAGTGTTTACTAACTGCTCTATGAAAAGAAAGGTTAAACTCTGTGAGTTGAACACACACATCACAAAGGAGTTTCTGAGAATCATTCTCTCTAGTTTTTATACGAAGATATTTCCTTTTCTACCATTGACCTCAAAGCGGCTGAAATCTCCACTTGCAAATTCCACAAAAATAGTGTTTCAAATCTGCTCTGTGTAAACCATCGTTCAACTGTGTGAGTTGAATACACACAACACAAGGAAGATTCTGAGAATTCTTCTGTCTAACAGAATATGAAGAAATCGCGTTTCCAACGAAGGCCACAAGATGTCAGAATATCCACTTATAGACTTTACAAACAGAGTGTTTCCTAACTGCTCTATGAACAGAAAGGTTAAACTCTGTGAGTTGAACGAACACATCACAACGCAGTTTGTGGGAATAATTCTGTCTAGTTTTGAAACGAAGATATTTCCTTTTCTGCCTTTGACCTTAAAGCGCTTGAAATCTACACTTGCAAATTCACAAATAGAGTGTTTCAAATCTGCTCTGTCTAAGGGAACGTTCAACTCTGTGAGTTGAATGCACACAACACAAGGAAGTTACTGGGAATTCTTCTGTCTAGCCTTACATGAAAAAAACCCGTTTCCAACGAAGGCCTCTAAGTGGTCAAAATATCCACGTGCAGACTTTACAAACAGAGTGTTTCCAAACCGCTGAATGAAAAGAAAAGTTAAACTCTGAGAGTTGAACGCACACATCACACAGCAGTTTCTGAGAATGATTCTGTCTAGTTTTTATATGAAGATATTTCCTTTTCTACCATTGACCTCAAAGCGGCTGAAATCTCCACTTACAATTTCCACAAAAAGAGTGTCTCAAGTCTGCTGTGTGTAAACGATCGTTCAACTCTGTGAGTTGAATACACACAACACAAGGAAGTTTCTGAGAATTCTTCTGTATAGCAGAATATGAAGAAATCCCGTTTCCAACGAAGGCCTCAAGGAGGTCTGAATATCCACTTGCAGACTTTACAAACAGAGTGTTTCCTAACTGCTCTATGAAAAGAAAGGTTAAACTCTGTGAGTTGAACGCACACATCACAAAGGAGTTTCTGAGAATCATTCTGTCTAGTTTTTATACGAAGATATTTCCTTTTCTACCATTTACCTCAACACGGCTGAAATCTCCACTTGCAAATTCCACAAAACGAGTGTTTCAAGTGCGCTCTGTGTAAAGGATCGTTCAACTCTGTGAGTTGAATACACACAACACAAGGAAGTTACTGAGAATTCTTCTGTCTAGCAGAAGATGAAGAAATCCCGTTTCCAACGAAGGCCACAAGATGTCAGAATATCCACTTGCAGACTTTACAAACAGAGTGTTTCCTAACTGCTCTATGAACAGAAAGGTTAAACTCTGTGAGTTGAACGAACACATCACAACGCAGTTTGTGGGAATGATTCTGTCTAGTTTTGAAACGAAGATATTTCCTTTTCTGCCATTGACCTTAAAGCGCTTGAAATCTCCATTTGCCAATTGCACAAAAAAAGTGTTTCAAATCTGCTCTGTCTAAGGGAACGTTCAACTCTGTGAGTTGAATGTACACAACACAAGGTAAGTTACTGGGAATTCTTCTGTCTAGCCTTACATGAAAACAACCCGTTTCCAACGAAGGCCTCTAAGTGGTCAAATTATCCACGTGCAGACTTTACAAACAGAGTGTTTCCAAACTGCTGAATGAAAAGAAAAGTTAAACTCTGAGAGTTGAACGCACACATCGCAGAGCAGTTTCTGAGAATGATTCTGTCTAGCCTTATATGAAAAAAACCCGTTTCCAACGAAGGCCTCAAAGAGGTCTGAATATCCACTTGCAGACTTTACAAACAGAGTGTTTCCTAACTGCTCTATGAAAAGAAAGGTTAAATTCTGTGAGTTGAACGCACACATCACAAAGGAGTTTCTGAGAATCATTCTGTCTAGTCTTTATATGAAGATAGTTTCCTTTTCTACCATTGACCTCAAAGCGGCTGAAATCTCCACTTGCAAATTCCACAAAAAGAGTGTTTCAAGTCTGCTCTGTGTAAAGGATCGTTCAACTCTGTGAGTTGAATTCACACAACACAAGGAAGTTACTGAGAATTCTTCTGTCTAGCAGAATATGAAGAAATCCCGTTTCCAACGAAGGCCACAAGATGTCAGAATATCCACTTACAGAATTTACAAACAGACTGTTTCCTAACTGCTCTATGAAAAGAAAGGTTAAACTCTGTGAGTTGAATGAACACATCACAACGCTGTTTGTGGGAATGATTCTGTCTAGTTTTGAAACGAAGATATTTCCTTTTCTGCCATTGACCTGAAAGCGCTTGAAATCTACACTTGCAAATTGCACAAATAGAGTGTTTCAAATCTGCTCTGTCTAAGGGAACGTTCAAGTCTGTGAGTTGAATGCACACAACACAAGGAAGTTACTGGGAATTCTTCTGTCTAGCCTTAAATGAAAAAAACCCGTTTCCAACGAAGGCCTCTAAGTGGTCAAAATTTCCACGTGCAGACTTTACAAACAGAGTGTTTCCAAACCGCTGAATGAAAAGAGAAGTTAAACTCTGAGAGTTGAACGCACACATCACGCAGCAGTTTCTGAGAATGATTCTGTCTAGTTTTTATACGAAGATATTTCCTTTTCTGCCTTTGGCCTCAAAGCGCTTGAAATCTCCATTTGCAAATTCCACAAAAAGAGTGTTTCAAATCTGCTCTGTGTAAATGAAAGTTCAACTCTGTGAGTTGAATACAAACAACACAAGGAAGATTCTGAGAATTCTTCTGTATAGCAGAATATGAAGAAATCCCGTTTCCAACGAAGGCCTCAAGGAGGTCTGAATATCCACTTGCAGACTTTACAAACAGAGTGTTTCCTAACTGCTCTACGAAAAGAAAGGTTAAACTCTGTGAGTTGAACGCAGACATCACAAAGGAGTTTCTGAGAATCACTCTGTCTAGTTTCTATGGGAAGATATTTCCTATTCTACCATTGACCTCAAAGCGGCTGAAATCTCCACTTGCAAATTCCAGAAAAAGAGTGTTTCAAGTCTGCTCTGTGTAAAGGATCGTTCAACTCTGTGAGTTGAATACACACAACACAAGGAAGTTACTGAGAATTCTTCTGTCTAGCATAATATGAAGAAATCCCGTTTCCTACGAAGGCCTCAAAGAGGTCTGAATATCCACTTGCAGACTTTACAAACAGAGTGTTTCCTAACTGCTCTATGAAAAGAAAGGTTAAACTCTGTGAGTTGAGCGCACACATCACAAAGAAGTTTCTGAGAATCATTCTGTCTAGTTTTTATAGGGAGATATTTCCTTTTCTACCTTTGACTTCAAAGCGGCTGAAATCTCCACTTGCAAATTCCACAAAAAGAGTGTTACAAGTCTGCTCTGTGTAAAGGATCGTTCAACTCTGTGAGTTGAATACACACAACACAAGGAAGTTACTGAGAATTCTTCTGTCTAGCCTTACAGGAAAAAAACCCGTTTCCAATGAAGGCCTCTAAGTGGTCAAAATATCCACGTGCAGACTTTACAAACAGAGTGTTTCCACACTGCTGAATGAAAAGAAAAGTTAAACTCTGAGAGTTGAACGCACACATCGCAGAGCAGTTTCTGAGAATGATTCTGTCTAGTTTTTATACGAAGATATTTCCTTTTCTGCCTTTGGCCTCAAAGCGCTTGAAATCTCCACTTGCAAATTCCACAAAAAGAGTGTTTCAAATCTGCTCTGTGTAAATGAAAGTTCAACTCTGTGAGTTGAACACACACAACACAAGGAAGTTACTGGGAATTGTTTCTGTATAGCAGAATATGAAGGAATCCCGTTTCCAACGAAGGCCTCAAGGAGGTCTGAATATCCACTTGCAGACTTTACAAACAGAGTGTTTCCTACCTGCTCTATGAAAAGAAAGGTTAAACTCTGTGAGTTGAACGCACACATCACAAAGGAGTTTCTGAGAATCATTTTGTCTAGTTTCTATAAGAAGATATTTCCTATTCTACCATTGACCTCAAAGCGGCTGAAATCTCCACTTGCAAATTCGACAAAAAGAGTGTTTCAAGCCTGCTCGCTGTAAAGGATCCTTCAACTCTGTGAGTTGAATACACACAACACAAGGAAGTTACTGAGAATTCTTCTGTCTAGCAGAATATGAAGAAATCCCGTTTCCAACGAAGGCCTCAAACAGGTCTGAATATCCACTTGCAGACTTTACAAACAGAGTGTTTCCTAACTGCTCTATGAAAAGAAAAGTTAAACTCTGTGAGTTGAACGCACACATCACAAAAGATTTTCTGAGAATCATTCTGTCTAGTTTTGAAACGAAGATATTTCCTTTTCTGCCATTGACCTTAAAGTGCTTGAAATCTACACTTGCAAATTGCACAAATAGAGCGTTTCAAATCTGCTCTGTCTAAGGGAACGTTCATCTCTGTGAGTTGAATGCACACAACACAAGGAAGTTACTGGGAATGCTACCGTCTAGCCTTACATGAAAAAAAACCCGTTTCCAACGAAGGCCTCTAAGTGGTCAAAATATCCACGTGCAGACTTTACAAACAGAGTGTTTCCAAACTGCTGAATGAAAAGAAAAGTTAAACTCTGAGAGTTGAACGCACACATCACAGAGCAGTTTCTGAGAATGATTCTGACTAGTTTTTATACGAAGATATTTCCTTTTCTGCCTTTGGCCTCAAAGCGCTTGAAATCTCCACTTGCAAATTCCACAAAAAGAGTGTTTCCAATCTGCTCTGTGTAAATGAAAGTTCAACTCTGTGAGTTGAACACACACAACACAAGGAAGTTACTGGGAATTCTTCTGTCTAGCAGAATATGAAGAAATCCCGTTTCCAACGAAGACCTCAAGGAGGTCTGAATATCCACTTGCAGACTTTAGAGAGTGTTTCCTAACTGCTCTATGAAAAGAAAGGTTAAACTCTGTGAGTTGAACGCACACATCACAAAGGAGTTTCTGAGAATCATTCTATCTAATTTCTATAGGAAGATATTTCCTATTCTACGATTGACCTCAAAGCGGCTGAAATCTCCAATTGGAAATTCCACAAAAAGAGTGTTTCAAGTCTGCTCTCTGTAAAGGATCGTTCAACTCTGTGAGTTGAATACACACAACACAAGGAAGTTACTGAGAATTATTCTGTCTAGCATAATATGAAGAAATCCCGTTTCCAACGAAGGCCTCAAAGACGTCTGAATATCCACTTGCAGACTTTACAAACAGAGTGTTTCCTAACTGCTCTATGAAAAGAAAAGTTAAACTCTGTGAGTTCAACGCACACATCACAGAGGAGTTTATGAGAATCATTCTGTCTAGTTTTGAAACGAAGATATTTCCTTTTCTGCCATTGACCTCAAAGCGCTTGAAATCTCCACTTGCCAATTGCACAAAAAGAGTGTTTCAAATCTGCTCTGTCTAAGGGAACGTTCAACTCTGTGAGTTGAATGTACACAACACAAGGAAGTTACTGGGAATTCTTCTGTCTAGCCTTACATGAAAAAAAACCCGTTTCCAACGAAGGCCTCTAAGTGGTCAAAATATCCACGTGCAGACTTTACAAACAGAGTGTTTCCAAACTGCTGAATGAAAAGAAAAGTTAAACTCTGAGAGTTGAACGCACACATCACAGAGCGGTTTCTGAGAATGATTCTGTCTAGTTTTTATACGAAGACATTTCGTTTTCTGCCTTTGGCCCCAAAGCGCTTGAAATCTCCACTTGCAAATTCCACAAAAACAGTGTTTCAAATCTGCTCTCTCTAAATGAAAGTTCAACTCTGTCAGTTGAATACACACAACACAAGGAAGTTACTGAGAATTCTTCTATCTAGCCTTATATGAAAAAAACCCGTTTCCAACGAAGGCCTCAAAGAGGTCTGAATATCCACTTGCAGACTTTACAAACAGAGTGTTTCCTAACTGCTCTATGAAAAGAAAGGTTAAACTCTGTGAGTTGAACGCACACATCACAAAGGAGTTTCTGAGAATCATTCTGTCTAGTTTTTATAGGAAGTTATTTCCTTTTCTACCTTTGACTTCAAAGTGGCTGAAATCTCCACTTGCAAATTCCACAAAAAGAGTGTTACAAGTCTGCTCTGTGTAAAGGATCGTTCAACTCTGTGAGTTGAATACACACTACACAAGGAAGTTACTGAGAATTCTTCTGTCTAGCAGAATATGAAGAAATCCCGTTTCCAACGAAGGCCACATGATGTCAGAATATCCACTTACAGACTTTACAAACAGAGTGTTTCCTAACTGCTCTATGAAAAGAAAGGTTAAACCCTGTGTGTTGAACGAACACATCACAACGCAGTTTGTGGGAATGATTCTGTCTAGTTTTGAAACGAAGATATTTCCTTTTCTGCCTTTGGTCTCAAAGCGCTTCAAATCTCCACTGGCCAATTCCACATAAAGAGTGTTTCAAATCTGCTCTGTCTAAATGAAAGTTCAACTCTGTCAGTTGAATACACACAACACAAGGGAGTTTCTGAGAATTCTTCTGTCTAGCAGAATATGAAGAACTCCCGTTTCCAACGAAGGCCTCAAAGAGGTCTGAATATCCACTTGCAGACTTTATAAACAGAGTGTTTCCTAACTGCTCTATGAAAAGAAAAGTTAAACTCTGTGAGTTGAGCGCACACATCACAAAGGAGTTTCTGAGAATCATTCTGTCTAGTTTCTATTGGAAGATATTTCCTATTCAACCATTGACCTCAAAGCGGCTGAAATCTCCACTTGCAAATTCCACAAAAAGAGTGTTTCAAGTCTGCTCTGTGTAAAGGATCGTTCAACTCTGTGAGTTGAATACACACAACACAAGGAAGTTACTGAGAATTCTTCTGTCTAGCATAATATGAAGAAATCCCGTTTCCAACGATGGCCTCAAAGAGGACTGAATATCCACTTGCAGACTTAACAAACAGAGTGTTTCCTAACTGCTCTATGAAAAGAAAGGTTAAACTCTGTGAGTTGAACGCACACATCACAAAGGAGTTTCTGAGAATCATTCTGTCTAGTTTCTATAGGAAGATATTTCCTATTCTACGATTGACCTCAAAGCGGCTGAAATCTCCACTTGCAAATTCCACAAAAAGAATGTTTCAAGTCTGCTCTGTGTAAAGGATCGTTCAATTCTGTGAGTTGAATACACACAACACAAGGAAGTTACTGAGAATTCTTCTGTCTAGCAGAATATGAAGAAATCCCGTTTCCAACGAAGGTCACAAGATGTCAGAATATCCACTTACAGAATTTACAAACAGACTGTTTCCTAACTGCTCTATGAAAAGAAAGGTTAAACTCTGTGAGTTGAACGAACACATCACAACGCAGTTTGTGCCAATGATTCTGTCTAGTGTTTATAGGAAGATATTTCCTTTTCTACCTTTGACTTCAAAGCGGCTGAAATCTCCACTTGCAAATTCCACAAAAAGAGTGTTACAAGTCTGCTCTGTGTAAAGGAACGTTCAACTCTGTGAGTTGAATACACACAACACAAGGAAGTTACTGAGAATTCTTCTGTCTAGCCTTACATGAAAAAAACCCGTTTCCAACAAAGACCTCTAAGTGGTCAAATTATCCACATGCAGACTTTACAAACAGAGTGTTTCCAAACTGCTGAATGAAAAGAAAAGTTAAACTCTGAGAGTTGAACGCACACATCGCAGAGCAGTTTCTGAGAATGATTCTGTCTAGTTTTTATACGAAGATATTTCCTTTTCTGCCTCTGGCCTCAAAGCGCTTGAAACCTCCATTTGCAAATTCCACAAAAAGAGTGTTTCAAATCTGCTCTGTGTAAATGAAAGTTCAACTCTGTGAGTTGAACACACACAACACATGGAAGTTACTGGGAATTCTTCTGTCTAGCATAATATGAAGAAATCCCGTTTCCAACGAAGGCCTCAAAGAGATCTGAATATCCACTTGCAGACTTTACAAACAGAGTGTTTCCTAACGGCTCTATGAACAGAAAGGTTAAACTCTGTGAGTTGAACGCACACATCACAAAGGAGTTTCTGAGAATCATTCTGTCTAGTCTTTATAGGAAGATATTTACTTTTCTACCATTGACCTCAAAGCGGCTGAAATCTCCACTTGCAAATTCCACAAAAAGAGTGTTTCAAGTCTGCTCTGTGTAAAGGATCATTCAACTCTGTGAGTTGAATAAACACAACACAAGGAAGTTACTGAGAATTATTCTGTCTAGCAGAATATGAAGAAATCCCGTTTCAAACGAAGGCCACAAGATGTCAGAATATCCACTTACAGAATTTACAAACAGAGTGTTTCCTAACTGCTCTATGAAAAGAAAGGTTAAACTCTGTGAGTTGAACGAACACATCACAACGCAGTTTGTGGGAATGATTCTGTCCAGTTTTGAAACGAAGATATTTCCTTTTCTGCCATTGACCTTAAAGCGCTTGAAATATCCATTTGCCAATTGCACAAAAAGAGTGTTTCAAATCTGCTCTGTCTAAGGGAACCGTTCAACTCTGTGAGTTGAATGTACACAACACAAGGAAGTTACTGGGAATTCTTCTGTCTAGCCTTACATGAAAAAATCCCGTTTCCAACGAAGACCTCTAAGTGGTCAAATTATCCACGTGCAGACTTTACAAACAGAGTGTTTCCAAACTGCTGAATGAAAAGCAAAGTTAAACTCAGAGAGTTGAACGCACACATCGCAGAGCAGTTTCTGAGAATGATTCTGTCTAGTTTCTATAGGAAGATATTTCCTATTCTACCATTGACCTCAAAGCGGCTGAAATCTCCACTTGCAATTTCCACAAAAAGAGTGTTTCAAGACTGTTCTGTGTAAAGGATCATTCAACTCTGTGAGTTGAATACACACAACACAAGGAAGTTACTGAGAATTCTTCTTTCTAGCAGAATATGAAGAAATCCCGTTTCCAACGAAAACCTCAAGGATGTCTGAATATTCACTTGCAGACTTTACAAACAGAGTGTTTCCTAACTGCTCTATGAAAAGAAAGGTTAAACTCTGTGAGTTGAACGCACACATCACAAAGGAGTTTCTGAGAATCATTCTGTCTAGTTTTTATACGAAGATATTTCCTTTTCTACCATGGACCTCAAAGCGGCTGAAATCTCCACTTGCAAATTCCACAAAAAGAGTGTTTCAAGTCTGCTCTGTGTAAAGGATCGTTCAACTCTGTGAGATGTATACACACAACACAAGGAAGTTACTGAGAATTCTTCTGTCTAGCAGAATATGAAGAAATCCCGTTTCCAACGAAGGCCACAAGATATCAGAATATCCACTTACAGACTTTACAAAGAGAGTGTTTCCTAACTGCTCTATGAACAGAAAGGTTAAACTCTGTGAGTTGAACGAACACATCACAACGCAGTTTGTGGGAATGATTCTGTCTAGTTTTGAAACGAAGATATTTCCTTTTCTGCCGTTGACCTTAAAGGGCTTGAAATCTACACTTGCAAGTTGCACAAATAGAGTGTTTCAAATCTGCTCTGTCTAAGGGAACGTTCAACTCTGTGAGTTGAATGCACACAACACAAGGAAGTTACTGGGAATTCTTCTGTCCAGCCTTACATGAAAAAAACCCGTTTCCAACGAAGGCCTCTAAGTGGTCAAAATATCCACGTGCAGACTTTACAAACAGAGTGTTTCCAAACCGCTGAATGAAAAGAAAAGTTAAACTCTGAGAGTTGAACGCACACATCACGCAGCAGTTTCTGAGAATGATTCTGTCTAGTCTTTATACGAAGATATTTACTTTTCTACCATTGTCCTCAAAGCGGCTGAAATCTCCACTTGCAAATTCCACAAAAAGAGTGTTTCAAGTCTGCTCTGTGTAAAGGATCATTCAACTCTGTGAGTTGAATACACACAACACAAGGAAGTTACTGAGAATTCTTCTGTCTAGCAGAATATGAAGAAATCCCGTTTCCAACGAAGGCCTCAAGGAGGTCTGAATATCCACTTGCAGACTTTACAAACAGAGTGTTTCCTAACTGCTCTATGAACAGAAAGGTTAAACTCTGTGAGTTGAACGCACACATCACAAAGGAGTTTATGAGAATCATTCTGTCTAGTTTCTATAAGAAGATATTTCCTATTCTACCATTGACCTCAAAGCGGCTGAAATCTCCACTTGCAAATTCGACAAAAAGAGTGTTTCAAGCCTGCTCTCTGTAAAGGATCCTTCAACTCTGTGAGTTGAATACACACAACACAAGGAAGTTACTGTAGAATTATTCTGTCTAGTAGAATATGGAGAAATCCAGTTTCCAACGAAGGCCACAAGATGTCAGAATATCCACTTACAGACTTTACAAACAGAGTGTTTCCTAACTGCTCTATGAACAGAAAGGTTAAACTCTGTGAGTTGAACGAACACATCACAACGCAGTTTGTGGGAATGATTCTGTCTAGTTTTGAAACGAAGATATTTCCTTTTCTGCCGTTGACCTTAAAGCGCTTGAAATCTACACTTGCAAATTGCACAAATAGAGTGTTCCAAATCTGCTCTGTCTAAGGGAACGTTCAACTCTGTGAGTTGAATGCACACAACACAAGGAAGTTACTGGGAATTCTTCTGTCTAGCCTTACATGAAAAAAACCCGTTTCCAACGAAGGCCTCTAAGTGGTCAAAATTTCCACGTGCAGACTTTACAAACAGAGTGTTTCCAAACTGCTGAATGAAAAGAAAAGTTAAACTCTGAGAGTTGAACGCACACATCACGCAGCAGTTTCTGAGAATGATTCTGTCTAGTTTTTATACGAAGATATTTCCTTTTCTGCCTTTAGCCCCAAAGCGCTTGAAATCTCCTCTTGCAAATTCCACAAAAACAGTGTTTCAAATCTGCTCTCTCTAAATGAAAGTTCAACTCTGTCAGTTGAATACACACAACACAAGGAAGTTACTGAGAATTCTTCTGTCTAGCATAATATGAAGAAATCCCGTTTCCAACGAAGGCCTCAAAGGGGTCTGAATATCCACTTGCAGACTTTATAAACAGAGTGTTTACTAACTGCTCTAGGAAAAGAAAGGTTAAACTCTGTGAGTTGAACGCACACATCACAAAGGAGTTTCTGAGAATCATTATGTCTAGTTTCTATAGGAAGATATTTCCTATTCTACCATTGACCTCAAAGCGGCCGAAATCTCCACTTGCAAATTCCACAAAAAGAGTGTTTCAAGTCTGCTCTCTGTAAAGGATCGTTCAACTCTGTGAGTTGAATACACACAACACAAGGAAGTTACTGAGAATTATTCTGTCTAGCAGAATATGAAGAAATCCCGTTTCCAACGAAGGCCACAAGATGTCAGAATATCCACTTACAGACTTTACAAACAGTGTGTTTCCTAACTGCTCTATGAACGGAAAGGTTAAACTCTGTGAGTTGAACGAACACATCTCAACGCAGTTTGTGGGAATGATTCTGTCTAGTTTTGAAACGAAGATATTTCCTTTTCTGCCATTGACCTTAAAGCGCTTGAAATCTACACTTGCAAATTGCACAAATAGAGTGTTTCAAATCTGCTCTGTCTAAGGGAACGTTCAACTCTGTGAGTTGAATGCACACAACACAAGGAAGTTACTGGGAATTCTTCTGTCTAGCCTTACAGGAAAAAAACCCATTTCCAACGAAGGCCTCTAAGTGGTCAAAATATCCACGTGCAGACTTTACAAACAGAGTGTTTCCAAACTGCTGAATGAAAAGAAAAGTTAAACTCTGAGAGTTGAAGGCACACATCGCAGAGCAGTTTCTGAGAATGATTCTGTCTAGTTTTCAAACGAAGATATTTCCTTTTCTGCCTTTGGCCTCAAAGCGCTTGAAATCTCCACTTGCAAATTCCACAAAAAGAGTGTTTCAAATCTGCTCTGTGTAAATGAAAGTTCAAACTCTGTGAGTTGAACACACACAACACAAGGAAGTTACTGGGAATTCTTCTCTCTAGCAGAATATGAAGAAATCCCGTTTCCAACGAAGGCCTCAAAGAGGTCTGAATATCCACTTGCAGACTTTACAAACAGAGTGTTTCCTAACTGCTCTATGAAAAGAAAGGTTAAACTCTGTGAGTTGAATGCACACATCAGAAAGGAGTTTCTGAGAATCATTCTGTCTAGTTTCTATAGGAAGATATTTCCTATTCTACCATTGACCTCAAAGCGGCTGAAATATCCACTTGCAAATTCCACCAAAAGAGTGTTTCAAGTCTGCTCTGTGTAAAGGATCGTTCAACTCTGTGAGTTAAATACACACAACACAAGGAAGTTACTGAGAATTCTTCTGTCTAGCACAGTATGAAGAAATCCCGTTTCCAACGAAGGCCACTAGATGTCAGAATATCCACTTACAGAATTGAAAAACAGACTGTTTCCTAACTGCTCTATGAAAAGAAAGGTTAAACTCTGTGAGTTGAACGAACACATCACAACGCAGTTTGTGGGAATGATTCTGTCTAGTTTTGAAACGAAGATATTTCCTTTTCTGCCATTGACCTTAAAGCGCTTGAAATCTCCACTTGCCAATTGCACAAAAAGAGTATTTCAAATCTGCTCTGTCTAAGGGAACGTTCAACTCTGTGAGTTGAATGTACACAACACAAGGAAGTTACTGGGAATTCTTCTGTCTAGCCTTACATGAAAAAAACCCGTTTCCAACGAAGGCCTCTAAGTGGTCAAATTATCCACGTGCAGACTTTACAAACAGAGTGTTTTCAAACTGCTGAATGAAAAGAAAAGTTAAACTCTGAGAGTTGAACGCACACATCGCAGAGCAGTTTCTGAGAATGATTCTGTCTAGTTTTTATACGAAGATATTTCCTTTTCTGCCTTTGGCCTCACAGCGCTTGAAATCTCCACTTGCAAATTCCACAAAAAGAGTGTTTCAAATCTGCTCTGTGTAAATGAAAGTTCAACTCTGTGAGTTGAACACACACAACACAAGGAAGTTACTGGGAATTCTTCTGTCTAGCAGAATATGAAGAAATCCCGTTTCCAACGAAGGACTCAAAGAGGTCTGAATATCCACTTGCAGACTTTACAAACAGAGTGTTTCCTAACTGCTCTATGAAAAGAAAGGTTAAACTCTGTGAGTTGAACGCACACATCACAAAGGAGTTTCTGAGAATCATTCTGTCTAGTTTCTATTGGAAGATATTTCCTATTCTACCATTGACCTCAAAGCGGCTGAAATCTCCACTTGCAAATTCCACAAAAAGAGTGTTTCAAGTCTGCTCTGTGTAAAGGATCGTTCAACTCTGTGAGTTGAATACACACAACACAAGGAAGTTACTGAGAATTCTTCTGTCTAGCAGAATATGAAGAAATCCCGTTTCCAACGAAGGCCACAAGATGTCAGAATATCCACTTACAGACTTTACAAACAGAGTGTTTCCTAACTGCTCTATGAACCGAAAGGTTAAACTCTGTGAGTTGAACGAACACATCACAACGCAGTTTGTGGGAATGATTCTGTCTAGTTTTGAAACGAAGATATTTCCTTTTCTGCCATTGACCTTAAAGCGCTTGTAATCTCCACTTGCCAATTGCCCAAAAAGAGTGTTTCAAATCTGCTCTGTCTAAGGGAACGTTCAACTCTGTGAGTTGAATGTACACAACACAAGGGAAGTTACTGGGAATTCTTCTGTCTAGCAGAATATGAAGAAATCCCGTTTCCAACGAAGACCTCAAAGAGGTCTGAATATCCACTTGCAGACTTTACAAACAGAGTGTTTCCTAACTGCTCTATGAAAAGAAAGGTTAAACTCCGTGAGTTGAACGCACACATCACAAATGAGTTTCTGAGAATCATTCTGTCTAGTTTCTATAGGAAGATATTTCCTATTCTACCATTGACCTCAAAGCGGCTGAAATCTCCACTTGCAAATTCCACAAAAAGAGTATTTCAAGTCTGCTCTGTGTAAAGGATCGTTCAACTCTGTGAGTTGAATAAACACAACACAAGGCAGTTACTGAGAATTCTTCTGTCTAGCATAATATGAAAAAATCCCGTTTCCAACGAAGGCCTCAAAGAGGTCTGAATATCCACTTGCAGACTTTACAAACAGAGTGTTTCCTAACTGCTCTATGAAAAGAAAAGTTAAACTCTGTGATTTGAACGCACACATCACAAAGGAGTTTCTGAGAATCATTCTGTCTAGTTTTTATACGAAGATATTTCCTTTTCTACCATTGACCTCAAAGAGGCTGAAATCTCCACTTGCAAATTCCACAAAAAGAGTGTTTCAAATCTGCTCTGTGTAAACCATCGTTCAACTCTGTGAGTTGAATACACACAACACAAGGAAGTTACTGAGAATTCTTCTGTCTAGCAGAATATGAAGAAATCCCGTTTCCAACCAAGGCCACAAGATGTCAGAATATCCACTTACAGACTTTACAAACAGAGTGTTTCCTAACTGCTCTATGAACAGAAAGGTTAAACTCTGTGAGTTGAACGAACACATCACAACGCAGTTTGTGGGAATGATTCTGTCTAGTTTTGAAACGAAGACATTTCCTTTTCTGCCATTGACCTTAAAGCGCTTGAAATCTACACTTGCAAATTGCACAAATAGAGTGTTTCAAATCTGCTCTGTCTAAGGGAACGTTCAACTCTGTGAGTTGAATGCACACAACACAAGGAAGTTACTGGGAATTCTTCTGTCTAGCCTTACATGAAAAAAACCCGTTTCCAACGAAGGCCTCTAAGTGGTCAAGTTATCCACGTGCAGACTTTACAAACAGAGTGTTTCCAAACTGCTGAATGAAAAGAAAAGTTAAACTCTGAGAGTTGAACGCACACATCGCAGAGCAGTTTCTGAGAATGATTCTGTCTAGTTTCTATAAGAAGATATTTCCTATTCTACCATTGACCTCAAAGCGGCTGAAATCTCCACAAGCAAATTCCACAAAAAGAGTGTTTCAAGTCTGCTCTGTGTAAAGGATCATTCAACTCTGTGAGTTGAATACACACAACACAAGGAAGTTACTGAGAATTATTCTTTCTAGCAGAATATGAAGAAATCCCGTTTCCAACGAAAGCCTCAAGGATGTCTGAATATCCACTTGCAGACTTTACAAACAGAGTGTTTCCTAACTACTCTATGAAAAGAAAGGTTAAACTCTGTGAGTTGAACGCACACATCACAAAGGAGTTTCTGAGAATCATTCTGTCTAGTTTTTCTACGAAGATATTTCCTTTTCTACTATTGACCTCAAAGCGGCTGAAATCTCCACTTGCAAATTCCACAAAAAGAGTGTTTCAAGTCTGCTCTGTGTAAAGGATCGTTCAACTCTGTGAGTTGAATACACACAACACAAGGAAGTTACTGATAATTCTTCTGTCTAGCAGAATGTGAAGAAATCCCGTTTCCAACGAAGGCCACAAGATGTCAGAATATCCACTTACAGAATTGACAAACAGACTGTTTCCTAACTGCTCTATGAAAAGAAAGGTTAAACTCTGTGAGTTGAACGAACACATCACAACGCAGTTTGTGGGAATGATTCTGTCTAGTTTTGAAACGAAGATATTTCCTTTTCTGCCATTGACCTTAAAGCGCTTGAAATCTCCATTTGCCAATTGCACAAAAAGAGTGTTTCAAATCTGCTCTGTCTAAGGGAACGTTCAACTCTGTGAGTTGAATGTACACAACACAAGGAAGTTACTGGGAATTCTTCTGTCTAGCCTTACAGGAATAAAACCCGTTTCCAACGAAGGCCTCTAAGTGGTCAAAATATCCACGTGCAGACTTTACAAAGAGAGTGTTTCCAAACTGCTGAATGAAAAGAAAAATTAAACTCTGAGAGTTGAATGCACACATCGCAGAGCAGTTTCTGAGAATGATTCTGTCTAGTTTTTATACGAAGATATTTCCTTTTCTGCCTTTGGCCCCAAAGCGCTTGAAATCTCCACTTGCAAATTCCACAAAAACAGTGTTTCAAATGTGCTCTCTCTAAATGAAAGTTCAGCTCTGTCAGTTGAATACACACAACACAAGGAAGTTACTGAGAATTCTTCTGTCTAGCCTTACATGAAAAAACCCCGTTGCCAACGAAGGCCTCAAAGAAGTCCAAATATCCACGTGCAGACTTTACAAACAGAGTGTTTCCTAACTGCTCTATGAAAAGAAAGGTTAAACTCTGTGAGTTGAACGCACACATCACAAAGGAGTTTCTGAGAATCATTCTGTCTAGTTTTTATACGAAGATATTTCCTTTTCTACCATTGACCTCAAAGCGGCTGAAATCTCCAATTGCAAATTCCACAAAAAGAGTGTTTCGAGTCTGCTCTGTGTAAAGGATCGTTGAACTCTGTGAGTTGAATACACACAACACAAGGAAGTTACTGAGAATTCTTCTGTCTAGCAGAATATGAAGAAATCCCGTTTCCAACGAAGGCCACAAGATGTCAGAATATCCACTTACAGACTTTACAAACAGAGTGTTTCCTAACTGCTCTATGAACAGAAAGGTTAAACTCTATGAGTTGAACGAACACATCACAACGCAGTTTGTGGGAATGATTCTGTCTAGTTTTGAAACGAAGATATTTCCTTTTCTGCCATTGACCTTAAAGCGCTTGAAATCTACACTTGCAAATTGCACAAATAGAGTGTTTCAAATCTGCTCTGTCTAAGGGAACGTTCAACTCTGTGAGTTGAATGCACACAACACAAGGAAGTTACTGGGAATTCTTCTGTCTAGCCTTACATGAAAAAAACCCGTTTCCAACGAAGGCCTCTAAGTGGTCAAAATTTCCACGTGCAGACTTTACAAACAGAGTGTTTCCAAACCGCTGAATGAAAAGAAAAGTTAAACTCTGAGAGTTGAACGCACACATCACGCAGCAGTTTCTGAGAATGATTCTGTATAGTTTCTATAGCAAGATATTTCCTATTCTACCATTGACCTCAAAGCGGCTGAAATCTCCACTTGCAAATTCCACAAAAAGAGTGTTTCAAGTCTGCTCTGTGTAAAGGATCGTTCAACTCTGTGAGTTGAATACAGACAACACAAGGAAGTTACTGAGAATTCTTCTTTCTAGCAGAATATGAAGAAATCCCTTTTCCAACGAAAGCCTCAAGGATGTCTGAATATCCACTTGCAGACTTTACAAACAGAGTGTTTCCCAACTGCTCTATGAAAAGAAAGGTTAAACTCTGTGAGTTGAACGCACACATCACAAAGGAGTTTCTGAGAATCATTCTGTCTAGTTTCTATAGGAAGATATTTCCTATTCTACCATTGACCTCAAAGCGGCTGAAATCTCCACTTGCAAATTCCACAAAAAGAGTGTTTCAAGTCTGCTCTCTGTAAAGGATCGTTCAACTCTGTGAGTTGAATACACACAACAAAAGGAAGTTACTGAGAATTATTCTGTCTAGCAGAATATGAAGAAATCCCGTTTCCAACGAAGGCCTCAAAGAGGTCTGAATATCCACTTGCAGACTTTACAAACAGAGTGTTTCCTAACTGCTCTATGAAAAGAAAAGTTAAACTCTGTGTGTTGAACGCACACATCACAAAGGAGTTTACTGAGAATCATTCTGTCTAGTTTTTATAGGAAGTTATTTCCTTTTCTACCTTTGACTTCAAAGTGGCTGAAATCTCCACTTGCAAATTCCACAAAAAGAGTGTTACAAGTCTGTTCTGTGTAAAGGATCGTTCAACTATGTGAGTTGAATACACACAACACAAGGAAGTTACTGAGAATTCTTCTGTCTAGCCTTACATGAAAAAAACCCGTTTCCAACGAAGGCCTCTAAGTGGTCAAGTTATCCACGTGCAGACTTTACAAACAGAGTGTTTCCAAACTTCTGAATGAAAAGAAAAGTTAAACTCTGAGAGTTGAACGCACACATCGCAGAGCAGTTTCTGAGAATGATTCTGTCTAGTTTTTATACGAAGATATTTCCTTTTCTGCCTTTGGCCCCAAAGCGCTTGAAATCTCCACTTGCAAATTCCACAAAAACAGTGTTTCAAGTCTGCTCTCTCTAAATGAAAGTTCAACTCTGTCAGTTGAATACACACAACACAAGGAAGTTACTGAGAATTCTTCTGTCTAGCATAGTATGAAGAAATCCCGTTTCCAACGAAGGCCTCAAAGAGGTCTGAATATCCACTTGCAGAGTTTACAAACAGAGTGTTTCGTAACTGCTCTATGAAAAGAAAGGTTAAACTCTGTGAGTTGAACGCACACATCACAAAGAAGTTTCTGAGAATCATTCTGTCTAGTTGTTATACGAAGATATTTCCTTTTCTACCGTGGACCTCAAAGCGGCTGAAATCTCCACTTGCAAATTCCACAAAAAGAGTGTTTCAAGTCTGCTCTGTGTAAAGGATCGTTCAACTCTGTGAGTTGAATACACACAACACAAGGAAGATTCTGAGAATTCTTCTGTCTAGCACAGTATGAAGAAATCCGGTTTCCAACGAAGGCCTCAAAGAGGTCTGAATATCCACTTGCAGAGTTTACAAACAGAGTGTTTCCTAACTGCTCTATGAAAAGAAAGGTTAAACTCTGTGAGTTGAACACACACATCTCAAAGGAGTTTCTGAGAATCATTCTGTCTAGTTTTGAAACGAAGATATTTCCTTTTCTGCCATTGACCTTAAAGCGCTTGAAATCTCCATTTGCCAATTGCACAAAAAGAGTGTTTCAAATCTGCTCTGTCTAAGGGAACGTTCAACTCTGTGAGTTGAATGTACACAACACAAGGAAGTTACTGGGAATTCTTCTGTCTAGCCTTACAAGAATAAAACCCGTTTCCAACGAAGGCCTCTAAGTGGTCAAAATATCCACGTGCAGACTTTACAAAGAGAATGTTTCCAAACTGCTGAATGAAAAGAAAAATTAAACTCTGAGAGTTGAATGCACACATCGCAGAGCAGTTTCTGAGAATGATTCTGTCTAGTTTTGAAACGGAGATATTTCCTTTTCTGCCTTTGGCCTCAAAGCGCTTGAAATCTCCGCTTGCAAATTCCACAAAAAGAGTGTTTCAAATCTGCTCTGTGTAAATGAAAGTTCAACTCTGTGAGTTGAACACACACAACACAAGGAAGTTACTGGGAATTCTTCTGTCTAGCCTTATATGAAAAAAACCCGTTTCCAACGAAGGCCTCAAAGAGGTCTGAATATCCTCTTGCAGACTTTACAAACAGAGTGTTTCCTAACTGCTCTATGAAAAGAAAGGTTAAACTCTGTGAGTTGAACGCACACATCACAAAGGAGTTTCTGAGAATCATTCTGTCTAGTTTCTATAGGAAGATATTTCCTATTCTACCATTGAATAAAAAGCGGCTGAAATCTACACCTGCAAATTCCACAAAAAGAGTGTTTCAAGTCTGCTCTGTGTAAAGGATCGTTCAACTTTGTGAGTTGAATTCACACAACACAAGGAAGTTACTGAGAATTCTTCTGTCTAGCATAATATGAAGAAATCCCGTTTCCAACGAAGGCCTCAAGGAGGTCTGAATATCCACTTGCACACTTTACAAACAGAGTGTTTCCCAACTGCTCTATGAAAAGAAAGGTTGAACTCTGTGAGTTGAACGCACACATCACAAAGGAGTTTCTCAGAATCATTCTGTCTAATTTTGAAACGAAGATATTTCCTTTTCTGCCATTGACCTTAATGCGCTTGAAATCTACACTTGCAAATTGCACAAATAGAGTGTTTCAAATCTGCTCTGTCTAAGGGAACGTTCAACTCTGTGAGTTGAATGCACACAACACAAGGAAGTTACTGGGAATTCTTCTGTCTAGCCTTACATGAAAAAAACCCGTTTCCAACGAAGGCCTCTAAGTGGTCAAAATATCCACGTGCAGACTTTACAAACAGAGTGTTTCCAAACCGCTGAATGAAAAGAAAAGTTAAACTCTGAGAGTTGAACGCACACATCACGCAGCAGTTTCTGAGAATGATTCTGTCTAGTTTTTATACGAAGATATTTCCTTTTCTGCCTTTGGTCCCAAAGCGCTTGAAATCTCCACTTGCAAATTCCACAAAAACAGTGTTTCAAATCTGCTCTCTCTAAATGAAAGTTCAACTCTGTCAGTTGAATACACAAAACACAAGGAAGTTACTGAGAATTCTTCTTTATAGCAGAATATGAAGAAATCCCGTTTCCAACGAAAGCCTCAAGGATGTCTGAATATCCACTTGCAGACTTTACAAACAGAGTGTTTCCCAACTGCGCTATGAAAAGAAAGGTTAAACTCTGTGAGTTGAACGCACACATCACAAAGGAGTTTCTGAGAATCATTCTGTCTAGTTTCTATAGGAAGATATTTCCTATTCTACCATTGACCTCAAAGCGGCTGAAATCTCCACTTGCAAATTCCACAAAAAGAGTGTTTCAAGACTGTTCTGTGTAAAGGATCATTCAACTCTGGTGAGTTGAATACACACAACACAAGGAAGTTACTGAGAATTCTTCTGTCTAGCAGAATATGAAGAAATCCCGTTTCCAACGAAGGCCACAAGATGTCAGAATATCCACTTACAGACTTTACAAACAGAGTGTTTCCTAACTGCTCTATGAACAGAAAGGTTAAACCCTGTGAGTTGAACGAACACATCACAACGCAGTTTGTGGGAATGATTATCTGTCTAGTTTTGAAACGACGATATTTCCTTTTCTGCCATTGACCTTAAAGCGCTTGAAATCTACACTTGCAAATTGCACAAATAGAGTGTTTCAAATCTGCTCTGTCTAAGGGAACGTTCAACTCTGTGAGTTGAATGCACACAACACAAGGAAGTTGCTGGGAATTCTTCTGTCTAGCCTTACAGGAAAAAAACCCGTTTCCAACGAAGGCCTCTAAGTGGTCAAAATATCCACGTGCAGACTTTACAAACAGAGTGTTTCCAAACTGCTGAATGAAAAGAAAAGTTAAACTCTGAGAGTTGAACGAACACATCGCAGAGCAGTTTCTGAGAATGATTCTGTCTAGTCTTTATACGAAGATAGTTTCCTTTTCTACCATTGACCTCAAAGCGGCTGAAATCTCCACTTGCAAATTCCACAAAAAGAGTTTTTCAAGTCTGCTCTTTGTAAAGGATCGTTCAACTCTGTGAGTTGAATACACACAACACAAGGAAGTTACTGAGAATTCTTCTGTCTAGCAGAATATGAAGAAATCCCGTTTCCAACGAAGGCCTCAAGGAGGTCTGAATATCCACTTGCAGACTTTACAAACAGAGTGTTTCCTAACTGCTCTATGAAAAGAAAGGTGAAACTCTGTGAGTTGAATGCACACATCACAAAGGAGTTTATGAGAATCATTCTGTCTAGTTTCTATAGGAAGATATTTCCTGTTCTACCATTGACCTCAAAGCGGCTGAAATCTGCGCTTGCAAATTCCACAAAAAGAGTGTTTCAAGTCTGTTCTGTGTAAAGGATCGTTCAACTCTGTGAGTTGAATACACACAACACAAGGAAGTTACTGAGAATTCTTCTGTCTAGCAGAATATGAAGAAATCCCGTTTCCAACGAAGGCCTCAAGGAGGTCTGAATATCCACTTGCAGACTTTACAAACAGAGTGTTTCCTAACTGCTCTATGAACAGAAAGGTTAAACTCTGTGAGTTGAACGAACACATCACAACGCAGTTTGTAGGAATGATTCTGTCTAGTTTTGAAACGAAGATATTTCCTTTTCTGCCGTTGACCTTAAAGCGCTTGAAATCTACACTTGCAAATTGCACAAATAGAGTGTTTCAAATCTGCTCTGTCTAAGGGAACGTTCAACTCTGTGAGTTGAATGCACACAACACAAGGAAGTTACTGGGAATTCTTCTGTCTAGCCTTACATGAAAAAAACCCGTTTCCAACGAAGGCCTCTAAGTGGTCAAAATATCCACGTGCAGACTTTACAAACAGAGTGTTTCCAAACCGCTGAATGAAAAGAAAAGTTAAACTCTGAGAGTTGAACGCCCACATCACGCAGCAGTTTCTGAGAATGATTCTGTCTAGTTTTTATACGAAGATATTTCCTTTTCTGCCTTTGGCCTCAAAGCGCTTGAAATCTCCATTAGCAAATTCCACAAAAAGAGTGTCTCAAATCTGCTCTGTGTAAAGGACCGTTCACCTCTGTGAGTTGAACACACACAACACAAGGAAGTTACTGGGAATTCTTCTGTCTAGCATAGTATGAAGAAATCCCGTTTCCAACGAAGGCCTCAAAGAGGTCTGAATATCCACTTGCATAGTTTACAAACAGAGTGTTTCCTAACTGCTCTATGAAAAGAAAGGTTAAACTCTGTGAGTTGAACGCACACATCACAAAGAAGTTTCTGAGAATCATTCTGTCTAGTCTTTATACGAAGATAGTTTCCTTTTCTACCATTGACCTCAAAGCGGCTGAAATCTCCACTTGCAAATTCCACAAAAAGAGTGTTTCAAGTCTGCTCTGTGTAAAGGATCGTTCAACTCTGTGAGTTGAATACAGACAACACAAGGAAGTTACTGAGAATTCTTCTGTCTAGCAGAATATGAAGAAATCCCGTTACCAACGAAGGCCTCAAGGAGGTCTGAATATCCACTTGCAGACTTTACAAACAGAGTGTTTCCTAACTGCTCTATGAAAAGAAAGGTGAAACTCTGTGAGTTGAATGCACACATCACAAAGGAGTTTATGAGAATCATTCTGTCTAGTTTTGAAACGAAGATATTTCCTTTTCTGCCGTTGACCTTAAAGAGCTTGAAAACTACACTTGCAAATTGCACAAATAGAGTGTTTCAAATCTGCTCTGTCTAAGGGAACGTTCAACTCTGTGAGTTGAATGCACACAACACAAGGAAGTTACTGGGAATTCTTCTGTCTAGCCTTACATGAAAAAAACCCGTTTCCAACGAAGGCCTCTAAGTGGTCAAAATTTCCACGTGCAGACTTTACAAACAGAGTGTTTCCAAACCGCTGAATGAAAAGAAAAGTTAAACTCTGAGAGTTGAACCCACACATCACGCAGTAGTTCCTGAGAATGATTCTGTCTAGTTTTTATACGAAGATATTTCCTTTTCTGCCTTTGGCCCCAAAGCGCTTGAAATCTCCACTTGCAAATTCCACAAAAACAGTGTTTCAAATCTGCTCTCTCTCGAAATGAAAGTTCAACTCTGTCAGTTGAATACACACAACACAAGGAAGTTACTGAGAATTCTTCTGTCTAGCACAGTATGGAGAAATCCCGTTTCCAACGAAGGCCTCAAAGAGGTCTGAATATCCACTTGCAGAGTTTACAAACAGAGTGTTTCCTAACTGCTCTATGAAAAGAAAGGTTAAACTCTGTGAGTTGAACGCACACATCACAATGAAGTTTCTGAGAATCATTCTGTCTAGTTTTTATACGAAGATATTTCCTTTTCTACCATTGACCTCAAAGCGGCTGAAATCTCCACTTGCAAATTCCACAAAAAGAGTGTTTCAAGTCTGCTCTGTGTAAAGGATCGTTCAACTCTGTGAGTTGAAAACACACAACACAACGAAGTTTCTGAGAATTCTTCTGTCTAGCAGAATATGAAGAAATCCCGTTTCCAACGAAGGCCACAAGACGTCAGAATATCCACTTACAGACTTTACAAACAGAGTGTTTCCTAACTGCTCTATGAACAGAAAGGTTAAACTCTGTGAGTTGAACGAACACATCACAACGCAGTTTCTGGGAATGATTCTGTCTAGTTTTAAAACGAAGAAATTTCCTTTTCTGCCATTGACCTTAAAGCGCTTGAAATCTACACTTGCAAATTGCACAAATAGAGTGTTTCAAATCTGCTCTGTCTAAGGGAACGTTCAACTCTGTGAGTTGAATGCACACAACACAAGGAAGTTACTGGGAATTCTTCTGTCTAGCCTTATATGAAAAAAACCCGTTTCCAACGAAGGCCTCAAAGAGGTCTGAATATCGACTTGCAGACTTTACAAACAGAGTGTTTCCTATCTGCTCTATGAAAAGAAAGGTGAAACTCTGTGAGTTGAACACACACATCGCAGAGCAGTTTCTGAGAATGATTCTGTCTAGTCTTTATACGTAGATAGTTTCCTTTTCTACCATTGACCTCAAAGCGGCTGAAGTCTCCACTTGCAAATTCCACAAAAAGAGTGTTTCAAGTCTGCTCTCTGTAAAGGATCGTTCAACTCTGTGAGTTGAATACACACAACACAAGGAAGTTACTGAGAATTCTTCTGTCTAGCATAATATGAAGAAATCTCCGTTTCCAACGAAGGCCTCAAGGAGTTCTGAATATCCACTTGCAGACTTTACAATCAGAGTGTTTCCTAACTGCTCTATGAAAAGAAAGGTTAAACTCTGTGAGTTGAACGCACACATCACAAAGGAGTTTCTGAGAATCATTCTGTCTAGTTTCTATAGGAAGATATTTCCTATTCTACCATTGACCTCAAAGCGGCTGAAATCTCCACTTGCAAATTCCACAAAAAGAGTGTTTCAAGTCTGCTCTGTGTAAAGGATCGTTGAACTCTGTGAGTTGAAAACACACAACACAAGGAAGTTTACTGAGAATTGCTCTGTCTAGCAGAATATGAAGAAATCCCGTTTCCAACGAAGGCCACAAGATGTCAGAATATCCACTTACAGAATTTTCAAACAGACTGTTTCCTAACTGCTCTATGAAAAGAAAGGTTAAACTCTGTGAGATGAACGAACACATCACAACGCAGTTTGTGGGAATGATTTCTGTCTAGTTTTGAAACGAAGATATTTCCTTTTCTGTCATTGACCTCAAAGCGCTTGAAATCTCCACTTGCCAATTGCACAAAAAGAGTGTTTCAAATCTGCTCTGTCTAAGGGAACGTTCAACTCTGTGAGTTGAATGTACACAACACAAGGAAGTTACTGGGAATTCTTCTGTCTAGCCTTACATGAAAAAAACCCGTTTCCAACGAAGGTCTCTAAGTTGTCAAATTATCCACGTGCAGACTTTACAAACAGAGTGTTTCCAAACTGCTGAATGAAAAGAAAAGTTAAACTCTGAGATTTGTACGCACACATCGCAGAGCAGTTTCTGAGAATGATTCTGTCTAGTTTTTATACGAAGATATTTCCTTTTCTGCCTTTGGCCTCAAAGTGCATGAATTCTCCATTTGCAAATTCCACAAAAAGAGTGTTTCAAATCTGCTCTGTCTAAATGAAAGTTCAACTCTGTGAGTTCAACACACACAACACAAGGAAGTTACTGGGAATTCTTCTGTCTAGCATAATATGAAGAAATCCCGTTTCCAAGGAAGGCCTCAAGGAGGTCTGAATATCCACTTGCAGAGTTTACAAACGGAGTGTTTCCAAACTGCTCTATGAAAAGAAAGGTTAAACTCTGTGAGTTGAACGCACACATCACAAAGGAGTTTCTCAGAATCATTCTGTCTAGTTTTTATACGAAGATATTTCCTTTTCTACCATGGACCTCAAAGCGGCTGAAATCTCCACTTGCAAATTCCACAAAAAGAGTGTTTCAAGTGTGCTCTGTGTAAAGGATCATTCAACTCTCTGAGTTGAATACACACAACAGAAGGAAGATTCTGAGAATTCTTCTGTCTAGCAGAATATGAAGAAATCCCGTTTCCAACGAAGGCCACAAGATGTCAGAATATCCACTTACAGACTTTACAAACAGAGTGTTTCCTAACTGCTCTATGAACAGAAAGGTTAAACTCTGTGAGTTGAACGCACACATCACAAAGGAGTTTCTGAGAATCATTCTGTCTAGTTTTGAAACGAAGATATTTCCTTTTCTGCCGTTGACCTTAAAGCGCTTGAAATCTACACTTGCAAATTGCACAAATAGAGTGTTTCAAATCTGCTCTGTCTAAGGGAACGTTCAACTCTGTGAGTTGAATGCACACAACACAAGGAAGTTACTGGGAATTCTTCTGTCTAGCCTTACAGGCAAAAAAACCCGTTTCCAACGAAGGCCTCTAAGTGGTCAAAATATCCACGTGCAGACTTTACAAACAGAGTGTTTTCAAACTGCTGAATGAAAAGAAAAGTTAAACTCTGAGAGTTGAACGCACACATCGCAGAGCAGTTTCTGAGAATGATTCTGTCTAGTTTTTATACGAAGATATTTCCTTTTCTGCCTTTGGCCTCAAAGCGCTTGAAATCTCCACTTGCAAATTCCACAAAAAGAGTGTTTCAAATCTGCTCTGTGTATATGAAAGTTCAACTCTGTGAGTTGAACACACACAACACAAGGAAGTTACTGGGAATTCTTCTGTCTAGCAGAATATGAAGAAATCCCGTTTCCAACGAAGGCCTCAAAGAGGTCTGAATATCCACTTGCAGACTTTACAAACAGAGTGTTTCCTAACTGCTCTATGAAAAGAAAGGTTAAACTCTGTGAGTTGAACGCACACATCACAAAGGAGTTTTGAGAATCATTCTGTCTAGTCTTTATACGAAGATATTTCCTTTTCTACCATTGACCACAAAGCGGCTGAAATCTCCACTTGCAAATTCCACAAAAAGAGTGTTTCAAGTCTGCTCTGTGTAAAGGATCGTTCAACTCTGTGAGTTGAATAAACACAACACAAGGAAGTTACTGAGAATTCTTCTGTCTAGCAGAATATGAAGAAATCCCGTTTCCAACGAAGGTCTCAACGAGGTCTGAATATCCACTTGCAGACTTTACAAACAGAGCGTTTCCTAACTGCTCTATGAAAAGAAATGTTAAACTCTGTGAGTTGAACACACACATCACAAAGGAGTTTCTGAGAATCATTCTGTCTAGTTTTGAAACGGAGATATTTCCTTTTCTGCCATTGACCTTAAAGCGCTTGAAATCTACACTTGCAAATTACACAAATAGAGTGTTTCAAATCTGCTCTGTCTAAGGGAACGTTCATCTCTGTGAGTTGAATGCACACAACACAAGGAAGTTACTGGGAATTCTTCTGTCTAGCCTTACATGAAAAAAACCCGTTTCCAACGAAGGCCTCTAAGTGGTCAAAATATCTACGTGCAGACTTTGCAGAGTGTTTCCAAACTGCTGAATGAAAAGAAAAGTTAAACTCTGAGAGTTGTACGCACACATCACAGAGCAGTTTCTGAGAATGATTCTGTCTAGTTTTGAAACGAAGATATTTCCTTTTCTGCCTTTGGCCTCAAAGCCCTTGAAATCTCCACTTGCAAATTCCACAAAAAGAGTGTTTCAAATCTGCTCTGTGTAAATGAAAGTTCAACTCTGTGAGTTGAACACACACAACACAAGGAAGTTACTGGGAATTCTTCTGTCTAGCAGAATATGAAGAAATCCCGTTTCCAACGAAGGCCTCAAAGAGGTCTCAATATCCACTTGCAGACTTTACAAACAGAGTGTTTCCTAACTGCTCTATGAAAAGAAAAGTTAAACTCTGTGAGTTGAACGCACACATCACAAAGGAGTTTCTGAGAATCATTCTGTCTAGTTTCTATACGAAGATATTTCCTTTTCTACCATTGACCTCAAAGCGGCTGAAATCTCCACTTTCAAATTCCACAAAAAGAGTGTTTCAAGTCTGCTCTGTGTAAAGGATCTTTCAACTCTGTGAGTTGAATACACACAACACAAGGAAGTTACTGAGAATTCTTCTGTCTAGGAGAATATGAAGAAATCCCATTTCCAACCAAGGCCACAAAATGTCAGAATATCCACTTACAGACTTTACAAACAGAGTGTTTCCTAACTGCTCTATGAACAAAAAGGTTAAACTCTGTGAGTTGAACGAACACATCACAACGCAGTTTGTGGGATTGATTCTGTCTAGTTTTTATACGAAGATATTCCCTTTTCTACCATTGACCTCAAAGCGGCTGAAATCACCACTTGCCAATTGCACAAAAAGAGTGTTTCAAATCTGCTCTGTCTAAGGGAACGTTCAACTCTGTGAGTTGAATGTACACAACACAAGGAAGTTCCTGGGAATTCTTCTGTCTAGCAGAATATGAAGAAATCCCGTTTCCAACGAAGGCCTCAAGGAGGTCTGAATATCCACTTGCAGACTTTACAAACAGAGTGTTTCCTAACTGCTCTATGAAAAGAAAGGTTAAACTCTGTGAGTTGAACGCACACATCACAAAGGAGTTTCTGAGAATGATTCTGTCTAGTTTTGAAACGAAGATATTTCCTTTTCTGCCTTTGGCCTCAAAGCCCTTGAAATCTCCACTTGCAAATGCCACAAAAAGAGTGTTTCAAATCTGCTCTGTGTAAATGAAAGTTCAACTCTGTGAGTTGAACACACACAACACAAGGAAGTTACTGGGAATTCTTCTGTCTAGCAGAATATGAAGAAATCCCGTTTCCAACGAAGGCCTCAAGGAGGTCTGAATATCCACTTGCAGACTTTACAAACAGAGTGTTTCCTAACTGCTCTATGAACAGAAAGGTTAAACTCTGTGAGTTGAACAGCACACATCACAAAGGAGTTTCTGAGAATCATTCTGTCTAGTTTTTATACGAAGATATTTCCTTTTCTACCATTGACCTCAAAGCGGCTGAAATCTCCACTTGCAAATTCCACAAAACGAGTGTTTCAAGTCCGCTCTGTGTAAAGGATCGTTCAACTCTGTGAGTTGAATACACACAACACAAGGAAGTTACTGAGAATTCTTCTGTCTAGCAAAGTATGGAGAAATCCCGTTTCCAACGAAGGCCTCAAAGAGGTCTGAATATCCACTTGCAGAGTTTACAAACAGAGTGTTTCCTAACTGCTCTATGAAAAGAAAGGTTAAACTCTGTGAGTTGAACGCACACATCACAAAGAAGTTTCTGAGAATCATTCTGTCTAGTTTTGAAACGAAGATATTACCTTTTCTGCCATTGACCTTAAAGCGCTTGAAATCTACACTTGCAAATTGCACAAATAGAGCGTTTCAAATCTGCTCTGTCTAAGGGAACGTTCATCTCTGTGAGTTGAATGCACACAACACAAGGAAGTTACTGGGAATGCTTCTGTTTAGCCTTACATGAAAAAAACCCGTTTCCAACGAAGGCCTCTATGTGGTCAAATTATCCACGTGCAGACTTTACAAACAGAGTGTTTCCAAACTGCTGAATGAAAAGAAAAGTTAAACTCTGAGAGTTGAACGCACACATCGCAGAGCAGTTTCTGAGAATGATTCTGTCTAGTTTTTATACGAAGATATTTCCTTTTCTGCCTTTGACCCCAAAGCGCTTGAAATCTCCACTTGCAAATTCCACAAAAACAGTGTTTCAAATCTGCTCTCTCTAAATGAAAGTTCAACTCTGTCAGTTGAATACACACAACACAAGGAAGTTACTGAGAATTCTTCTGTCTAGCATAATATGAAGAAATCCCGTTTCCAACGAAGGCCACAAAGAGGTCTGAATATCCACTTGCAGACTTTACAAACAGAGTGTTTCCTAACTGCTCTATGAAAAGAAAAGTTAATCTCTGTGAGTTGAACGCACACATCACAAAGGAGTTTCTGAGAATCATTCTGTCTAGTCTTTATACGAAGATATTTCCTTTTCTACCATTGACCTCAAAGCGGCTGAAATCTCCACTTGCAAATTCCACAAAAAGAGTGTTTCAAGTCTGCTCTGTGTAAAGGATCGTTCTACTCTGTGAGTTGAATACACACAACACAAGGAAGTTAGTGAGAATTCTTCTGTCTAGCAGAATATGAAGAAATCCCATTTCCAACGAAGGCCTCAAGGAGGTCTGAATATCCACTTGCAGACTTTACAAACAGAGTGTTTCCTAACTGCTCTATGAAAAGAAAAGTTAAACTCTGTGAGTTGAACGCACACATCACAAAGGAGTTTCTGAGAATCATTCTGTCTAGTTTTTATACGAAGATATTTCCTTTTCTACCATTGACCTCAAAGCGGCTGAAATCACCACTTGCCAATTGCACAAAAAGAGTGTTTCAAATCTGCTCTGTCTAAGGAAACGTTCAACTCTGTGAGTTGAATGTACACAACCCAAGGAAGTTACTGGGAATTCTTCTGTCTAGCCTTACATGAAAAAAACCCGTTTCCAACGAAGGCCTCTAAGTGGTCAAATTATCCACGTGCAGACTTTAAAAACAGAGTGTTTCCAAACTGCTGAATGAAAAGAAAAGTTAAACTCTGAGAGTTGAACGCACACATCGCAGAGCAGTTTCTGAGAATGATTCTGTCTAGTTTTTATACGAAGATATTTCCTTTTCTGCGTTTGGCCCCAAAGCACTTGAAATCTCCAATTGCAAATTACACAAAAACAGTGTTTCAAATCTGCTCTCTCTAAATGAAAGTTCAACTCTGTCAGCTGAATACACACAACACAAGGAAGTTACTGAGAATTCTTCTGTCTAGCATAGTATGGAGAAATCCCGTTTCCAATGAAGGCCTCAAAGAGGTCTGAATATCCACTTGCAGAGTTTACAAACGGAGTGTTTCCTAACTGCTCTATGAAAAGAAAGGTTAAACTCTGTGAGTTGAACGCACACATCACAAAGAAGTTTCTGAGAATCATTCTGTCTAGTTTCTATACGAAGATATTCCCTTTTCTACCATTGACCTCAAAGCGGCTGAAATCTCCACTTGCAAATTCCACAACAAGAGTGTTTCAAGTCTGCTCTGTGTAAGGGATCGTTCAACTCTGTGAGTTGAATACACACAACACAAGGAAGTTACTGAGAATTCTTCTGTCTAGCAGAATATGAAGAAATCCCGTTTCCAACGAAGGCCACAAAGAGGTCTGAAAATCCACTTGCAGACTTTACAAACAGAGTGTTTCCTAACTGCTGTATGAAAAGAAAGGTTAAACTCTGTGACTTGAAGGCACACATCACAAAGGAGTTTCTGAGAATCATTCTGTCTAGTTTTGAAACGAAGATATTTCCTTTTCTGCCGTTGACCTTAAAGCGCTTGAAATCTACACTTGCAAATTGCACAAATAGAGTGTTTCAAATCTGCTCTGTCTAAGGGAACGTTCAACTCTGTGAGTTGAATGCACACAACACAAGGAAGTTACTGGGAATTCTTCTGTCTAGCCTTACATGAAAAAAACCCGTTTCCAACGAAGGCCTCTAAGTGGTCAAAATATCCACGTGCAGACTTTAGAAACAGAGTGTTTCCAAACCGCTGAATGAAAAGAAAGGTTAAACTCTGAGAGTTGAACGCACACATCACGCAGCAGTTTCTGAGAATGATTCTGTCTAGTTTTTATACGAAGATATTTCCTTTTCTGCCTTTGGCCCCAAAGCGCTTGAAATCTCCACTTGCAAATTCCACAAAAAGAGTGTTTCAAATCTGCTCTCTCTAAATGAAAGTTCAACTCTGTCAGTTGAATACGCACAACACAAGGAAGTTACTGAGAATTCTTCTTTCTAGCATAATATGAAGAAATCCCGTTTCCAACGAAAGCCTCAAGGAGGTCTGAATATCCA
This sequence comes from Homo sapiens, assembly GCF_000001405.40. Lineage (NCBI taxonomy): Eukaryota > Metazoa > Chordata > Mammalia > Primates > Hominidae > Homo > Homo sapiens. The sequence goes on along the minus strand of NC_000019.10, from coordinate 26,761,363 downwards.
CTTGCAGACTTTACAAACAGAGTGTTTCCTAACTGCTCTATGAAAAGAAAGGTTAAACTCTGTGAGTTGAACGCACACATCACAAAGGAGTTTCTGAGAATCATTCTGTCTAGTTTTTATAGGAAGTTATTTCCTTTTCTACCTTTGACTTCAAAGCGGCTGAAATCTCCACTTGCAAATTCCACAAAAAGAGTGTTACAAGTCTGCTCTGTGTAAAGGATCGTTCAACTCTGTGAGTTGAATACACACAACACAAGGAAGTTACTGAGAATTCTTCTGTCTAGCACAGTATGAAGAAATCCCGTTTCCAACGAAGGCCTCAAAGAGGTCTGAATATCCACTTGCAGAGTTTACAAACAGAGTGTTTCCTAACTGCTCTATGAAAAGAAAGGTTAAACTCTGTTAGTTGAACGCACACATCACAACGCAGTTTTTGGGAATGATTCTGTCTGGTTTTGAAACGAAGATATTTCCTTTTCTGCCATTGACCTTAAAGCGCTTGAAATCTCCACTTGCCAATTGCACAAAAAGAGTGTTTCAAATCTGCTCTGTCTAAGGGAACGTTCAACTCTGTGAGTTGAATGTACACAACACAAGGAAGTTACTGGGAATTCTTCTGTCTAGCCTTACAGGAATAAAACCCGTTTCCAACGAAGGCCTCTAAGTGGTCAAAATATCCACGTGCAGACTTTACAAAGAGAGTGTTTCCAAACTGCTGAATGAAAAGAAAAATTAAACTCTGAGAGTTGAATGCACACATCGCAGAGCAGTTTCTGAGAATGATTCTGTCTAGTTTTTATACGAAGATATTTCCTTTTCTGCCTTTGGCCCCAATGCGCTTGAAATCTCCACTGGCAAATTCCACAAAAACAGTGTTTCAAATCTGCTCTCTCTAAATGAAAGTTCAACTCTGTCAGTTGAATACACACAACACAAGGAAAGTTACTGAGAATTCTTCTGTCTAGCAGAATATGAAGAAATCCCGTTTCCAACGAAGGCCTCAAAGGGGTCTGAATATCCACTTGCAGACTTTATAAACAGAGTGTTTACTAACTGCTCTATGAAAAGAAAGGTTAAAATCTGTGAGTTGAACACACATATCACAAAGGAGTTTCTGAGAATCATTCTATCTAGTTTCTATAGGAAGATATTTCCTATTCTACCATTGACCTCAAAGCGGCTGAAATCTCCACTTGCAGATTCCACAAAAAGAGTGTTTCAAGTCTGCTCTGTGTAAAGGATCGTTCAACTCTGTGAGTTGAATACACACAACACAAGGAAGTTACTGGGAATTCTTCTGTCTAGCATAATATGAGGAAATCCCGTTTCCAACGAAGGCCTCAAGGAGGTCTGAATATCCACTTGCAGACTTTACAAACAGAGTGTTTCCTAACTGCTCTATGAAAAGAAAGGTTAAACTCTGTGAGTTGAACGCACACATCACAAAGGAGTTTCTGAGAATCATTCTGTCTAGTTTTGAAACGAAGATATTTCCTTTTCTGCCATTGACCTTAAAGCGCTTGAATTCTCCACTTGCCAATTGCACAAAAAGAGTGTTTCAAATCTGCTCTGTCTAAGGGAACGTTCAACTCTGTGAGTTGAATGTACACAACACAAGGAAGTTACTGGGAATTCTTCTGTCTAGCCTTACAGGAAAAAAACCCGTTTCCAACGAAGGCCTCTAAGTGGTCAAAATATCCACGTGCAGACGTTACAAACAGAGTGTTTCCAAACTGCTGAATGAAAAGAAAAGTTAAACTCTGAGAGTTGAAAGCACACATCGCAGAGCAGTTTCTGAGAATGATTCTGTCTAGTTTTTATACGAAGATATTTCCTTTTCTGGGTTTGGCCCCAAAGCGCTTGAAATCTCCAATTGCAAATTACACAAAAACAGTGTTTCAAATCTGCTCTCTCTAAATGAAAGTTCAACTCTGTCAGCTGAATACACACAACACAAGGAAGTTACTGAGAATTCTTCTGTCTAGCATAAAATGAAGAAATCCCGTTTCCAACGAAGGCCTCAAAGAGGTCTGAATATCCACTTGCAGACTTTACAAACAGAGTGTTTCCTAACGGCTCTATGAAAAGAAAAGTTAAACTCTGTGAGTTGAACGCACACATCACAAAGGAGTTTCTGAGAATCATTCTGTCTAGTTTTTATAGGAAGATATTTCCTTTTCTACCTTTGACTTCAAAGCGGCTGAAATCTCCACTTGCAAATTCCACAAAAAGAGTGTTACAAGTCTGCTCTGTCTAAGGGAACGTTCAACTCTGTGAGTTGAATGTACACAACACAAGGAAGTTACTGGGAATTCTTCTGTCTAGCAGAATATGAAGAAATCCCGTTTCCAACGAAGGCCACAAGATGTCAGAATATCCACTTACAGACTTTACAAACAGAGTGTTTCCTAACTGCTCTATGAACAGAAAGGTTAAACTCTGTGAGTTGAACGAACACATCACAACGCCGTTTGTGGGAATGATTCTGTCTAGTTTTGAAACGAAGATATTTCCTTTTCTGCCGTTGACCTTAAAGCGCTTGAAATCTACACTTGCAAATTACACAAATAGAGTGTTTCAAATCTGCTCTGTCTAAGGGAACGTTCAACTCTGTGAGTTGAATGCCCACAACACAAGGAAGTTACTGGGAATTCTTCTGTCTACCCTTACATGAAAAAAACCCGTTTCCAACGAAGGCCTCTAAGTGGTCAAAATATCCACGTGCAGACTTTACAAACAGAGTGTTTCCAAACTGCTGAATGAAAAGAAAAGTTAAACTCTGAGAGTTGAAAGCACACATCACAGAGGATTTTCTGAGAATGATTCTGTCTAGTTTTTATACGAAGATATTTCCTTTTCTGCCTTTGGCCCCAAAGCGCTTGAAATCTCCACTTGCAAATTCCACAAAAACAGTGTTTCAAATCTGCTCTCTCCAAATGAAAGTTCAACTCTGTCAGTTGAATACACACAACACAAGGAAGTTACTGAGAATTCTTCTGTCTAGCATAATATGAAGAAATCCCGTTTCCAACGAAGGCCTCAAGGAGGTCTGAATATCCACTTGCAGACTTTACAAACAGAGTGTTTCCCAACTGCTCTATGAAAAGAAAGGTTGAACTCTGTGAGTTGAACACACACATCACAAAGGAGTTTCTGAGAATCATTCTGTCTAGTTTCTATAGGAAGTTATTTCCTATTCTACCATTGACCTCAAAGCGGCTGAAATCTCCACTTGCAAATTCCACAAAAAGAGTGTTTCAAGTCTGCTCTGTGTAAAGGATCATTCAACTCTGTGAGTTGAATACACACAACACAAGGAAGTTACTGAGGAATTCTTCTGTCTAGCATAATATGAAGAAATCCCGTTTCCAACGAAGGCCTCAAGGAGGTCTGAATATCCACTTGCAGACTTTACAAACAGAGTGTTTCCTAACTGCTCTATGAAGAGAAAGGTTAAACTCTGTGAGTTGAACGAACACATCACAACGCAGTTTGTGGTAATGATTCTGTCTAGTTTTGAAACGAAGATATTTCCTTTTCTGCCGTTGACCTTAAAGCGCTTGAAATCTACACTTGCAAATTGCACAAATAGAGTGTTTCAAATCTTCTCTGTCTAAGGGAACGTTCAACTCTGTGAGTTGAATGCACACAACACAAGGAAGTTACTGGGAATTCTTCTGTCTAGCCTTACATGAAAAAAACCCGTTTCCAACGAAGGCCTCTAAGTGGTCAAAATTTCCACGTGCAGACTTTACAAACAGAGTGTTTCCAAACCGCTGAATGAAAAGAAAAGTTAAACTCTGAGAGTTGAACGCACACATCACGCAGCAGTTTCTGAGAATGATTCTGTCTAGTTTTTGTACGAAGATATTTCCTTTTCTACCCTTGACCTCAAAGCGGCTGAAATCTGCACTTGCAAATTCCACAAAAAGAGTGTTTCAAGTCTGTTCTGTGTAAAGGATCATTCAACTCTGTGAGTTGAATACACACAACACAAGGAAGTTACTGAGAATTCTTCTGTCTAACCTTATATGAAAAAAACCCGTTTCCAACGAAGGCCTCAAAGAGGTCTGAATATCCACTTGCAAACTTTACACACAGAGTGTTTCCTAACTGCTCTATGAAAAGAAAGGTTAAACTCTGTGAGTTGAACGCACACATCACAAAGGAGTTTCTGAGAATCATTCTGTCTAGTTTCTATAGGAAGATATTTCCTATTCTACCATTGAACTCAAAGCGGCTGAAATCTCCACTTGCAAATTCCACAAAAAGAGTGTTTCAAGTCTGCTCTGTGTAAAGGATCATTCAACTCTGTGAGTTGAATACACACAACACAAGGAAGTTACTGAGAATTCTTCTGTCTAGCATAATAGGAAGAAATCCCGTTTCCAACGAAGGCCTCAAGGAGGTCTGAATATCCACTTGCAGACTTTACAATCAGAGTGTTTCCTAACTGCTCTATGAAAAGAAAGGTTAAACTCTGTGAGTTGAACGCACATATCACAAAGGAGTTTCTCAGAATCATTCTGTCTAGTTTTGAAACGAAGATATTTCCTTTTCTGCCATTGACCTTAAAGCGCTTGAAATCTCCACTTGCCAATTGCACAAAAAGAGTGTTTCAAATCTGCTCTGTCTAAGGGAACGTTCAACTCTGTGAGTTGAATGTACACAACACAAGGAAGTTACTGGGAATTCTTCTGTCTAGCCTTACATGAAAAAAACCCGTTTCCAACGAAGGCCTCTAAGTGGTCAAATTATCCACGTGCAGACTTTACAAACAGAGTGTTTCCAAACTGCTGAATGAAAAGAAAAGTTAAACTCTGAGAGTTGAACGCACACATCGCAGAGCAGTTTCTGAGAATGATTTCTGTCTAGTTTTTATACGAAGATATTTCCTTTTCTGCCTTTGGCCTCAAAGCGCTTGAAATCTCCACCTGCAAATTCCACAAAAAGAGTGTTTCAAATCTGCTCTGTGTAAATGAAAGTTCAACTCTGTGAGTTGAACACACACAACACAAGGAAGTTACTGGGAATTCTTCTGTCTAGCATAATATGAAGAAATCCCGTTTCCAACGAAGGCCTCAAAGGGGTCTGAATATCCACTTGCAGACTTTATAAACGGAGTGTTTACTAACTGCTCTATGAAAAGAAAGGTTAAACTCTGTGAGTTGAACACACACATCACAAAGGAGTTTCTGAGAATCATTCTGTCTAGTTTCTATAGGAAGATATTTCCTATTCTACCATTGACCTCAAAGTGGCTGAAATCTCCACTTGCAAATTCCACAAAAAGATTGTTTCAAGTCTGCTCTGTGTAAAGGATCGTTCAACTCTGTGAGTTGAATACACACAACACAAGGCAGTTACTGAGAATTCTTCTGTCTAGCAGAAAATGAAGAAATCCCGTTTCCAACGAAGGCCACAAGATGTCAGAATATCCACTTACAGACTTTACAAACAGAGTGTTTCCTAACTGCTCTATGAACAGAAAGGTTAAACTGCTGTGAGTTGAACGAACACATCACAACGCAGTTTGTGGGAATGATTCTGTCTAGTTTTGAAACGAAGATATTTCCTTTTCTGCCATTGACCTTAAAGCGCTTGAAATCTCCACTTGCCAATTGCACAAAGAGTGTTTCAAATCTGCTCTGTCTAAGGGAACGTTCAACTCTGTGAGTTGAATGTACACAACACAAGGAAGTTACTGGGAATTCTACTGTCTATGCCTTACAGGAAAAAAACCCGTTTCCAACGAAGGCCTCTAAGTGGTCAAAATATCCACGTGCAGACTTTACAAACAGAGTGTTTCCAAACTGCTGAATGAAAAGAAAAGTTAAACTCTGAGAGTTGAACGCACACATCGCAGAGCAGTTTCTGAGAATGATTCTGTCTAGTTTTTATACGAAGATATTTCCTTTTCTGCCTTTGGCCTCACAGCGCTTGAAATCTCCACTTGCAAATTCCACAAAAAGAGTGTTTCAAATCTGCTCTGTGTAAATGAAAGTTCAACTCTGTGAGTTGAACACACACAACACAAGGAAGTTAGTGGGAATTCTTCTGTCCAGCAGAACATGAAGAAATCCCGCTTCCAACGAAGGCCTCAAAGAAGTCTGAATATCCACTTGCAGACTTTACAAACAGAGTGTTTCCCAACTGCTCTAGGAAAACAAAGGTTGAACTCTGTGAGTTGAACGCACACATCACAAAGGAGTTTCTGAGAATCATTCTGTCTAGTTTCTATGGGAAGATATTTCCTATTCTACCATTGACCTCAAAGCGGCTGAAATCTCCACTTGCAAATTCCACAAAAAGAGTGTTTCAAGTCTGCTCTGTGTAAAGGATCGTTGAACTCTGTGAGTTGAATACACACAACACAAGATAGTTACTGAGAATTCTTCTGTCTAGCAGAATATGAAGAAATCCCGTTTCCAACGAAGGCCTCAAGGAGGTCTGAATATCCACTTGCAGACTTTACAATCAGAGTGTTTCCTAACTGCTCTATGAAAAGAAAGGTTAAACTCTTTGAGTTGAACGCACACATCACAACGCAGTTTGTGGGAATGATTCTGTCTAGTTTTGAAACGAAGATATTTCCTTTTCTGCCATTGACCTTAAAGCGCTTGAAATCTACACTTGCAAATTGCACAAATAGATTGTTTCAAATCTGCTCTGTCTAAGGAAACGTTCAACTCTGTGAGTTGAATGCACACAACACAAGGAAGTTACTGGGAATTCTTCTGTCTAGCCTTACATGAAAAAAACCCGTTTCCAACGAAGGCCTCTAAGTGGTCAAAATATCCACGTGCAGACTTTACAAACAGAGTGTTTCAAAACCGCTGAATGAAAAGAAAAGTTAAACTCTGAGAGTTGAACGCACACATCACGCAGCAGTTTCTGAGAATGATTCTGTCTAGTTTTGAAACGAAGATATTTCCTTTTCTGCCTTTGGCCTCAAAGCGCTTGAAATCTCCACTTGCGAATTCCACAAAAAGAGTGTTTCAAATCTGCTCTGTGTAAATGAAAGTTCAACTCTGTGAGTTGAACACACACAACACAAGGAAGTTACTGGGAATTCTTCTGTCTAGATTTTATATGAAGAAATCCCGTTTCCAACGAAGGCCTCAAAGAGGTCTGAATATCCACTTGCAGACTTTACAAACAGAGTGTTTCCTAACTGCTCTATGAAAAGAAAGGTTAAACTCTGTGAGTTGAACGCACACATCACAAAGGAGTTTCTGAGAATCATTCTGTCTAGTTTCTATAGGAAGATATTTCCTATTCTACCATTGACCTCAAAGCGGCTGAAATCTCCCCTTGCAAATTCCACAAAAAGAGTGTTTCAAGTCTGCTCTGTGTAAAGGATCGTTCAACTCTGTGAGTTGAATACACACAACACAAGGCAGTTACTGAGAATTCTTCTGTCTAGCAGAATATGAATAAATCCCGTTTCCAACGAAGGCCTCAAAGAGGTCTGAATATCCACTTACAGACTTTACAAACAGAGTGTTTCCTAACTGCTCTATGAAAAGAAAAGTTAAACTCTGTGAGTTGAACGAACACATCACAACGCAGTTTGTGGGAATGATTCTGTCTATTTTTCAAACGAAGATATTTCCTTTTCTGCCATTGACCTTAAAGCGCTTGAAATCTACACTTGCAAATTGCACAAATAGAGTGTTTCAAATCTGCTCTGTCTAAGGGAACGTTCAACTCTGTGAGTTGAATGCACACAACACAAGGAAGTTACTGGGAATTCTTCTGTCTAGCCTTACATGCAAAAAACCCGTTTCCAACGAAGGCCTCTAAGTGGTCAAAATATCCACGTGCAGACTTCACAAACAGAGTGTTTCCAAACCGCTGAATGAAAAGAAAAGTTAAACTCTGAGAGTTGAACGCACACATCACGCAGCAGCTTCTGAGAATGATTCTGCCTAGTTTTCATACGAAGATATTTCCTTTTCTGCCTTTGGCCCCAAAGCGCTTGAAATCTCCACTTGCAAATTCCACAAAAACAGTGTTTCAAATCTGCTCTCTCTAAATGAAAGTTCAACTCTGTCAGTTGAATACACACAACACAAGGAAGTTACTGAGAATTCTTCTGTCTAGCATAATATGAAGAAATCCCGTTTCCAACGAAGGCCTCAAGGAGGTCTGAATATCCACTTGCAGACTTTACAAACAGAGTGTTTCCTAACTGCTCTATGAAAAGAAAGTTTAAAGTCTGTGAGTTGAACGCACACATCACAAGGGAGTTTCTGAGGATCATTCTGTCTAGTTTTTATAGGAAGATATTTCCTTTTCTACCTTTGACTTCAAAGCGGCTGAAATCTCCACTTGCAAATTCCACAAAAAGAGTGTTACAAGTCTGCTCTGTGTAAAGGATCGTTCAACTCTGTGAGTTGAATACACACAACACAAGGAAGTTACTTGAGAATTCTTCTGTCTAGCAGAATATGAAGAAATCCCGTTTCCAACGAAGGCCAGAAGATGTCAGAATATCCACTTACAGACTTTACAAACAGAGTGTTTCCTAACCGCTCTATGAACGGAAAGGTTAAACTCTGTGAGTTGAACGAACACATCACAACGCAGTTTGTGGGAATGATTCTGTCTAGTTTTGAAACGAAGATATTTCCTTTTCTGCCATTGACCTTAAAGCGCTTGAAATCTCCACTTGCCAATTGCACAAAAAGAGTGTTTCAAATCTGCTCTGTCTAAGGGAACGTTCAACTCTGTGAGTTGAATGTACACAACACAAGGAATTTAATGGGAAATCTTCTGTCTAGCCTTATATGAAAAAAACCCGTTTCCAAAGAAGGCCTCTAAGTGGTCAAAATATCCACGTGCAGACTTTACAAACAGAGTGTTTCCAAACCGCTGAATGAAAAGAAAAGTTAAACTCTGAGAGTTGAACGCACACATCACGCAGCAGTTTCTGAGAATGATTCTGTCTAGTTTTTATACGAAGATATTTCCTTTTCTGCCTTTGGCCCCGAAGCGCTTGAAATCTCCACTTGCAAATTCCACAAAAACAGTGTTTCAAATCTGCTCTCTCTAAATGAAAGTTCAACTCTGTCAGTTGAATACACACAACACAAGGGAAGTTACTGAGAATTCTTCTGTCCAGCAGAATACGAAGAAATCCCGTTTCCAACGAAGGCCTCAAAGAGGTCTGAATATCCACTTACAGACTTTACAAACAGAGTGTTTCCTAACTGCTCTATGAAAAGAAATGTTAAATTCTGTGAGTTGAACGCACACATCACAAAGGAGTTTCTGAGAATCATTCTGTCTAGTCTTTATACGAAGATATTTACTTTTCTACCATTGACCTCAAAGCGGCTGAAATCTCCACTTGCAATTTCCACAAAAAGAGTGTTTCAAGTCTGCTCTGTGTAAAGGATCATTCAACTCTGTGAGTTGAATACACACAACACAAGGAAGTTACTGAGAATTCTTCTGTCTAGCAGAATATGAAGAAATCCCTTTTCCAAAGAAGGCCTCAAGGAGGTCTGAATATCCACTTGCAGACTTTACAAACAGAGTGTTTCCTAACTGCTCTATGAAAACAAAGGTTAAACTCTGTGAGTTGAACGCACACATCACAAAGGAGTTCATGAGAATCATTCTCTCTAGTTTTGAAACGAAGATATTTCCTTTTCTGCCATTGACCTTAAAGCGCTTGAAATCTCCACTTGCCAATTGCACAAAAAGAGTGTTTCAAATCTGCTCTGTCTAAGGGAACGTTCAACTCTGTGAGTTGAATGTACACAACACAAGGAAGTTACTGGGAATTCTTCTGTCTAGCCTTACATGAAAAAAACCCGTTTCCAACGAAGGCCTCTAAGTGGTCAAAATATCCACGTGCAGACTTTACAAACAGAGTGTTTCCAAACCGCTGAATGAAAAGAAAAGTTAAACTCTGAGAGTTGAACGCACACATCACGCAGCAGTTTCTGAGAATGATTCTGTCTAGTTTTTATACGAAGATATTTCCTTTTCGGCCTTTGGCCCCAAAGCGCTTGAAATCTCCACTTGCAAATTCCACAAAAACAGTGTTTCAAATCTGCTCTCTCTAAATGAAAGTTCAACTCTGTCAGTTGAATACACACAACACAAGGAAGTTACTGAGAATTCTTCTTTCTAGCAGAATATGAAGAAATCCCGTTTCCAACGAAAGCCTCAAGGATGTCTGAATATCCACTTGCAGACATTACAAACAGAGTGTTTCCCAACTGCTCTATGAAAAGAAAGGTTAAACTCTGTGAGTTGAACGCACACATCACAAAGGAGTTTCTGAGAATCATTCTGTCTAGTTTTTATACGAAGATATTTCCTTTTCTACCATTGAACACAAAGCGGCTGAAATCTCCACTTGCAAATTCCACAAAAAGAGTGTTTCAAGTCTGCTGTGTGTAAAGGATCGTTCAACTCTGTGAGTTGAATACATACAACACAAGGAAGTTTCTGAGAATTCTTCTGTCTAGCATAATATGAAGAAATCCCTTTTCCAACGAAGGCCTCAAAGAGGTCTGAATATCTACTTGCAGACTTTACAAACAGAGTGTTTCCTAACTGCTCTGTGAAAAGAAAGGTTAAACTCTGTGAGTTGAACGCACACATCACAAAGGAGTTTCTGAGAATCATTCTGTCTAGTTTTGAAACGAAGATATTTCCTTTTCTGCCGTTGACCTTAAAGTGCTTGAAATGTACACTTGCAAATTGCACAAATAGGCTGTTTCAAATCTGCTCTGTCTAAGGGAACGTTCAACTCTGTGAGTTGAATGCGCACAACACAAGGAAGTTACTGGGAATTCTTCTGTCTAGCCTTACAGGAAAGAAACCCGTTTCCAACGAAGGCCTCTAAGTGGTCAAAATATCCACGTGCAGACTTTACAAACAGAGTGTTTCCAAACTGCTGAATGAAAAGAAAAGTTAAACTCTGAGAGTTGAACGCACACATCGCAGAGCAGTTTCTGAGAATGATTCTGTCTAGTTTTTCTTCGAAGATATTTCCTTTTCTACTATTGACCTCAAAGCGGCTGAAATCTCCACTTGCAAATTCCACAAAAAGAGTGTTTCAAGTCTGCTCTGTGTAAAGGATCGTTTAACTCTGTGAGTTGAATACACACAACACAAGGAAGTTACTGAGAATTCTTCTGTCTCGCATAATATGAAGAAATCCCGTTTCCAACGAAGGCCTCAAAGGGGTCTGAATATCCACTTGCAGCCTTTACAAACAGAGTGTTTCCTAACTGCTCTATGAAAAGAAAAGTTAAACTCTGTGAGTTGAACGCACGCATCACAAAGGAGTTTCTGAGAATCATTCTGTCTAGTTTCTATAGGAAGATATTTCCTATTCTACCATTGACCTCAAAGCGGCTGAAATCTCCACTTGCAAATTCCACAAAAGGAGTGTTTCAAGTCTGCTCTGTGTAAAGGATCGTTCAACTCTGTGAGTTGAAAACACACAACACAAGGAAGTTTCTGAGAATTCTTCTGTCTAGCAGAATATGAAGAAATCCCGCTTCCAACGAAGGCCTCAAAGAAGTCTGAATATCCACTTGCAGACTTTACAAACAGAATGTTTCCCAACTGCTCTATGAAAAGAAAGGTTGAACTCTGTGAGTTGAACGCACACATCACAAAGGAGTTTCTGAGAATCATTCTGTCTAGTTTTTATACGAAGATATTTCCTTTTCTACCATTGACCTCAAAGCGGCTGAAATCACCACTTGCCAATTGCACAAAAAGAGTGTTTCAAATCTGCTCTGTCTAAGGGAACGTTCAACTCTTGTGAGTTGAATGTACACAACACAAGGAAGTTACTGAGAATTCTTCTGTCTAACCTTACATGAAAAAAACTCGTTTCCAACGAAGGCCTCTAAGTGGTCAAATTATCCACGTGCAGACTTTACAAACAGAGTGTTTCCAAACTGCTGAATGAAAAGCAAAGTTAAACTCTGAGAGTTGAACGCACACATCGCAGAGCAGTTTCTGAGAATGATTCTGTCTAGTTTTTATACGAAGATATTTCCTTTTCGGCCTTTGGCCTCAAAGCGCTTGAAATCTCCACCTGCAAATTCCACAAAAAGAGTGTTTCAAATCTGCTCTGTGTAAATGAAAGTTCAACTCTGTGAGTTGAACACACACAACACAAGGAAGTTACTGGGAATTCTTCTGTCTAGCAGAACATGAAGAAATCCCGCTTCCAACGAAGGCCTCAAAGAAGTCTGAATATCCACTTGCAGACTTTACAAACAGAGTGTTTCCCAACTGCTCTATGAAAAGAAAGGTTGAACTCTGTGAGTTGAACGCACACATCACAAAGCAGTTTCTGAGAATCATTCTGTGTAGTTTCTATAGGAAGATATTTCCTATTCTACCATTGAACTCAAAGCGGCTGAAATCTCCACTTGCAAATTCCACCAAAAGAGTGTTTCAAGTCTGCTCTGTGTAAAGGATCGTTCAACTCTGTGAGTTGAATACACACAACACAAGGAAGTTCCTGAGAATTCCTCTGTCTAGCATAGTATGAAGAAATCCCGTTTCCAACGAAGGCCTCAAAGAGGTCTGAATATCCACTTACAGAATTGACAAACAGACTGTTTCCTAACTGCTCTATGAAAAGAAAGGTTAAACTCTGTGAGTTGAACGAACACATCACAACGCAGTTTGTGGGAATGATTCTGTCTAGTTTTGAAACGAAGATATTTCCTTTTCTGCCATTGACCTTAAAGCGCTTGAAATCTCCACTTGCCAATTGCACAAAAAGAGTGTTTCAAATCTGCTCTGTCTAAGGGAACGTTCAACTCTGTGAGTTGAATGTACACAACACAAGGAAGTTACTGGGAATTCTTCTGTCTAGCCTTACATGAAAAAAACCCGTTTCCAACGAAGGCCTCTAAGTGGTCAAATTATCCACGTGCAGACTTTACAAACAGAGTGTTTCCAAACTGCTGAATGAAAAGAAAAGTTAAACTCTGAGAGTTGAACGCACACATCGCAGAGCAGTTTCTGAGAATGCTTCTGTCTAGTTTTTATACAAAGATATTTCCTTTTCTGCCTTTGGCCCCAAAGCGCTTGAAATCTCCACTTGCAAATTCCACAAAAACAGTGTTTCAAATCAGCTCTCTCTAAATGAAAGTTCAACTCTGTCAGTTGAATACACACAACACAAGGAAAGTTACTGAGAATTCTTCTGTCTAGCCTTACATGAAAAAAAACCGTTTCCAACGAAGGCCTCAAAGAAGTCCAAATATCCACGTGCAGACTTTACAAACAGAGTGTTTCCTAACTGCTCTATGAAAAGAAAGGTTAAACTCTGTGAGTTGAACGCCCACATCACAAAGGAGTTTCTGAGAATCATTCTGTCCAGTTTCTATAGGAAGATATTTCCTATTCTACCATTGACCTCAAAGCGGCTGAAATCTCCACTTGCAAATTCCACAAAAAGAGTGTTTCAAGTCTGCTCTCTGTAAAGGATCGTTCAACTCTGTGAGTTGAATACACACAACACAAGGAAGCTACTGAGAATTCTTCTGTCTAGCAGAATATGAAGAAATCCCGTTTCCAACGAAGGCCTCAAAGAGCTCTGAATATCCACTTGCAGACTTTACAAACAGAGTGTTTCCTAACTGCTCTATGAAAAGAAAAGTTAAACTCTGTGAGTTGAACGCACAGATCACAAAGGAGTTTCTGAGAATCATTCTGTCTAGTTTTGAAACGAAGATATTTCCTTTTCTGCCGTTGACCTTAAAGCGCTTGAAATCTACACTTGCAAATTGCACAAATAGAGTGTTTCAAATCTGCTCTGTCTAAGGGAACGTTCAACTCTGTGAGTTGAATGCACACAACACAAGGAAGTTACTGGGAATTCTTCTGTCTAGCCTTACATGAAAAAAACCCGTTTCCAAGGAAGGCCTCTAAGTGGTCAAAATATCCACGTGCAGACTTTACAAACAGAGTGTTTCCAAACCGCTGAATGAAAAGAAAAGTTAAACTCTGAGAGTTGAACGCACACATCACGCAGCAGTTTCTGAGAATGATTTCTGTCTAGTTTTTATAGGAAGATATTTCCTTTTCTACCTTTGACTTCAAAGCGGCTGAAATCTCCACTTGCAAATTCCACAAAAAGAGTGTTACAAGTCTGCTCTGTGTAAAGGATCGTTCAACTCTGCGAGTTGAATACACACAACACAAGGAAGTTACTGAGAATTCTTCTGTCTAGCATAGTATGAAGAAATCCCGTTTCCAACGAAGGCCTCAAAGAGGTCTGAATATCCACTTGCAGACTTTACAAACAGAGTGTTTCCTAACTGCTCTATGAAAAGAAAGGTTAAACTCTGTGAGTTGAACGCACACATCACAAAGAAGTTTCTGAGAATCATTCTGTCTAGTCTTTATATGAAGATAGTTTCCTTTTCTACCATTGACCTCAAAGCGGCTGAAATCTCCACTTGCAAATTCCAAAAAAAGAGTGTTTCAAGTCTGCTCTGTGTAAAGGATCGTTCAACTCTGTGAGTTGAATACACACAACACAAGGAAGTTACTGAGAATTCTTCTGTCTAGCAGAATATGAAGAAATCCCGTTTCCAACGAACGCCACAAGATGTCAGAATATCCACTTACAGAATTGACAAACAGACTGTTTCCTAACTGCTCTATGAAAAGAAAGGTTAAACTCTGTGAGTTGAACGAACACATCACAACGCAGTTTCTGGGAATGATTCTGTCTAGTTTTTATACGAAGATATTTCCTTTTCTACCATTGACCTCAAAGCGGCTGAAATCACCACTTGCCAATTGCACAAAAAGAGTGTTTCAAATCTGCTCTGTCTAAGGGAACGTTCAACTCTTGTGAGTTGAATGTACACAACACAAGGAAGTTACTGAGAATTCTTCTGTCTAGCCTTACAGGAAGAAAACCCGTTTCCAACGAAGGCCTCTAAGTGGTCAAAATATCCACGTGCAGACTTTACAAACAGAGTGTTTCCAAACTGCTGAATGAAAAGAAAAGTTAAACCCTGAGAGTTGAACGCACACATCGCAGAGCAGTTTCTGAGAATGATTCTGTCTAGTTTTGAATCGAAGATATTTCCTTTTCTGCCATTGACCTTAATGCGCTTGAAATCTACACTTGCAAATTGCACAAATAGAGTGTTTCAAATCTGATCTCTCTAAATGAAAGTTCAACTCTGTCAGTTGAATACACACAACACAAGGAAGTTACGGAGAATTCTTCTGTCTAGCCTTATATGAAAAAAACCCGTTTCCAACGAAGGCCTCAAAGAGGTCTGAATATCCACTTGCAGACTTTACAAACAGAGTGTTTCCTAACTGCTCTATGAAAAGGAAGGTTAAACTGTGTGAGTTGAACGCACACATCACAAAGGAGTTTCTGAGAATCATTCTGTCTAGTTTTATAGGAAGATATTTCCTTTTCTACCTTTGACTTCAAAGCGGCTGAAATCTCCACTTGCAAATTCCACAAAAAGAGTGTTACAAGTCTGCTCTGTGTAAAGGATCGTTCAACTCTGTGAGTTGAATACACACAACACAAGGAAGTTACTGAGAATTCTTCTGTCTAGCATAATATGAAGAAATCCCGTTTCCAACGAAGGCCACAAAGAGGTCTGAATATCCACTTGCAGACTTTACAAACAGAGTGTTTCCTAACTGCTCTATGAACAGAAAGGTTAAACTCTGTGAGTTGAACGAACACATCACAACGCAGTTTGTGGGAATGATTCTGTCTAGTTTTGAAACGAAGATATTTCCTTTTCTGCCGTTGACCTTAAAGAGCTTGAAAACTACACTTGCAAATTGCACAAATAGAGTGTTTCAAATCTGCTCTGTCTAAGGGAACGTTCAACTCTGTGAGTTGAATGCACACAACACAAGGAAGTTACTGGGAATTCTTCTGTCTAGAATTACATGAAAAAAACCCGTTTCCAACGAAGGCCTCTAAGTGGACAAAATATCCACGTGCAGACTTTACAAACAGAGTGTTTCCAAACCGCTGAATGAAAAGAAAAGTTAAACTCTGAGAGTTGAACGCACACATCACGCAGCAGTTTCTGAGAATGATTCTGTCTAGTTTTTATACGAAGATATTTCCTTTTCTGCCTTTGACCTCAAAGCGCTTGAAATCTCCATTTGCAAATTCCACAAAAAGACTGTTTCAAATCTGCTCTGTGTAAATGAAAGTTCAACTCTGTGAGTTGAACACACACAACACAAGGAAGTTACTGGGAATTCTTCTTTCTAGCAGAATATGAAGAAATCCCGTTTCCAACGAAAGCCTCAAGGATGTCTGAATATTCACTTGCAGACTTTACAAACAGAGTGTTTCCTAACTGATCTATGAAAAGAAAGGTTAAACTCTGTGAGTTGAACGCACACATCACAAAGGAGTTTCTGAGAATCATTCTGTCTAGTTTTTCTACGAAGATATTTCCTTTTCTACTGTTGACCTCAAAGCGGCTGAAATCTCCACTTGCAAATTCCACAAAAAGAGTGTTTCAAGTCTGCTCTGTGTAAAGGATCGTTCAACTGTGTGAGTTGAATACACACAACACAAGGAAGTTACTGAGAATTCTTCTGTCTAGCAGAATATGAAGAAATCCCGTTTCCAACGAAGGCCACAAGATGTCAGAATATCCACTTATAGAATTTGCAAACAGACTGTTTCCTAACTGCTCTATGAAAAGAAACGTTAAACTCTGTGAGATGAACGAACACATCACAACGCAGCTTGTGGGAATGATTCTGTCTAGTTTTGAAACGGAGATATTTCCTTTTCTGCCATTGACCTTAAAGCGCTTGAAATCTCCACTTTCCAATTGCACAAAAAGAGTGTTTCAAATCTGCTCTGTCTAAGGGAACGTTCAACTCTGTGAGTTGAATGTACACAACACAAGGAAGTTACTGGGAATTCTTCTGTCTAGCCTTACATGAAAAAACCCGTTTCCAACGAAGGCCTCTAAGTGGTCAAAATATCCACGTGCAGACTTTACAAACAGAGTGTTTCCAAACTGCTGAATGAAAAGAAAAGTTAAACTCTGAGAGTTGAACGCACACATCACAGAGCAGTTTCTGAGAATGATTCTGTCTAGTTTTTATACGAAGATATTTCCTTTTCTACCATTGACCTCAACGCGGCTGAAATCTCCACTTGCAAATTCCACAAGAAGAGTGTTTCAAGTCTGCTCTGTGTAAAGGATCGTTCAACTCTGTGAGTTGAATACACACAACACAAGGAAGTTACTGAGAATTCTTCTGTCTAGCACAGTATGAAGAAATCCCGTTTCCAACGAAGGCCTCAAAGAGGTCTGAATATCCACTTGCAGAGTTTACAAACAGAGTGTTTCCTAACTGCTCTATGAAAAGAAAGGTTAAACTCTGTGAGTTGAACGCACACATCACAAAGGAGTTTCTGAGAATCATTCTGTCTAGTTTCTATAGGAAGATATTTCCTATTCTACCATTGACCTCAAAGCGGCTGAAATCTCCACTTGCAAATACCACAAAAAGAATGTTTCAAGTCTGCTCTGTGTAAAGGATCGTTCAATTCTGTGAGTTGAATACACACAACACAAGGAAGTTACTGAGAATTCTTCTTTCTAGCAGAATATGAAGAAATCCCGTTTCCAACGAAGGCCTCAAGGAGGTCTGAATATCCACTGGCAGACTTTACAAACAGAGTGTTTCCTAACTGCTCTATGAACAGAAAGGTTAAACTCTGTGAGTTGAACGAACACATCACAACGCAGTTTGTGGGAATGAATCTGTCTAGTTTTGAAACGAAGATATTTCCTTTTCTGCCATTGACCTTAAAGCGCTTGAAATCTCCATTTGCCAATTGCACAAAAAGAGTGTTTCAAATCTGCTCTGTCTAAGGGAACGTTCAACTCTGTGAGTTGAATGTACACAACACAAGGAAGTTACTGGGAAATCTTCTGACTAGCCTTACAGGAAAAAAACCCGTTTCCAACGAAGGCCTCTAAGTGGTCAAAATATCCACGTGCAGACTTTACAAACAGAGTGTTTCCAAACTGCTGAATGAAAAGAAAAGTTAAACTCTGAGAGTTGAACGCACACATCGCAGAGCAGTTTCTGAGAATGATTCTGTCTAGTTTTTATACGAAGATATTTCCTTTTCTGTCTTTGGCCTCAAAGCGCTTGAAATCTCCACTTGCAAATTCCACAAAAAGAGTGTTTCAAATCTGCTCTGTGTAAATGAGAGTTCAACTCTGTGAGTTGAACACACACAACACAAGGAAGTTACTGGGAATTCTTCTGTCAGGCATAATATGAAGAAAACCCGTTTCCAACGAAGGCCTCAAAGAGGTCTGAATATCCACTTGCAGAGTTTACAAACAGAGTGTTTCCTAACTGCTCTATGAAAAGAAAGGTTAAACTCTGTGAGTTGAACGCACACATCACAAAGGAGTTTCTGAGAATCATCTGTCTAGTTTTTCTACGAAGATATTTCCTTTTCTACTATTGACCTCAAAGCGGCTGAAATCTCCACTTGCAAATTCCACAAAAAGAGTGTTTCAAGTCTGCTCTGTGTAAAGGATCGTTCAACTCTGTGAGTTGAATACACACAACACAAGGAAGTTACTGAGAATTCTTTCTGTCTAGCAGAATATGAAGAAATCCTGTTTCCAACGAAGGCCACAAGATGTCAGAATATCCACTTACAGAATTGACAAACAGACTGTTTCCTAACTGCTCTATGAAAAGAAAGGTTAAACTCTGTGAGTTGAACGAACACATCACAACGCAGTTTGTGGGAATGATTCTGTCTAGTTTTTATAGGAAGATATTTCCTTTTCTACCTTTGACTTCAAAGCGGCTGAAATCTCCACTTGTAAATTCCACAAAAAGAGTGTTACAAGTCTGCTCTGTGTAAAGGATCGTTCAACTCTGTGAGTTGAATACACACAACACAAGGAAGTTACTGAGAATTCTTCTGTCTAGCCTTACATGAAAAAAACCGTTTCCAACGAAGGCCTCTAAGTGGTCAAATTATCCACGTGCAGACTTTACAAACAGAGTGTTTCCAAACTGCTGAATGAAAAGAAAAGTTAAACTCTGAGAGTTGAACGCACACATCGCAGAGCAGTTTCTGAGAATGATTCTGTCTAGTTTTGAAACGAAGATATTTCCTTTTCTGCCTTTGGCCTCAAAGCGCTTGAAATCTCCACTTGCATATTCCACAAAAAGAGTGTTTCAAATCTGCTCTGTGTAAATGAAAGTTCAACTCTGTGAGTTGAACACACACAACACAAGGAAGTTACTGGGAATTCTTCTGTCTAGCAGAATATGAAGAAATCCCGTTTCCACCGAAGGCCTCAAGGAGGTCTGAATATCCACTTGCAGACTTTACAAACAGAGTGTTTCCTAACTGCTCTATGAACAGAAAGGTTAAACTCTGTGAGTTGAACGCACACATCCCAAAGGAGTTTCTGAGAATCATTCTGTCTAGTTTTTCTACGAAGATATTTCCTTTTCTACTATTGACCTCAAAGCGGCTGAAACCTCCACTTGCAAATTCCACAAAAAGAGTGTTTCAAGTCTGCTCTGTGTAAAGGATCGTTCAACTCTGTGAGTTGAATACACACAACACAAGGAAGTTACTGAGAATTCTTCTGTCTAGCAGAATATGAAGAAATCCCGTTTCCAACGAAGGCCTCATAGAGGTCTGAATATCCACTTGCAGACTTTACAAACAGAGTGTTTCCTAACTGTTCTATGAAAAGAAAGGTTAAACTCTGTGAGTTGAACGCACACATCACAAAGGAGTTTCTGAGAATCGTTCTGTCTAGTTTTGAAACGAAGATATTTCCTTTTCTGCCATTGACCTTAAAGCGCTTGAAATCTACACTGGCAAATTGCACAAATAGAGTGTTTCAAATCTGCTCTGTCGAAGGGAACGTTCATCTCTGTGAGTTGAATGCACACAACACAAGGAAGTTACTGGGAATTTTTCTGTCTAGCCTTACATGAAAAAAACCCGTTTCCAACGAAGGCCTCTAAGTGTTCAAAATATCCACGTGCAGACTTTACAACCCGAGAGTTTCCAAACTGCTAAATGAAAAGAAAAGTTAAACTCTGAGAGTTGAACGCACACATCACAGAGCGGTTTCTGAGAATGATTCTGTCTAGTTTTTATACGAAGATATTTCCTTTTCTGCCTTTGGCCTCAAAGCGCTTGAAATCCCCACTTGCAAATTCCACAAAAAGAGTGTTTCAAATCTGCTCTGTGTAAATGAAAGTTCAACTCTGTGAGTTGAACACACACAACACAAGGAAGTTACTGGGAATTCTTCTGTCTAGCCTTATATGAAAAAAACCCGTTTCCAACGAAGGCCTCAAAGAGGTCTGAATATCCACTTGCAGACTTTACAAACAGATTGTTTCCTAACTGCTCTATGAAAAGAAAGGTTAAACTCTGTGAGTTGAACGCACACATCACAAAGGAGTTTCTGAGAATCATTCTGTCTAGTTTCTATAGGAAGATATTTCCTATTCTACCATTGACCTCAAAGCGGCTGAAATCTCCACTTGCAAATTCCACAAAAAGAATGTTTCAAGTCTGCTCTGTGTAAAGGATCGTTCAACTCTGTGATTTGAATACACACAACACAAGGAAGTTACTGAGAATTCTTCTGTCTAGCATAATATGAAGAAATCCCGTTTCCAACGAAGGCCTCAAATAGGTCTGAATATCCACTTGCAGACTTTACAAACAGAGTGTTTCCTAACTGCTCTGTGAAAAGAAAAGTTAAACTCTTTGAGTTGAACGCACACATCACAAAGGAGTTTCTGAGAATCATTCTGTCTAGTTTTGAAAGTAAGATATTTCCTTTTCTGCCATTGACCTTAAAGCGCTTGAAATCTCCACTTGCTAATTGCACAAAAAGAGTGTTTCAAATCTGCTCTGTCTAAGGGAACGTTCAACTCTGTGAGTTGAATGTACACAACACAAGGAAGTTACTGGGAATTCTTCTATCTAGCCTTACAGGAAAAAAACCCGTTTCCAACGAAGGCCTCTAAGTGGTCAAAATATCCACGTGCAGACTTTACAAACAGAGTGTTTCCAAACTGCTGAATGAAAAGAAAAGTTAAACTCTGAGAGTTGAACGCACACATCGCAGAGCAGTTTCTGAGAATGATTCTGTCTAGTTTTTATACGAAGATATTTCCTTTTCTGCCTTTGGCCTCAAAGCGCTTGAAATCTCTACTTGCAAATTCCACAAAAAGAGTGTTTCAAATCTGCTCTGTGTAAATCAAAGTTCAACTCTGTGAGTTGAACACACACAACACAAGGAAGTTACTGGGAATTCTTCTGTCTAGCAGAATATGAAGAAATCCCGTTTCCAACGAAGGCCTCAAGGAGGTCTGAATATCCACTTGCAGACTTTACAAACAGAGTGTTTCCTAACTGCTCTATGAAAAGAAAGGTTAAACTCTGTGAGTTGAACGCACACATCACAAAGGAGTTTGTGAGAATCATTCTGTCTAGTTTTTATAGGAAGATATTTCCTTTTCTACCTTTGACTTCAAAGCGGCTGAAATCTCCCCTTGCAAATTCCACAAAAAGAGTGTTACAAGTCTGCTCTGTGTAAAGGATCGTTCAACTCTGTGAGTTGAATACACACAACACAAGGAAAGTTACTGAGAATTCTTCTGTCTAGCCTTACATGAAAAAAACCCGTTTCCAACGAAGGCCTCAAAGAGGTCAAAATATCCACTTGCAGACTTTACAAACAGAGTGTTTCCTAACTACTCTATGAATAGAAAGGTTAAACTCTGTGAGTTGAACACACACTTCACACAGGAGTTTCTGAGAATCATTCTGTCTAGTTTTGAAACGAAGATATTTCCTTTTCTGCCGTTGACCTTAAAGCGCCTGAAATCTACACTTGCAAATTGCACAAATAGAGTGTTTCAAATCTGCTCTGTCTAAGGGAACGTTCAACTCTGTGAGTTGAATGCACACAACACAAGGAAGTTACTGGGAATTCTTCTGTCTAGCCTTACAGGAAAATAACCCGTTTCCAACGAAGGCCTCTAAGTGGTCAAAATATCCACGTGCAGACTTTACAAACAGAGTGTTTCCAAACTGCTGAATGAAAAGAAAAGTTAAACTCTGAGAGTTGAACGCACACATCGCAGAGCAGTTTCTGAGAATGATTCTGTCTAGTTTTTATACGAAGATATTTCCTTTTCTGCCTTTGGCCCCAAAGCGCTTGAAATCTCCATTTGCAAATTCCACAAAAACAGTGTTTCAAATCTGCTCTCTCTAAATGAAAGTTCAACTCTGTCAGTTGAATACACACAACACAAGGAAGTTACTGAGAATTCTTCTGTCTAGCCTTATTTGAAAAAAACCCGTTTCCAACGAAGGCCTCAAAGAGGTCTGAATATCCACTTGCAGACTTTACAAACAGAGTGTTTCCTAACTGCTCTATGAAACGAAAGGTTAAACTCTGTGAGTTGAGCGCACACATCTCAAAGGAGTTTCTGAGAATCATTCTGTCTAGTTTTTATAGGAAGATATTTCCTTTTCTACCTTTGACTTGAAAGCGGCTGAAATCTCCACTTGCAAATTCCACAAAAAGAGTGTTACAAGTCTGCTCTGTCTAAGGGAACGTTCAACTCTGTGAGTTGAATGTACACAACACAAGGAAGTTACTGGGAATTCTTCTGTCTAGCCTTACAGGAAAAAAACCCGTTTCCAACGAAGGCCTCTAAATGGTCAAAATATCCACGTGCAGACTTCACAAACAGAGTGTTTCCAAACTGCTGAATGAAAAGAAAAGTTAAACTCTGAGAGTTCAACGCACACATCGCAGAGCAGTTTCTGAGAATGATTCTGTCTAGTTTTGAAACGAAGATATTTCCTTTTCTGCCATTGACCTTAAAGCGCTTGAAATCTCCATTTGCCAATTGCACAAAAAGAGTGTTTCAAATCTGCTCTGTCTAAGGGAACAGTTCAACTCTGTGAGTTGAATGTACACAACACAAGGAAGTTACTGGGAATTCTTCTGTCTAGCCTTACATGAAAAAAACCCGTTTCCAACGAAGGCCTCTAAGTGGTCAAAATATCCACGTGCAGACTTTACAAACAGAGTGTTTCCAAACCGCTGAATGAAAAGAAAGGTTAAACTCTGAGAGTTGAACGCACACATCACGCAGCAGTTTCTGAGAATGATTCTGTCTAGTTTTTATACGAAGATATTTCCTTTTCTGCCTTTGGCCCCAAAGCGCTTGAAATCTCCAATTGCAAATTACACAAAAACAGTGTTTCAAATCTGCTCTCTCTAAATGAAAGTTCAACTCTGTCAGCTGAATACACACAACACAAGGAAGTTACTGAGAATTCTTCTGTCTAGCCTTATATGAAAAAAACCCGTTTCCAACGAAGGCCTCAAAGAGGTCTGAATATCCACTTGCAGACTTTACAAACAGAGTGTTTCCTAACTGCTCTATGAAAAGAAACGTTAAACTCTGTGAGTTGAACGCACACATTACAAAGGAGTTTCTGAGAATCATTCTGTCTAGTTTTTATACGAAGATATTTCCTTTTCTACCATAGACCTCAAAGCGGCTGAAATCTCCACTTGCAAATCCCACAAAAAGAGTGTTTCAAGTCTGCTCTGTGTAAAGGATCGTTCAACACTGTGAGTTGAAAACACACAACACAAGGAAGTTTCTGAGAATTCTTCTGTCTAGCAGAATATAAAGAAATCCCGTTTCCAACGAAGGCCACAAGATGTCAGAATATCCACTTACAGACTTTACAAACAGTGTGTTTCCTAACTGCTCTATGAACGGAAAGGTTAAACTCTGTGAGTTGAACGAAAACATCACAACGCAGTTTGTGGGAATGATTCTGTCTAGTTTTGAAACGAAGATATTTCCTTTTCTGCCATTGACCTTAAAGCGCTTGAAATCTCCACTTGCCAATTGCACAAAAAGAGTGTTTCAAATCTGCTCTGTCTAAGGGAACGTTCAACTCTGTGAGTTGAATGTACACAACACAAGGAATTTACTGGGAAATCTTCTGTCTAGCCTTACATGAAAAAAACCCGTTTCCAACGAAGGCCTCTAAGTGGTCAAAATTTCCACGTGCAGACTTTACAAACAGAGTGTTTCCAAACCGCTGAATGAAAAGAAAAGTTAAACTCTGAGAGTTGAACGCACACATCACGCAGCAGTTTTCTGAGAATGATTCTGTCTAGTTTTTATATGAAGATATTTCCTTTTCTGCCTTTGGCCCCAAAGCGCTTGAAATCTCCACTTGCAAATTCCACAAAAACAGTGTTTCAAATCTACTCTC
Organism: Homo sapiens; assembly: GCF_000001405.40. Taxonomy (NCBI): domain Eukaryota; kingdom Metazoa; phylum Chordata; class Mammalia; order Primates; family Hominidae; genus Homo; species Homo sapiens. The sequence continues at coordinate 26,737,008 of NC_000019.10, read as the reverse complement.
TCTAAATGAAAGTTCAACTCTGTCAGTTGAATACACACAACACAAGGAAGTTACTGAGAATTCTTCTGTCTAGCAGAATATGAAGAAATCCCGCTTCCAACGAAGACCTCAAAGAAGTCTGAATATCCACTTGCAGACTTTACAAACAGAGTGTTTCCCAACTGCTCTATGAAAAGAAAGGTTGAACTCTGTGAGTTGAACGCACACATCACAAAGGAGTTTCTGAGAATCATTCTGTCTAGTTTCTATAGGAAGATATTTCCTATTCTACCATTGACCTCAAAGCGGCTTAAATCTCCACTTGCAAATTCCACAAAAAGTGTGTTTCAAGTCTGCTTTGTGTAAATGATCGTTCAACTCTGTGAGTTGAATACACAAAACACAAGGAAGTTACTGAGAATTCTTCTGTCTAGCAGAATATGAAGTAATCCCGTTTCCAACGAAGGCCACAAGATGTCAGAATATCCACTTACAGAATTTACAAACAGACTGTTTCCTAACTGCTCTATGAAAAGAAAGGTTAAACTCTGTGAGTTGAACAAACACATCACAACGCAGTTTGTGGGAATGATTCTGCCTAGTTTTGAAACGAAGATATTTCCTTTTCTGCCATTGACCTTAAAGCGCTTGAAATCTACACTTGCAAATTGCACAAATAGAGTGTTTCAAATCTGCTCTGTCTAAGGGAACGTTCAACTCTGTGAGTTGAATGCACACAACACAAGGAAGTTACTGGGAATTCTTCTGTCTAGCCTTACATGAAAAAAACCCGTTTCCAACCGAAGGCCTCTAAGTGGTCAAAATTTCCACGTGCAGACTTTACAAACAGAGTGTTTCCAAAGCGCTGAATGAAAAGAAAAGTTAAACTCTGAGAGTTGAACGCACACATCACGCAGCAGTTTCTGAGAATGATTCTGTCTAGTTTTTATACGAAGATATTTCCTTTTCTGCCTTTGGCCTCAAAGCGCTTGAAATCTCCATTTGCAAATTCCACAAAAAGAGTGTTCCAAATCTGCTCTGTGTAAATGAAAGTTCAACTCTGTGAGTTGAACACACACAACACAAGGAAGTTACTGGGAAATCTTCTGCCTAGCAGAATAAGAAGAAATCCCGTTTCCAAAGAAGGCCTCAAGGAGGTCTGAATATCCACTTGCAGACTTTACAAACAGAGTGTTTCCTAACTGCTCTATGAAAAGAAAGGTTAAACTCTGTGAGTTGAACGCACACATCACAAAGGAGTTTCTGAGAATCATTCTGTCTAGTCTTTATACGAAGAGATTTCCTTTTCTACCATTGACCTCAAAGCGGCTGAAATCTCCACTTGCAAATTCCACAAAAAGACTGTTTCAAGTCTGCTCTGTGTAAAGGATCGTTCAACTCTGTGAGTTGAATACACACAACACAAGGAAGTTACTGAGAATTCTTCTGTCTAGCATAATATGAAGAAATCCCGTTTCCAACGAAGGCCTCAAAGAGGTCTGAATATCCACTTGCAGACTTTACAAACAGAGTGTTTCCTAACTGCTCTATGAAAAGGAAAGTTAAACTCTGTGAGTTGAACACACACATCACAAAGGAGTTTCTGAGAATCATTCTGTCTAGTTTTGAAACGAAGATATTTCCTTTTCTGCCATTGACTTTAAAGCGCTTGAAATCTACACTTGCAAATTGCACAAATAGAGTGTTTCAAATCTGCTCTGTCTAAGGGAACGTTCAACTCTGTGAGTTGAATGCACACAACACAAGGAAGTTACTGGGAATTCTTTCTGTCTAGCCTTACATGCAAAAAACCCGTTTCCAACGAAGGCCTCTAAGTGGTCAAAATATCCACGTGCAGACTTTACAAACAGAGTGTTTCCAAACCGCTGAATGAAAAGAAAAGTTAAACTCTGAGAGTTGAACGCACACATCACGCAGCAGTTTCTGAGAATGATTCTGTCTAGTTTTTATACGAAGATATTTCGTTTTCTGCCTTTGGCCCCAAAGCGCTTGAAATCTCCACTTGCAAATTCCACAAAAACAGTGTTTCAAATCTGCTCTCTCTAAATGAAAGTTCAACTCTGTCAGTTGAATAAACACAACACAAGGAAGTTACTGAGAATTCTTCTGTCTAGCAGAATATGAAGAAATCCCGTTTCCAACGAAGGCCTCAAAGAGGTCTGAATATCCACTTGCAGACTTTACAAACAGAGTGTTTCCTAACTGCTCTATGAAAAGAAAGGTTAAACTCTGTGAGTTGAACACACACATCACAAAGGAGTTTCTGAGAATCGTTCTGTCTAGTTTCTATAGGAAGATATTTCCTATTCTACCATTGACCTCAAAGCGGCTGAAATCTCCACTTGCAAATTCCACAAAAAGAATGTTTCAAGTCTGCTCAGTGTAAAGGATCGTTCAACTCTGTGAGTTGAATACACACAACACAAGGAAGTTACTGAGAATTCTTCTGTCTAGCGAAATATGAAGAAATCCCGTTTCCAACGAAGGCCACAAGATGTCAGAATATCCACTTACAGACTTTACAAACAGAGTGTTTCCTAACTGCTCTATGAACAGAAAGGTTAAACTCTGTGAGTTGAACGAACACATCACAACGCAGTTTGTGGGAATGATTCTGTCTAGTTTTGAAACGAAGATATTTCCTTTTCTGCCTTTGACCTTAAAGCGCTTGAAATCTACACTTGCAAATTGCACAAATAGAGTGTTTCAAATCTGCTCTGTCTAAGGGAACGTTCAACTCTGTGAGTTGAATGCACACAACACAAGGAAGTTACTGGGAATTCTTCTGTCTAGCCTTACATGAAAAAAACCCGTTTCCAACGAAGGCCTCTAAGTGGTCAAAATTTCCACGTGCAGACTTTACAAACAGAGTGTTTCCAAACCGCTGAATGAAAAGAAAAGTTAAACTCTGAGAGTTGAACGCACACATCACGCAGCAGTTTCTGAGAATGATTCTGTCTAGTTTTTATACGAAGATATTTCCTTTTCTGCCTTTGGCCCCAAAGCGCTTGAAATCTCCACTTGCAAATTCCACAAAAACAGTGTTTCAAAACTACTCTCTCTAAATGAAAGTTCAACTCTGTCAGTTGAATACACACAACACAAGGGAAGTTACTGAGAATTCTTCTGTCTAGCATAATATGAAGAAATCCCGTTTCCAACGAAGGCCTCTAAGAGGTCTGAATATCCACTTGCAGACTTTACAAACAGAGTGTTTCCTAACTGCTCTATGAAAAGAAAGGTTAAACTCTGTGAGTTGAAAGCACCCATCACAAAGGAGTTTCTGAGAATCATTCTGTCTAGTTTTTATAGGAAGATATTTCCTTTTCTAACTTTGACTTCAAAGCGGCTGAAATCTCCACTTGCAAATTCCACAAAAAGAGTGTTACAAGTCTGCTCTGTGTAAAGGATCGTTCAACTCTGTGAGTTGAATACACACAACACAAGGAAGTTACTGAGAATTCTTCTGTCTAGCATAGTATGAAGAAATCCCGTTTCCAACGAAGGCCTCAAAGAGGTCTGATTATCCACTTGCAGACTTTACAAACAGAGTGTTTCCTAACTGCTCTATGAAAAGAAAGGTTAAACTCTGTGAGTTGGACGCACACATCACAAAGAAGTTTCTGAGAATCATTCTGTCTAGTTTTGAAACGAAGATATTTCCTTTTCTGCCATTGACCTTAAAGCGCTTGAAATCTCCATTTGCCAATTGCACAAAAAGAGTGTTTCAAATCTGCTCTGTCTAAGGGAACGTTCAACTCTGTGAGTTGAATGTACACAACAGAAGGAAGTTACTGGGAATTCTTCTGTCTAGCCTTACATGAAAAAAACCCGTTTCCAACGAAGGCCTCTAAGTGGTCAAGTTATCCACGTGCAGATTTTACAAACAGAGTGTTTCCAAACTGCTGAATGAAAAGAAAAGTTAAACTCTGAGCTTTGAACAGACACATCGCAGAGCAGTTTCTGAGAATGATTCTGTCTAGTTTTTATACGAAGAATATTTCCTTTTCTGACTTTGGCCCCAAAGCGCTTGAAATCTCCACTTGCAAATTCCACAAAAACAGTGTTTCAAATCTGCTCTCTCTAAATGAAAGTTCAAATCTGTCAGTTGAATACACACAACACAAAGAAGTTACTGAGAATTCTTCTGTCTAGCATAATATGAAGAAATCCCGTTTCCAACGAAGGCCTCAAAGGGGTCTGAATATCCACTTGCAGACTTTATAAACAGAGTGTTTACTAACTGCTCTATGAAAAGAAAGGTTGAACTCTGTGAGTTGAACACACACATCACAAAGGAGTTTCTGAGAATCATTCTGTCTAGTTTTTCTACGAAGATATTTCCTTTTCTACTATTGACCTCAAAGCGGCTGAAATCTCCACTTGCAAATTCTACAAATAGAGTGTTTCAAGTGTGCTCTGTGTAAAGGATCGTTCAACTCTGTGAGTTGAATACACATAACACAAGGAAGTTACTGAGAATTCTTCTGTCTAGCAGAATATGAAGAAATCCCGTTTCCAACGAAGGCCTCAAGGAGGTCTGAATATCCACTGGCAGACTTTACAAACAGAGTGTTTCCTAACTGCTCTATGAACAGAAAGGTTAAACTCTGTGAGTTGAACGAACACATCACAACGCGGTTTGTGGGAATGATTCTGTCTAGTTTTGAAACGAAGATATTTCCTTTTCTGCCGTTGACCTTAAAGCGCTTGAAATCTACACTTGCAAATTGCACAAATAGAGTGTTTCAAATCTGCTCTGTCTAAGGGAACGTTCAACTCTGTGACTTGAATGCACACAACACAAGGAAGTTACTGGGAATTCTTCTGTCTAGCCTTACATGAAAAAAACCCGTTTCCAACGAAGGCCTCTAAGTGGTCAAAATTTCCACATGCAGACTTTACAAACAGAGTGTTTCCAAACCGCTGAATGAAAAGAAAAGTTAAACTCTGAGAGTTGAACGCACACATCACGCAGCAGTTTCTGAGAATGATTTCTGTCTAGTTTTTATACGAAGATATTTCCTTTTCTGCCTTTGGCCTCAAAGCGCTTGAAATCTCCACTTGCAAATTCCACAAAAAGAGTGTTTCCAATCTGCTCTGTATAAATGAAAGTTCAACACTGTGAGTTGAACACACACAACACAAGGAAGTTACTGGGAATTCTTCTGTATAGCAGAATATGAAGAAATCCCGTTTCCAACGAAGGCCTCAAGGAGGTCTGAATATCCACTTGCAGACTTTACAGAGTGTTTCCTAACTGCTCTATGAAAAGAAAGGTTAAACTCTGTGAGTTGAACGCACACATCACAAAGGAGTTTCTGAGAATCATTCTGTCTAGTCTTTATACGAAGATATTTCCTTTTCTACAATTGACCTCAAAGCGGCTGAAATCTCCACTTGCAAATTCCACAAAAAGAATGTTTCAAGTCTGCTCTCTGTAAAGGATCGTTCAACTCTGTGAGTTGAATACACACAACAGAAGGAAGTTACTGAGAATTCTTCTGTCTAGCATAATATGAAGAAATCCCGTTTCCAACGAAGGCCTCAAAGAGGTCTGAATATCCACTTGCAGACTTTACAAACAGAGTGTTTCCTAACTGCTCTATGAAAAGAAAAGTTAAACTCTGTGTGTTGAACGTACACATCACAAAGGAGTTTCTGAGAATCATTCTGTCTAGTTTTGAAACGAAGATATTTCCTTTTCTGCCGTTGACCTTAAAGCGCTTGAAATCTACACTTGCAAATTGCACAAATAGAGTGTTTCAAATCTGCTCTGTCTAAGGGAACGTTCAACTCTGTGAGTTGAATGCACACAACACAAGGAAGTTACTGGGAATTCTTCTTTTTAGCCTTACAGGAAAAAAACCCGTTTCCAACGAAGGCCTCTAAGTGGTCAAAATATCCACGTGCAGACTTTACAAACAGAGTGTTTCCAAACTGCTGAATGAAAAGAAAAGTTAAACTCTGAGAGTTGAACGCACACATCGCAGAGCAGTTTCTGAGAATGATTCTGTCTAGTTTTTATACGAAGATATTTCCTTTTCTGCCTTTGGCCCCAAAGCGCTTGAAATCTCCACTTGCAAATTCCACAAAAACAGTGTTACAAATCTACTCTCTCTAAATGAAAGTTCAACTCTGTCAGTTGAATACACACAACACAAGGAAGTTACTGAGAATTCTTCTGTCTAGCATAATATGAAGAAATCCCGTTTCCAACGAAGGCCTCAAGGAGGTCTGAATATCCACTTGCAGACTTTACAAACAGAGTGTTTCCTAACTGCTCTATGAAAAGAAAGGTTAAACTGTGTGAGTTGAACGCACACATCACAAAGAAGTTTCTGAGAATCATTCTGTCTAGTTTCTATAGGAAGATATTTCCTATTCTACCATTGACCTCAAAGCGGCTGAAATCTCCACTTGCAAATTCCACAAAAAGAGTGTTTCAGGTCTGCTCTGTGTAAAGGATCGTTCAACTCTGTGAGCTGAATACACACAATACAAGGAAGTTACTGAGAAGTCTTCTGTCTAGCAGAATATGCAGAAATCCCGTTTCCAACGAAGGCCACAAGATGTCAGAATATCCACTTTCAGACTTTACAAACAGAGTGTTTCCTAACTGCTCTATGAACAGAAAGGTTAAACTCTGTGAGTTGAACGAACACTTCACAACGCAGTTTGTGGGAATGATTCTGTCTAGTTTTTATAGGAAGATATTTCCTTTTCTACCTTTGACTTTAAAGCGGCTGAAATCTCCACTTGCAAATTCCACAAAAAGAGTGTTACAAGTCTGCTCTGTCTAAGGGAACGTTCAACTCTGTGAGTTGAATGTACACAACACAAGGAAATTACTGGGAATTCTTCTGTCTAGCCTTACATGAAAAAAACCCGTTTCCAACGAAGACCTCTAAGTGGTCAAATTATCCACGTGCAGACTTTACAAACAGAGTGTTTCCAAACTGCTGAATGAAAAGATAAGTTAAACTCTGAGAGTTGAACGCACACTTCGCAGAGCAGTTTCTGAGAATGATTCTGTCTAGTTTGTATAAGAAGATATATCCTATTCTACCATTGACCTCAAAGCGGCTGAAATCTCCACTTTCAAATTCGACAAAAAGAGTGTTTCAAGCCTGCTCTCTGTAAAGGATCCTTCAACTCTGTGAGTTGAATACACACAACACAAGGAAGTTACTGAGAATTCTTCTGTCTAGCATAATATGAAGAAATCCCGTTTCCAACGAAGGCCTCAAAGAGGTCTGAATATACACTTGCAGACTTTACAAACAGAGTGTTTCCTAACTGCTCTATGAGAAGAAAAGTTAAACTCTGTGAGTTGAACGCACACATCACAAAAGATTTTCTGAGAATCATTCTGTCTAGTTTTTATAGGAAGTTATTTCCTTTTCTACCTTTGACTTCAAAGTGGCTGAAATCTCCACTTGCAAATTCCACAAAAAGAGTGTTACAAGTCTGCTCTGTGTAAAGGATCGTTCAACTCTGTGAGTTGAATACACACAACACAAGGAAGTTACTGAGAATTCTTCTGTCTAGCCTTACATGAAAAAAACCCGTTTCCAACGAAGGCCTCTAAGTGGTCAAGTTATCCATGTGCAGACTTTACAAACAGACTGTTTCCAAACTGCTGAATGAAAAGAAAAGTTAAACTCTGAGAGTTGAACGCACACATCGCAGAGCAGTTTCTGAGAATGATTCTGTCTAGTTTTGAAACGAAGATATTTCCTTTTCTGCCATTGACCTTAAAGCGCTTGAAATCTACACTTGCAAATTGCACAAATAGAGTGTTTCAAATCTGCTCTGTCTAAGGGAACGTTCAACTCTGTGAGTTGAATGCAAACAACACAAGGAAGTTACTGGGAATTCTTCTGTCTAGCCTTACATGAAAAAATCCCGTTTCCAACGAAGGCCTCTAAGTGGTCAAAATATCCACGTGCAGACTTTACAAACAGAGTGTTTCCAAACCGCTGAATGAAAAGAAAACTTACACTCTGTGAGTTGAACGCACACATCACGCAGCAGTTTCTGAGAATGATTCTGTCTAGTCTGTATACGAACATAGTTTCCTTTTCTACCATTGACCTCAAAGCGGCTGAAATCTCCACTTGCAAATTCCACAAAAAGAGTGTTTCAAGTCTGCTCTGTGTAAAGGATCGTTCAACTCTGTGAGGTGAATACACACAACACAAGGAAGTTACTGACAATTCTTCTGTCTAGCAGAATATGAAGAAATCCCGTTTCCAACGAAGGCCTCAAGGAGGTCTGAATATCCACTTGCAGACTTTACACACAGAGTGTTTCCTAACTGCTCTATGAAAAGAAAGGTTAAACTCTGTGAGTTGAACGCACACATCACAAAGGACGTTTCTGAGAATCATTCTGTCTAGTTTTTATATGAAGATATTTCCTTTTCTACCATTGACCTCAAAGCGGCTGAAATCTCCACTTACAAATTCCACAAAAAGAGTGTCTCAAGTCTGCTCTGTGTAAACGATCGTTCAACTCTTTGAGTTGAATACACACAACACAAGGAAGTTTCTGAGAATTCTTCTGTCTAGCAGAATATGAAGAAATCCCGTTTCCCACGAAGGCCACAAGATGTCAGAATATCCACTTACAGAATTTACAAACAGACTGTTTCCTAACTGCTCTACGAAAAGAAAGGTTAAACTCTGTGAGATGAACGAACACATCACAACGCAGTTTGTGGGAATGATTCTGTCTAGTTTTGAAACGAAGATATTTCCTTTTCTGCCATTGACCTTAAAGCGCTTGAAATCTCCACTTGCCAATTGCACAAAAAGAGTGTTTCAAATCTGCTCTGTCTAAGGGAACGTTCAACTCTGTGAGTTGAATGTACACAACACAAGGAAGTTACTGGGAATTCTTCTGTCTAGCCTTACAGGAAAAAAACCCGTTTCCAACGAAGGCCTCTAAGTGGTCAAATTATCCACGTGCAGACTTTACAAACAGAGTGTTTCCAAACTGCTGAATGATAAGAAAAGTTAAACTCTGAGAGTTGAACGCACACATCGCAGAGCAGTTTCTGAGAATGATTCTGTCTACTTTTTATACGAAGATATTTCGTTTTCTGCCTTTGGCCCCAAAGCACTTGAAATCTCCACTTGCAAATTCCACAAAAACAGTGTTTCAAATCTGCTCTCTCTAAATGAAAGTTCAACTCTGTCAGTTGAATACACACAACACAAGGAAGTTACTGAGAATTCTTCTGTCTAGCATAATATGAAGAAATCCCGTTTCCAACGAAGGCCTCAAAGAGGTCTGAATATCCACTTGCACACTTTACAAACAGAGTGTTTCCTAACTGCTCTATGAGAAGAAAAGTTAAACTCTGTGAGTTGAACGCACACACAGAAAAGATTTTCTGAGAATCATTCTGTCTAGTTTCTATAAGAAGACATTTCCTATTCTACCATTGACCTCAAAGCGGCTGAAATCTCCACTTGCAAATTCGACAAAAAGAGTGTTTCAAGCCTGCTCTCTGTAAAGGATCGTTCAACTCTGTGAGTTGAATACACACAACACAAGGAAGTTACTGAGAATTCTTCTGTCTAGGAGAATATGAAGAAATCCCGTTTCCAACGAAGGCCACAAGATGTCACAATATCCACTTACAGAATTGACAAACAGACTGTTTCCTAACTGCTCTATGAAAAGAAAGGTTAAACTCTGTGAGTTGAACGAACACATCACAACGCAGTTTGTGGGAATGATTCTGTCTAGTTTTGAAACGAAGATATCTCCTTTTCTGCCATTGATCTTAAAGCGCTTGAAATCTACACTTGCAAATTGCACAAATAGAGTGTTTCAAATCTGCTCTGTCTAAGGGAACGTTCAACTCTGTGAGTTGAATGCACACAACACATGGAAGTTACTGGGAATTCTTCTGTCTAGCCTTACATGAAAAAAACCCGTTTCCAACGAAGGCCTCTAAGTGGTCAAGTTATCCACGTGCAGACTTTAAAAACAGAGTGTTTCCAAACTGTTGAATGAAAAGAAAAGTTAAACTCTGAGAGTTGAACGCACACATCGCAGAGCAGTTTCTGAGAATGATTCTGTCTAGTTTTTATACTGAAGATATTTCCTTTTCTGCCTTTGGCCTCACAAGCGCTTGAAATCTCCACTTGCAAATTCCACAAAATGAGTGTTTCAAATCTGCTCTGTGTAAATGAAAGTTCAACTCTGTGAGTTGAACACACACAACACAAGGAAGTTACTGGGAATTCTTCTGTCTAGCATAATATGAAGAAATCCCGTTTCCAACGAAGGCCTCAAAGGGGTCTGAATATCCACTTGCAGACTTTACAAACAGAGTGTTTCCTAACTGCTCTATGAAAAGAAAGGTTAAACTCTGTGAGTTGAACGCACACATCACAAAGGAGTTTATGAGAATCATTCTGTCTAGTCTTTATATGAAGATAGTTTCCTTTTCTACCATTGACCTCAAAGCGGCTGAAATCTCCACTTGCAAATTCCACAAAAAGAGTGTTTCAAGTCTGCTCTGTGTAAAGGATCGTTCAACTCCTGTGAGTTGAATACACACAACACAAGGAAGTTACTGAGAATTCTTCTGTCTAGCATAATATGAAGAAATCCCGTTTCCAACGAAGGCGTCAAAGAGGTCTGAATATCCACTTGCAGACTTTACAAACAGAGTGTTTCCTAACTGCTCTATGAAAAGAAAAGTTAAACTCTGTGAGTTGAACGCACACATCACAAAGGAGTTTCTGAGAATCATTCTGTCTAGTCTTTATACGAAGATATTTCCTTTTCTACCATTGACCTCAAAGCGGCTGAAATCTCCACTTGTAAATTCCACAAAAAGAGTGTTTCAAGTCTGCTCTGTGTAAAGGATCGTTCAACTCTGTGAGTTGAATACACACAACACAAGGAAGTTACTGAGAATTCTTCTGTCTAGCCTTACATGAAAAAAACCCGTTTCCAACGAAGGCCTCTAAGTGGTCAAAATTTCCACATGCAGACTTTACAAACAGAGTGTTTCCAAACCGCTGAATGAAAAGAAAAGTTAAACTCTGAGAGTTGAACGCACACATCACGCAGCAGTTTCTGAGAATGATTCTGTCTAGTTTTTATACGAAGATATTTCCTTTTCTACCATTGACCTCAAAGCGGCTGAAATCTCCACCCTGCCAATTCCACAAAAAGAGTGTTTCAAGTCTACTCTGTGTAAAGGATCGTTGAACTCTGTGAGTTGAAAACACACAACGCAACGAAGTTTCTGAGAATTCTTCTGTCTAGCAGAATATGAAGAAATCCCGTTTCCAACGAAAGCCTCAAAGATGTCTGAATATCCACTTGCAGACTTTACAAACAGAGTGTTTCCTAACTGCTCTATGAAAAGAAAGGTTAAACTCTGTGAGTTGAACGCACACATCACAAAGGAGTTTCTTAGAATCATTCTGTCTAGTTTTTATACGAAGATATTTCCTTTTCTACCATTGACCTCAAAGCGGCTGAAATCTCCACTTGCAAATTACACAAAAAGAGTGTTTCAAGTCTACTCTGTGTAAAGCATCGTTCAACTCTGTGAGTTGAAAACACACAACACAAGGAAAGTTTCTGAGAATTCTTCTGTCTAGCAGAATATGAAGAAATCCCGTTTCCAACGAAGGCCACAAGATGTCAGAATATCCACTTACAGAATTTACAAACAGACTGTTTCCTAACTCCTCTATTAAAACAAAGGTTAAACTCTGTGAGTTGAACGAACACATCACAACGCAGTTTGTGGGAATGATTCTGTCTAGTTTTGAAACGAAGATATTTCCTTTTCTGCCATTGACCTTAAAGCGCTTGAAATCTCCACTTGCCAATTGCACAAAAAGAGTGTTTCAAATCTGCTCTGTCTAAGGGAACGTTCAACTCTGTGAGATGAATGTACACAACACAAGGAAGTTACTGGGAATTCTTCTGTCTAGCCTTACAGGAAAAAAACCCGTTTCCAACGAAGGCCTCTAAGTGGTCAAAATATCCACGTGCAGACTTTACAAACAGAGTGTTTCCAAACTGCTAAATGAAAAGAAAAGTTAAACTCTGAGAGTTGAACGCACACATCGCAGAGCAGTTTCTGAGAATGATTCTGTCTAGTTTTGAAACGAAGATATTTCCTTTTCTGCCTTTGGCCTCAAAACGCTTGAAATCTCCACTTGCAAATTCCACAAAAAGAGTGTTTCAAATCTGCTCTGTGTAAATGAAAGTTCAACTCTGTGAGTTGAACACACACAACACAAGGAAGTTACTGGGAATTCTTCTGTCTAGCCTTATATGAAAAAAACCCGTTTCCAACGAAGACCTCAAAGAGGTCTGAATATCCACTTGCAGACTTTACAAACAGAGTGTTTCCTAACTGCTCTATGAAAAGAAAGGTTAAAATCTGTGAGTTGAACACACACATCACAAAGGAGTTTCTGAGAATCATTCTGTCTAGTTTTTATACGAAGATATTTCCTTTTCTACCGTTGACCTCAAAGCGGCTGAAATCTCCACTTGCAAATTCCACAAAAAGAGTGTTTCAAGTCTGCTCTGTGTAAAGGATCGTTCAACTCTGTGAGTTGAATACACACAACACAAGGAAGTTACTGAGAATTCTTCTGTCTAGCAGAATATGAAGAAATCCCGTTTCCAACGAAGGCCACAAGATGTCAGAATATCCACTTACAGACTTTACAAACAGAGTGTTTCCTAACTGCTCTATGAACAGAAAGGGTTAAACTCTGTGAGTTGAACGAACACATCACAACGCTGTTTGTGGGAATGATTCTGTCTAGTTTTGAAACGAAGATATTTCCTTTTCTGCCGTTGACCTTAAAGCGCTTGAAATCTACACTTGGAAATTGCACAAATAGAGTGTTTCAAATCTGCTCTGTCTAAGGGAACGTTCAACTCTGTGAGTTGAATGCACACAACACAAGGAAGTTACTGGGAATTCTTCTGTCTAGCATAATATGAAGAAATCCCGTTTCCAACGAAGGCCTCAAGGAGGTCTGAATATCCACTTGCAGACTTTACAAACAGAGTGTTTCCTAACTGCTCTATGAAAAGAAAGGTTAAATTCTGTGAGTTGAACGCACACATCACAAAGGAGTTTCTGAGAATCATTCTGTCTAGTTTTTATACGAAGATATTTCCTTTTCTACCATTGACCTCAAAGCGGCTGAAATCTCCACTTGCAAATTACACAAAAAGAGTGTTTCAAGTCTGCTCTGTGTAAAGGATCGTTCAACTCTGTGAGTTGAATACACACAACACAAGGAAGTTACTGAGAATTCTTCTTTCTAGCAGAATATGAAGAAATCCCGTTTCCAACGAAAGCCTCAAGGATGTCTGAATATCCACTTGCAGACTTTACAAACAGAGTGTTTCCTAACTGCTCTATGAAAAGAAAGGTTAAACTCTGTGAGTTGAACGCACACATCACAAAGGAGTTTCTGATAATCATTCTGTCTAGTTTCTATAGGAAGATATTTCCTATTCTACCGTTGACCTCAAAGCGGCTGAATTCTCCACTTGCAAATTCCACAACAAGAGTGTTTCAAGTCTGTTCTGTGTAAAGGATCATTCAACTCTGTGAGTTGAATACACACAACACAAGGAAGTTACTGAGAATTCTTCTGTCTAGCAGAATATGAAGAAATCCCGTTTCCAACGAAGGCCACAAGATGTCAGAATATCCACTTACAGAATTTACAAACAGAGTGTTTCCTAACTGCTCTATGAAAAGAAAGGTTAAACTCTGTGAGTTGAACGCACACATCACAAAGGAGTTTCTGAGAATCATTCTGTCTAGTTTTGAAACGAAGATATTTCCTTTTCTGCCATTGACCTTAAAGCGCTTGAAATCTACACTTGCAAATTGCATAAATAGAGTGTTTCAAATCTGCTCTGTCTAAGGGAACGTTCAACTCTGTGAGTTGAATGCACACAACACAATGAAGTTACTGGGAATTCTTCTGTCTAGCCTTACGTGAAAAAAACCCGTTTCCAACGAAGGCCTCTAAGTGGTCAAGTTATCCACGTGCAGACTTTACAAACAGAGTGTTTCCAAACTGCTGAATGAAAAGAAAAATTAAACTCTGAGAGTTGAACGCACACATCGCAGAGCAGTTTCTGAGAATGATTCTGTCTAGTTTTTATACGAAGATATTTCCTTTTCTGCCTTTGGCCCCAAAGCGCTTGAAATCTCCACTTGCAAATTCCACAAAAACAGTGTTTCAAATCTGCTCTCTCTAAACGAAAGTACAACTCTGTCAGTTGAATACACAGAACACAAGGAAGTTACTGAGAATTCTTCTGTGTGCTTTTCATTTGAAGGTATTTCCTTTTCCACCATAGGCCGCAAAGGGCTCCAAATATCCCCTTGCAGATTCTGCAAAATGAGAGATTCAAAACTGCTCAATCAAAAGATAGGTTCAACTCTGTGAGTTGAATGCTCACATAACAAAGAAGTTTCTGAGAATCATTCTGTCTAGTTTTTCTGTGAAGATATTTCCTTTTCTACTATTGACCTCAAAGCGGCTGAAATCTCCACTTGCAAATTCCACAAAAAGAGTGTTTCAAGTCTGCTCTCTGTAAAGGATCGTTCAACTCTGTGAGTTGAATACACACAACACAAGGAAGTTACTGACAATTCTTCTGTCTAGCAGAATATGAAGAAATCCCGTTTCCTACGAAGGCCACAAGATGTCAGAGTATCCACTTACAGACTTTACAAACAGAGTGTTTCCTAACTGCTCTATGAACAGAAAGGTTAAACTCTGTGAGTTGAACGAACACATCACAACGCAGTTTGTGGGAATGATTCTGTCTAGTTTTGAAACGAAGATATTTCCTTTTCTGCCATTGACCTCAAAGCGCTTGAAATCTCCACTTGCCAATTGCACAAAAAGAGTGTTTCAAATCTGCTCTGTCTAAGGGAACGTTCAACTCTGTGAGTTGAATGTACACAACACAAGGAAGTTACTGGGAATTCTTCTGTCTAGCCTTATATGAAAAATAGCCGTTTCCAACGAAGGCCTCAAAGAGGTCTGAATATCCACTTGCAGACTTTACAAACAGAGTGTTTCCTAACTGCTCTATGAAAAGAAAGGTTAAACTCGGTGAGTTGAACGCACACATCACAAAGGAGTTTCTGAGAATCATTCTGTCTAGTTTTTATACGAAGATATTTCCTTTTCTGCCTTTGGCCTCAAAGCGCTTGAAATCTCCATTTGCAAATTCCACAAAAAGAGTGTTTCAAATCTGCTCTGTGTAAATGAAAGTTCAACTCTGTGAGTTGAACACACACAACACAAGAAAGTTACTGGGAATTCTTCTGTCTAGCAGAATATGAAGAAATCCCGTTTCCAACGAAGGCCTCAAAGAGGTCTGAATATCCACTTGCAGACTTTACAAACAGAGTGTTTCCTAATTGCTCTATGAAAAGAAAGGTTAAACTCTGTGAGTTGAACGCACACATCACAAAGGAGTTTCTGAGAATCGTTCTGTCTAGTTTCTATAGGAAGATATTTCCTATTCTACCATTGACCTCAAAGCGGCTGAAATCTCCACTTGCAAATTCCACAAAAAGAGTGTTTCAAGTCTACTCTGTGTAAAGCATCGTTCAACTCTGTGAGTTGAAAACACACAACACAAGGAAGTTTCTGAGAATTCTTCTGTCTAGCATAATATGAAGAAAACCCGTTTCCAACGAAAGCCTCAAAGATGTCTGAATATCCACTTGCAGACCTTACAAACAGAGTTTTTCCTAACTGCTCTATGAAAAGAAATGTTAAACTCTGTGAGTTGAACGCACACATCACAAAGGAGTTTCTGAGAATCATTCTGTCTAGTTTTTATACGAAGATATTTCCTTTTCTACCATTGACCTCAAAGCGGCTGAAATCACCACTTGCCAATTGCACAAAAAGAGTGTTTCAAATCTGCTCTGTCTAAGGGAACGTTCAACTCTGTGAGTTGAATGTACACAACACAAGGAAGTTACTGAGAATTCTCCTGTCTAGCCTTACATGAAAAAAACCCGTTTCCAACGAAGGCCTCCAAGTGGTCAAAATATCCACGTGCAGACTTTACAAAGAGAGTGTTTCCAAACTGCTGAATGAAAAGAAAAGTTAAACTCTGAGAGTTGAACGCACACATCACAGAGCAGTTTCTGAGAATGATTCTGTCTAGTTTTGAAACGAAGATATTTCCTTTTCTGCCTTTGGCCTCAAAGCGCTTGAAATCTCCACTTGCAAATTACACAAAAAGAGTGTTTCAAATCTGCTCTGTGTAAATGAAAGTTCAACTCTGTGAGTTGAACACACACAACACAAGGAAGTTACTGGGAATTCTTCTGTCTAGCATAATATGAAGAAATCCCGTTTCCAACGAAGTCCTCAAGGAGGTCTGAATATCCACTTGCAGACTTTACAAACAGAGTGTTTCCTAACTGCTCAATGAAAAGAAAGGTTAAACTCTGTGAGTTGAACGCACACATCACAAAGGAGTTTCTGAGAATCATTCGGTCTAGTTTCTATAGGAAGATATTTCCTATTCTACCATTGACCTCAAAGCGGCTGAAATCTCCACTTGCAAATTCCACAAAAAGAGTGTTTCAAGTCTGCTCTGTGTAAAGGATCGTTCAACTCTGTGAGTAGAATACACACAACACAAGGAAGTTACTGAGAATTATTCTGTCTAGCAGAATATGAAGAAATCCCGTTTCCAACGAAGGCCACAAGATATCAGAATATCCACTTACAGACTTTACAAACAGAGTGTTTCCTAACTGCTCTATGAACAGAAAGGTTAAACTCTGTGAGTTGGACGAACACATCACAACGCAGTTTGTGGGAATGATTCTGTCTAGTTTTTATACGAAGATATTTCCTTTTCTACCATTGACCTCAAAGCGGCTGAAATCACCACTTGCCAATTGCACAAAAAGAGTGTTTCAAATCTGCTCTGTCTAAGGGAACGTTCAACTCTGTGAGTTGAATGTACACAACACAAGGAAAGTTACTGGGAATTCTTCTGTCTAGCCTTACATGAAAAAAACCCGTTTCCAACGAAGGCCTCTAAGTGGTCAAATTATCCACGTGCAGACTTTACAAACAGAGTGTTTCCAAACTGCTGAATGAAAAGAAAAGTTAAACTCTGAGAGTTGAACGCACACATTCGCAGAGCAGTTTCTGAGAATGATTCTGTCTAGTTTTTATATGAAGATATTTCCTTTTCTGCATTTGGCCTCAAAGCGCTTGAAATCTCCACTTGCAAATTCCACAAAAAGAGTGTTTCAAATCTGCTCTGTGTAAATGAAAGTTCAACTCTGTGAGTTGAACACACACAACACAAGGAAGTTACTGGGAATTCTTCTGTCTAGCCTTATATGAAAAAAACCCTTTTCCAACGAAGGCCTCAAAGAGGTCTGAATATCCACTTGCAGACTTTACAAACAGAGTGTTTCCTAACTGCTCTATGAAAAGAAAGGTTAACCTCTGTGAGTTGAACGCACACATCACAAAGGAGTTTCTGAGAATCATTCTGTCTAGTTTTTATACGAAGATATTTCCTTTTCCACCATTGACCTCAAAGCGGCTGAAATCTCCACTTGCAAATTCCACAAAAAGAGTGTTTCAAGTCGGCTCTGTGTAAAGGATCGTTCAACTCTGTGAGTTGAATACACACAACACAAGGAAGTTACTGAGAATTCTTCTGTCTAGCACAATATGAAGAAATCCCGTTTCCAACGAAAGCCTCGAGGAGGTCTGAATATCCACTTGCAGACTTTACAAACAGAGTGTTTCCTAACTGCTCTATGAAAAGAAAGGTTAAACTCTGTGAGTTGAACGCACACGTCACAAAGAAGTTTCTGAGAATCATTCTGTCTAGTTTTTATACGAAGATATTTCCTTTTCTACCATTGACCTCAAAGCGGCTGAAATCACCACTTGCCAATTGCACAAAAAGAGTGTTTCAAATCTGCTCTGTCTAAGGGAACGTTCAACTCTGTGAGTTGAATGTACACAACACAAGGAAGTTACTGGGAATTCTTCTGTCTAGCCTTACAGGAAAAAAACCCGTTTCCAACGAAGGCCTCTAAGTGGTCAAATTATCCACGTGCAGACTTTACAAACAGAGTGTTTCCAAACTGTTGAATGAAAAGAAAAGTTAAACTCTGAGAGTTGAACGCACACATCGCAGAGCAGTTTCTGAGAATGATTCTTTCTAGTTTTTCTACGAAGATATTTCCTTTTCTACTATTGACCTCAAAGCGGTTGAAATCTCCAATTGCAAATTCCACAAAAAGAGTGTTTCAAGTCTGCTCTCTGTAAAGGATCGTTCAACTCTGTGACTTGAATACACACAACACAAGGAAGTTACTGAGAATTATTCTGTCTAGCAGAATATGAAGAAATCCCGTTTCCAACGAAGGCCTCAAAGGAGCTCTGAATATCCACTTGCAGACTTTACAAACAGAGTGTTTCCTAACTGCTCTATGAAAAGAAAAGTTAAACTCTGTGAGTTGAACGCACACATCACAAAGGAGTTTCTGAGAATCATTCTGTCTAGTATTTATACGAAGATATTTCCTTTTCTACCATTGACCTCAAAGTGGCTGAAATCTCCACTTGCAAATTCCACAAAACGAGTATTTCAAGTCTGCTCTGTGTAAAGGATCGTTCAACTCTGTGAGTTGAATACACACAACACAAAGAAGTTACTGAGAATTCTTCTGTCTAGCAGAATATGAAGAAATCCTGTTTCCAACGAAGGCCACAAGATGTCAGAATATCCACTTACAGAATTTACAAACAGACTGTTTCCTAAGTGCTCTATGAAAAGAAATGTTAAACTCTGTGAGTTGAACGAACACATCGCAACGCAGTTTGTGGGAATGATTCTATCTAGTTTTGAAACGAAGATATTTCCTTTTCTGCCGTTGACCTTAAAGCGCTTGAAATCTACACTTGCAAATTGCACAAATAGAGTGTTTCAAATCTGCTCTGTCTAAGGGAACGTTCAACTCTGTGAGTTGAATGCACACAACACAAGGAAGTTACTGGGAATTCTTCTGTCTAGCCTTACATGAAAAAAACCCGTTTCCAACGAAAGCCTCTAAGTGGTCAAAATATCCACGTGCAGATTTACAAACAGAGTGTTTCCAAACTACTGAATGAAAAGAAAAGTTAAACTCTGAGAGTTGAACGCACACATCACAGAGCAGTTTCTGAGAATGATTCTGTCTAGTTTCTATAAGAAGATATTTCCTATTCTACCATTGACCTCAAAGCGGCTGAAATCTCCACTTGCAAATTCCACAAATAGAGTGTTTCAAGTCTGCTCTGTGTAAAGCATCGTTCAACTCTGTGAGTTGAAGACACACAACACAAGGAAGTTTCTGAGAATTCTTCTGTATAGCAGAATATGAAGAAAACCCGTTTCCAACGAAAGCCTCAAAGATGTCTGAATATCCACTTGCAGACTTTACAAACAGAGTGTTTCCTAACTGCTCTATGAAAAGAAAGGTTAAAGTCTGTGAGTTGAACGCACACATCACAAAGGAGTTTCTGAGAATCATTCTGTCTAGTTTCTATAGGAAGATATTTCCTATTCTACCATTGACCTCAAAGCGGCTGAAATCTCCACTTGCAAATTCCACAAAAAGAGTGTTTCAAGTCTGCTCTGTGTAAAGGATCGTTCAACTCTCTGAGTTGAATACACACAACACAAGGAAGTTACTGAGAATTCTTCTGTCTAGCAGAATATGAAGAAATCCTGTTTCCAACGAAGGCCACAAGATGTCAGAATATCCACTTACAGAATTTACAAACAGACTGTTTCCTAACTGCTCTATGAAAAGAAAGGTTAAACTCTGTGAGTTGAACGAACACATCACAACGCAGTTTGTGGGAATGATTCTGTCTAGTTTTGAAACGAAGATATTTCCTTTTCTGCCATTGACCTTAAAGCGCTTGAAATCTCCACTTGCCAATTGCACAAAAAGAGTGTTTCAAATCTGCTCTGTCTAAGGGAACGTTCAACTCTGTGAGCTGAATGTACGCAACACAAGGAAGTTACTGGGAATTCTTCTGTCTAGCCTTACATGAAAAAAACCCGTGTCCAACGAAGGCCTCTAAGTAGTCAAATTATCCACGTGCAGACTTTACAAACAGAGTGTTTTCAAACTGCTGAATGAAAAGAAAAGTTAAACTTCTGAGAGTTGAACGCACACATCGCAGAGCAGTTTCTGAGAATGATTCTGTCTAGTTTTGAAACGAAGATATTTCCTTTTCTGCCTTTGGCCTCAAAGCGCTTGAAATCTCCACTTGCAAATTCCACAAAAAGAGTGCTTCAAATCTGCTCTGTGTAAATGAAAGTTCAACTCTGTGAGTTGAACACACACAACACAAGGAAGTTACTGGGAATTCTTCTGTCTAGCATAATATGAAGAAATCCCGTTTCCAACGAAGCCCTCAAAGGGGTCTGAATATTCACTTGCAGACTTTATAAACAGAGTGTTTACTAACTGCTCTATGAAAAGAAAGGTTAAACTCTGTGAGTTGAACACACACATCACAAAGGAGTTTCTGAGAATCATTCTGTCTAGTTTCTATAGGAAGATATTTCCTATTCTAACATTGACCTCAAAGTGGCTGAAATCTCCACTTGCAAATTCCACAAAAAGAGTGTTTCAAGTCTGCTCTGTGTAAAGGATCGTTCAACTCTGTGAGTTGAATACACACAACACAAGGAAGTTACTGAGAATTCTTCTGTCTAGCAGAATATGAAGAAATCCCGTTTCCAACGAAGGCCACAAGATGTCAGAATATCCACTTACAGAATTTACAAACAGACTGTTTCCTAACTGCTCTACGAAAAGAAAGGTTAAACTCTGTGAGATGAACGAACACATCACAACGCAGTTTGTGGGAATGATTCTGTCTAGTTTGGAAACGAAGATATTTCCTTTTCTGCCATTGACCTTAAAGCGCTTGAAATCTCCATTTGCCAATTGCACAAAAAGAGTGTTTCAAATCTGCTCTGTCTAAGGGAACGTTCAACTCTGTGAGTTGAATGTACACAACACAAGGAAGTTACTGGGAATTCTTCTGTCTAGCCTTACATGAAAAAAACCCGTTTCCAACGAAGGCCTCTAAGTGGTCAAAATTTCCACGTGCAGACTTTACAAACAGAGTGTTTCCAAACCGCTGAATGAAAAGAAAAGTTCAACTCTGAGAGTTGAACGCACACATCACGCAGCAGTTTCTGAGAATGATTCTGTCTAGTTTTTATACGAAGATATATCCTTTTCTGCCTTTGGCCTCAAAGCGCTTGAAATCTCCACTTGCAAATTCCACAAAAAGAATGTTTCAAATCTGCTCTGTCTAAATGAAAGTTCAACTCTGTCAGTTGAATACACACAACAAAAGGAAGTTACTGAGAATTCTTCTGTATAGCAGAATAAGAAGAAATCCCGTTTCCAACGAAAGCCTCAAAGATGTCTGAATATCCACTTGCAGACTTTACAAACAGAGTGTTTCCTAACTGCTCTATGAAAAGAAAGGTTAAACTCTGTGAGTTGAACGCACACATCACAAAGTAATTTCTGAGAATCATTCTGTCTACTTTCTATAGGAAGATATTTCCTATTCTACCATTGACCTCAAAGCGGCTGAAATCTCCACTTGCAAATTCCACAAAAAGAGTGTTTCAAGTCTGCTCTGTGTAAAGGATCGTTCAACTCTGTGAGTTGAATACACACAACACAAGGAAGTTACTGAGAATTCTTCTGTCTAGCATAATATGAAGAAATCCCGTTTCCAACGAAGGCCTCAAGGAGGTCTGAATATCCACTTGCAGACTTTACAAACAGAGTGTTTCCTAACTGCTCTATGAAAAGAAAGGTTAAACTCTGTGAGTTGAACGCACAAATCACAAAGGATTTTCTCAGAATCATTCTGTCTAGTTTTGAAACTAAGACATTTCCTTTTCTGCCATTGACCTTAAAGCGCTTGATATCTACACTTGCAAATTGCACAAATAGAGTGTTTCAAATCTGCTCTGTCTAAGGGAACGTTCAACTCTGTGAGTTGAATGCACACAACACAAGGAAGTTACTGGGAATTCTACCGTCTAGCCTTACATGAAAAAAAACCCGTTTCCAACGAAGGCCTCTAAGTGGTCAAAATATCCACGTGCAGACTTTACAAACAGAGTGTTTCCAAACTGCTGAATGAAAAGAAAAGTTAAACTTTGAGAGTTGAACGCACACATCACAGAGCAGTTTCTGAGAATGATTCTGTCTAGTTTTTATACGAAGATATTTCCTATTCTACCATTGATCTCAAAGCGGCTGAAATCTCCACTTGCAAATTCCACAAGAAGAGTGTTCCAAGTATGCTCTGTGTAAAGGATCGTTCAACTCTGTGAGTTGAATACACACAACACAAGGAAGTTACTGAGAATTCTTCTGTATAGCAGAATATGAAGAAATCCCATTTCCAACGAAGGCCTCAAGGAGGTCTGAATATCCACTTGCAGACTTTACAAACAGAGTGTTTCCTAACTGCTCTATGAAAAGAAAGGTTAAACTCTGTGAGTTGAACGCAGACATCACAAAGGAGTTTCTGAGAATCACTCTGTCTAGTTTCTATAGAAAGATATTTCCTATTCTACCATTGACCTCAAAGCGGCTGAAATCTCCACTTGCAAATTCCACAAAAAGAGTGTTTCAAGTCTGCTCTGTGTAAAGGATCGTTCAACTCTGTGAGTTGAATACACAGAACACAAGGAAGTTACTGAGAATTCTTCTGTCTAGCACAGTATGAAGAAATCCCGTTTCCAACGAAGGCCACAAGATGTCAGAATATCCACTTACAGAATTTACAAACAGACTGTTTCCTAACTGCTCTACGAAAAGAAAGGTTAAACTCTGTGAGATGAACGAACACATCACAACGCAGTTTGTGGGAATGATTCTGTCTAGTTTTGAAAAGAAGATATTTCCTTTTCTGCCGTTGACCTTAAAGCGCTTGAAATCTACACTTGCAAATTGCACAAATAGAGTGTTTCAAATCTGCCCTGTCTAAGGGAACGTTCCACTCTGTGAGTTGAATGCACACAACACAAGGAAGTTACTGGGAATTCTTCTGTCTAGCCTTACATGAAAAAAACCCGTTTCCAACGAAGGCCTCTAAGTGGTCAAAATTTCCACGTGCAGACTTTACAAACAGAGTGTTTCCAAACCGCTGAATGAAAAGAAAAGTTAAACTCTGAGACTTGAACGCACACATCACGCAGCAGTTTCTGAGAATGATTCTGTCTAGTTTTTATACGAAGATATTTCCTTTTCTGCCTTTGGCCCCAAAGCGCTTGAAATCTCCACTTACAAATTCCACAAAAACAGTGTTTCAAATCTGCTCTCTCTAAATGATAGTTCAACTCTGTCAGTTGAATACACACAACACAAGGAAGTTACTGAGAATTCTTCTGTCTAGCAGAATATGAAGAAATCCCGTTTCCAACGAAGGCCTCAAGGAGGTCTGAATATCCACTTGCAGACTTTACAAACAGAGTGTTTCCTAACTGCTCTATGAAAAGAAAGGTTAAACTCTGTGAGTTGAACGCACACATCACAAAGGAGTTTCTGACAATCATTCTGTCTAGTCTTTATACGAAGATATTTACTTTTCTACCATTGACCTCAAAGCGGCTGAAATCTCCACTTGCAAATTCCACAAAAAGAGTGTTTCAAGTCTGCTCTGTGTAAAGGATCATTCAACTCTGTGAGTTGAATAAACACAACCCAAGGAAGTTACTGAGAATTCTTCTGTCTAGCAGAATATGAAGAAATCCCGTTTCCAACGAAGGCCACAAGGATGTCAGAATATCCACTTACAGAATTTACAAACAGACTGTTTCCTAACTGCTCTATGAAAAGAAAGGTTAAACTCTGTGAGTTGAACGAACACATCACAACGCAGTTTGTGGGAATGATTCTGTCTAGTTTTGAAACGAAGATATTTCCTTTTCTGCCATTGACCTTAAAGCGCTTGAAATCTCCATTTGCCAATTGCACAAAAAGAGTGTTTCAAATCTGCTCTGTCTAAGGGAACGTTCAACTCTGTGAGTTGAATGTACACAACACAAGGAAGTTACTGGGAATTCTTCTGTCTACCCTTACATGAAAAAAACCCGTTTCCAACGAAGGCCTCTAAGTGGTCAAAATATCCACGTGCAGACTTTACAAACAGAGTGTTTCCAAACTGCTGAATGAAAACAAAAGTTAAACTCTGAGAGTTGAACGCACACATCACAGAGCATTTTCTGAGAATGATTCTGTCTAGTTTTCAAACGAAGATATTTCCTTTTCTGCCTTTGGCCTCAAAGCGCTTGAAATCTCCACTTGCAAATTCCACAAAAAGAGTGTTTCAAATCTGCTCTGTGTAAATGAAAGTTCAACTCTGTGAGTTGAACACACACAACACAAGGAAGTTACTGGGAATTCTTCTGTCTAGGAGAATATGAAGAAACCCCGCTTCCAACGAAGGCCTCAAAGAAGTCTGAATATCCACTTGCAGACTTTACAAAGAGAGTTTTTCCCAACTGCTCTATGAAAAGAAAGGTTGAACTCTGTGAGTTGAACGCACACATCACAAAGGAGTTTCTGAGAATCATTCTGTCTAGTTTCTATAGGAAGATATTTCCTATTCTACCATTGACCTCAAAGCGGCTGAAATCTCCACTTGCAAATTCCACAAAAAGAGTGTTTCAAGTCTGCTCTGTGTAAAGGATCGTTCAACTCTGTGAGTTGAATACACACAACACAAGGAAGTTTCTGAGAATTCTTCTGTATAGCAGAATATGAAGAAATCCCGTTTCCAACGAAGGCCTCAAGGAGGTCTGAATATCCACTTGCAGACTTTACAAACACAGTGTTTCCTAACTGCTCTATGAAAAGAAAGGTTAAACTCTGTGAGTTGAACGCAGACATCACAAAGGAGTTTCTGAGAATCACTCTGTCTAGTTTTTATACGAAGATATTTCCTTTTCTACCACTGACCTCAAAGCGGCTGAAATCTCCACCCTGCCAATTCCACAAAAAGAGTGTTTCAAGTCTACTCTGTGTAAAGGATCGTTGAACTCTGTGAGTTGAAAACACACAACACAACGAAGTTTCTGAGAATTCTTCTGTCTAGCCTTACATGAAAAAACCCGTTTCTAACGAAGGCCTCTAAGTGGTCAAAATATCCACGTGCAGACTTTACAAACAGAGTGTTTCCAAACCGTTGAATGAAAAGAAAAGTTAAACTCTGAGAGTTGAACGCACACATCACGCAGCAGTTTCTGAGTATGATTCTGTCTAGTTTTTATACGAAGATATTTCCTTTTCTGCCTTTGGCCCCAAAGCGTTTGAAATCTCCACTTGCAAATTCCACAGAAACAGTGTTTCAAATGTGCTCTCTCTAAATGAAAGTTCAACTCTGACAGTTGAATACACACAACACAAGGAAGTTACTGAGAATTCTTCTGTCTAGCAGAATATGAAGAAATCCCGTTTCCAACGAAAGCCTCAAGGATGTCTGAATATCCACTTGCAGACTGTACAAACAGAGTGTTTCCTAACTGCTCTATGAAAAGAAAGGTTAAACTCTGTGAGTTGAACGCACACATCACAAAGGAGTTTCTGAGAATCATTCTGTCTAGTTTTTATAGGAAGATATTTCCTTTTCTACCTTTGACTTCAAAGCGGCTGAAATCTCCACTTGCAAATTCCACAAAAAGAGTGTTACAAGTCTGCTCTGTGTAAAGGATCGTGCAACTCTGTGAGTTGAATACACACAACACAAGGAAGTTACTGAGAATTCTTCTGTCTAGCAGAATATGAAGAAATCCCGTTTCCAACGAAGGCCTCAAGGAGGTCTGAATATCCACTGGCAGACTGTACAAACAGAGTGTTTCCTAACTGCTCTATGAACAGAAAGGTTAAACTCTGTGAGTTGAACGAACACATCACAACGCAGTTTGTGGGAATGATTCTCTCTAGTTTTGAAACGAAGATATTTCCTTTTCTGCCGTTGACCTTAAAGCGCTTGAAATCTACACTTGGAAATTGCACAAATAGAGTGTTTCAAATCTGCTCTGTCTAAGGGAACGTTCAACTCTGTGAGTTGAATGCACACAACACAAGGAAGTTACTGGGAATTCTTCTGTCTAGCCTTACATGAAAAAAACCCGTTTCCAACGAAGGCCTCTAAGTGGTCAAATTATCCACGTGCAGACTTTACAAACAGAGTGTTTCCAAACTGCTGAATGAAAAGCAAAGTTAAACTCTGAGAGTTGAACGCACACATCACAGAGCAGTTTCTGAGAATGATTCTGTCTAGTTTTTATACGAAGATATTTCCTTTTCTGCCTTTGGCCTCAAAGCAATTGAAATCTCCACTTGCAAATTCCACAAAAAGAGTGTTTCAAATCTGCTCTGTGTAAATGAAAGTTCAACTCTGTGAGTTGAACACACACAACACAAGGAAGTTACTGGGAATTCTTCTGTCTAGCCTTATATGAAAAAAACCCGTTTCCAACGAAGGCCTCAAAGAGGTCTGAATATCCACTTGCAGACTTTACAAACAGAGTGATTCCTAACTGCTCTATGAAAAGAAAGGTTAAACTCTGTGAGTTGAACGCACACATGTCAAAGGAGTTTCTGAGAATCATTCTGTCTAGTTTTTATAGGAAGAAATTTCCTTTTCTACTTTGACTTCAAAGCGGCTGAAATCTCCACTTGCAAATTCCACAAAAAGAGTGTTACAAGTCTGCTCTGTGTAAAGGATCGTTCAACTCTGTGAGTTGAATACACACAACACAAGGAAGTTACTGAGAATTCTTCTGTCTAGCAGAATATGAAGAAATCCCGTTTCCAACGAAGGCCACAAGATGTGAGAATATCCACTTACAGACTTTACAAACAGAGTGTTTCCTAACTGCTCTATGAACAGAAAGGTTAAACTCTGTGAGTTGAACGAACACATCACAACGCAGTTTGTGGGAATGATTCTGTCTAGTTTTGAAACGAAGATATTTCCTTTTCTGCCTTTGAACTTAAAGCGCTTGAAATCTCCATTTGCCAATTGCACAAAAAGAGTGTTTCAAATCTGCTCTGTCTAAGGGAACGTTCAACTCCGTGAGTTGAATGTACACAACACAAGGAAGTTACTGGGAATTCTTCTGTCTAGCCTTACATGAAAAAAAACCCGTTTCCAACGAAGGCCTCTAAGTGGTCAAAATATCCACGTGCAGTCTTTACAAACAGAGTTTTTCCAAACCGCTGAATGAAAAGAAAAGTTAAACTCTGAGAGTTGAACGCACACATCACGCAGCAGTTTCTGAGAATGATTCTGTCTAGTTTTTATACGAAGATATTTCCTTTTCTGCCTTTGGCCCCAAAGCGCTTGTAATCTCCACTTGCAAATTCCACAAAAACAGTGTTTCAAATCTGCTCTCTCTAAATGAAAGTTCAACTCTGTCAGTTGAATACACACAACACAAGGAAGTT
Source organism: Homo sapiens (assembly GCF_000001405.40). NCBI lineage: Eukaryota > Metazoa > Chordata > Mammalia > Primates > Hominidae > Homo > Homo sapiens. The sequence goes on along the minus strand of NC_000019.10, from coordinate 26,709,416 downwards.
ACTGAGAATTCTTCTGTCTAGCAGAATATGAAGAAATCCCCGTTTCCAACGAAGGCCTCAAAGAGGTCTGAATATCCACTTGCAGACTTTACAAACAGAGTGTTTCCTAACTGCTCTATGAAAAGAAAGGTTAAACTCTGTGAGTTGAACGCACACATCACAAAGGAGTTTCTGAGAATCGTTCTGTCTAGTTTTTATAGGAAGATATTTCCTTTTCTACCTTTGACTTCAAAGCGGCTGAAATCTCCACTTGCAAATTCCACAAAAAGAGTGTTACAAGTCTGCTCTGTGTAAAGGATCGTTCAACTTCTGTGAGTTGAATACACACAACACAAGGAAGTTACTGAGAATTCTTCTGTCTCGCAGAATATGAAGAAATCCCGTTTCCAACGAAGGCCACAAGATGTCAGAATATCCACTTACAGACTTTACAAACAGAGTGTTTCCTAACTGCTCTATGAACGGAAAGGTTAAACTCTGTGAGTTGAACGTACACATCACAACGCAGTTTGTGGGAATGATTCTGTCTAGTTTTGAAACGAAGATATTTCCTTTTCTGCCGTTGACCTTAAAGAGCTTGAAAACTACACTTGCAAATTGCACAAATAGAGTGTTTCAAATCTGCTCTGTCTAAGGGAACGTTCAACTCTGTGAGTTGAATGCACACAACACAAGGAAGTTACTGGGAATTCTTCTGTCTAGCCTTACATGAAAAAAACCCGTTTCCAACGAAGGCCTCTAAGTGGTCAAAATTTCCACGTGCAGACTTTACAAACAGAGTGTTTCCAAACCGCTGAATGAAAAGAAAAGTTAAACTCTGAGAGTTGAACGCACACATCACGCATCAGTTTCTGAGAATGTTTCTGTCTAGTTTTTATACGAAGATATTTCCTTTTCTGCCTTTGGCCCCAAAGCGCTTGAAATCTCCACTTGCAAATTCCACAAAAACAGTGTTTCAAATCTGCTCTCTCTAAATGAAAGTTCAACTCTGTCAGTTGAATACACACTACACAAGGAAGTTACTGAGAATTCTTCTGTGTAGCACAGTATGAAGAAATCCCGTTTCCAACGAAGGCCTCAAAGAGGTGTGAATATCCACTTGCAGAGTTTACAAACAGAGTGTTTCCTAACTGCTCTATGAAAAGAAAGGTTAAACTCTGTGAGTTGAACGCACACATCACCAAGAAGTTTCTGAGAATCATTCTGTCTAGTCTTTATACGAAGATATTTACTTTTCTACCATTGACCTCAAAGCGGCTGAAATCTCCACTTGCAAATTCCACAAAAAGAGTGTTTCAAGTCTGCTCTGTGTAAAGGATCGTTCAACTCTGTGAGTTGAATAAACACAACACAAGGAAGTTACTGAGATTTCTTCTATCTAGCATAATATGAAGAAATACCGTTTCCAACGAAGGCCTCTAAGAGGTGTGAATATCCACTTGCAGAGTTTACAAACAGAGTGTTTCCTAACTGCTCTATGAAAAGAAAGGTTAAACTCTGTGAGTTGAACGAACACAGCACAACGCAGTTTGTGGGAATGATTCTGTCTAGTTTTGAAACGAAGATATTTCCTTTTCTGCCATTGACCTTAAAGCGTTTGAAATTTCCACTTGCAAATTGCACAAAAAGAGTGTTTCAAATCTGCTCTGTCTAAATGAAAGTTCAAATCTGTCAGTTGAATACACACAACACAAGCAATTTAAAGGGAATTCTTCTGTCTAGCCTTATATGAAAATAACCCGTTTCCAACGAAGGCCTCAAAGAGGTCTGAATATCCACTTGCAGACTTTACAAACAGAGTGTTTCCTAACTGCTCTATGAAAAGAAAGGTTAAACTCTGTGAGTTGAACGCACACATTACAAAGGAGTTTCTGAGAATCATTCTGTCTAGTTTTTATACGAAGATATTTCCTTTTCTGCCTTTGGCCTCAAAGCGCTTGAAATCTCCACTTGCAAATTCCACAAAAAGTGTGTTTCAAGTCCGCTCTGTGTAAAGGATCGTTCAACTCTGTGAGTTGAATACACACAACACAAGGGAAGTTACTGAGAATTCTTCTGTCTAGCACAGTATGAAGAAATCCCGTTTCCAACGAAGGCCTCAAAGAGGTCTGAATATCCACTTGCAGACTTTACAAACAGAGTGTTTCCTAACTGCTCTATGAAAAGAAAGGTTAAACTCTGTGAGTTGAACGCACACATCACAAAGTAGTTTCTGAGAATCATTCTGTCTAGTTTCTATAGGAAGATATATCCTATTCTACCATTGACCTCAAAGCGGCTGAAATCTCCACTTGCAAATTCCACAAAAAGAGTGTTTCAAGACTGTTCTGTGTAAAGGATCATTCAACTCTGTGAGTTGAATACACACAACACAAGGGAAGTTACTGAGAATTCTTCTGTCTAGCAGAATATGAAGAAATCCCGTTTCCAACGAAGGCCACAAGTTGTCAGAATATCCACTTACAGACTTTACAAACAGAGTGTTTCCTAACTGCTCTATGAACAGAAAGGTTAAACTCTGTGAGTTGAACGAACACATCACAACGCGGTTTGTGGGAATGATTCTGTCTAGTTTTGAAACCAAGATATTTCCTTTTATGCCATTGACCTTAAAGCGCTTGAAATCTCCACTTGCCAATTGCACAAAAAGAGTATTTCAAATCTGCTCTGTCTAAGGGAACGTTCAACTCTGTGAGTTGAATGTACACAACACAAGGAAGTTACTGGGAATTCTTCTGTCTAGCCTTACATGAAAAAAACCCGTTTCCAACGAAGGCCTCTAAGTGGTCAAAATTTCCACGTGCAGACTTTACAAACAGAGTGTTTCCAAACCGCTGAATGAAAAGAATAGTTAAACTCTGAGAGTTGAACGCACACATCACGCAGCAGTTTCTGAGAATGATTCTGTCTAGTTTTTATACGAAGATATTTCCTTTTCTGCTTTTGGCCTCAAAGCGCTTGAAATCTCCATTTGCAAATTCCACAAAAAGAGTGTTTCAAATCTGCTCTGTGTAAATGAAAGTTCAACTCTGTGAGTTGAACACACACAACACAAGGAAGTTACTGGGAATTCTTCTGTCTAGCATAATATGAAGAAATCCCGTTTCCGACGAAGGCCTGAAAGAGGTCTGAATATCCACTTGCAGACTTTACAAACAGAGTGTTTCCAAACTGCTCTATGAAAAGAAAAGTTAAACTCTGTGAGTTGAACGCACACATCACAAAGGATTTTCTGAGAATCATTCTGTCTAGTTTTTCTACGAAGATATTTCCTTTTCTACTATTGACCTCAAAGCGGCTGAAATCTCCACTTGCAAATTCCACAAAAAGAGTGTTTCAAGTCTGCTCTGTGTAAAGGATCATTCAACTCTGTGAGTTGAATACACACAACACAAGGAAGTTACTGAGAATTCTTCTGTCTAGCAGAATATGAAGAAATCCCGTTTCCAACGAAGGCCACAAGATGTCAGAATATCCACTTACAGAATTGACAAACAGACTGTTTGCTAACTGCTCTATGAAAAGAAAGGTTAAACTCTGTGAGTTGAACGAACACATCACAACGCAGTTTGTGGGAATGATTCTGTCTAGTTTTGAAACGAAGATATTTACTTTTCTGCCATTGACCTTAAAGCGCTTGAAATCTCCACTTGCCAATTGCACAAAAAGAGTGTTTCAAATCAGCTCTGTCTAAGGGAACGTTCAAATCTGTGTGTTGAATGTACACAACACAAGGAAGTTACTGGGAATTCTTCTGTCTAGCCTTACAGGAAAGAAACCCGTTTCCAACGAAGGCCTCTAAGTGGTCAAAATATCCACGTGCAGACTTTACAAACAGAGTGTTTCCAAACTGCTGAATGAAAAGAAAAGTTAAACTCTGAGAGTTGAACGCACATATCGCAGAGCAGTTTCTGAGAATGATTCTGTCTAGTTTTTCTACGAAGATATTTCCTTTTCTGCCTTTGGCCCCAAAGCGCTTGGAATCTCCACTTGCAAATTCCACAAAAACAGTGTTTCAAATCTGCTCTCTCTAAATGAAAGTTCAACTCTGTCAGTTGAATACACACAACACAAGGAAGTTCCTGAGAATTCTTCTGTCTAGCCTTATATGAAAAAAACCCGTTTCCAACGAAGGCCTCAAACAGGTCTGAATATCCACTTGCAGACTTTACAAACAGAGTGTTTCCTAACTGCTCTATGAAAAGAAAGGTTAAACTCTGTGAGTTGAACGCACACATCACAAAGGAGTTTCTGAGAATCATTTCTGTCTAGTTTCTATAGGAAGATATTTCCTATTCTAACATTGACCTCAAAGCGGCTGAAATCTCCACTTGCAAATTCCACAAAAAGAGTGTTTCAAGTCTGCTCTGTGTAAAGGATCGTTCAACTCTGTGAGTTGAATACACACAACACAAGGGAAGTTACTGAGAATTCTTCTGTCTATCAGAATATGAAGAAATCCCGTTTCCAACGAAGGCCTCAAGGAGGTCTGAATATCCACTTGCAGACTTTACAAACAGAGTGTTTCCTAACTGCTCTATGAACAGAAAGGTTAAACTCTGTGAGTTGAACGCACACGTCACAAAGGAGTTTACTGAGAATCATTCTGTCTAGTTTTGAAACGAAGATATTTCCTTTTCTGCCGTTGACCTTAAAGCGCTTGAAATCTACACTTGCAAATTGCACAAATAGAGTGTTTCAAATCTGCTCTGTCTAAGGGAACGTTCAACTCTGTGAGTTGAATGCACACAACACAAGGAAGTTACTGGGAATTCTTCTGTCTAGCCTTACATACAAAAAACCCGTTTCCAACGAAGGCCTCTAAGTGGTCAAAATATCCACGTGCAGACTTTACAAACAGAGGGTTTCCAAACCGCTGAATGAAAAGAAAAGTTAAACTCTGAGAGTTGAACGCACACATCACGCAGCAGTTTCTGAGAATGATTCTGTCTAGTTTCTATAGGAAGATATTTCCTATTCTACCATTGACCTCAAAGCGGCTGAAATCTCCACTTGCAAATTCCACAAAAAGAGTGTTTCAAGTCTGCTCTGTGTAAAGGGTCGTTCAACTCTGTGAGTTGAATACACACAACACAAGGAGGTTACTGAGAATTCTTCTGTCTAGCAGAATATGAAGAAATCCCGCTTCCAACGAAGGCCTCAAAGAAGTCTGAATATCCACTTGCAGACTTTACAAACAGAGTGTTTCCCAACTACTCTATTAAAAGAAAGGTTGAACTCTGTGAGTTGAACGCACACATCACAAAGGAGATTCTGAGAATCATTCTGTCTAGTTTCTATAGGAAGATATTTCCTATTCTACCATTGAACTCAAAGCGGCTGAAATCTCCACTTGCAAATTCCACAAAAAGAGTGTTTCAAGTCTGCTCTGTGTAAAGGATCGTGCAACTCTGTGAGTTGAATACACACAACACAAGGAAGTTACTGAGAATTCTTCTGTCTAGCAGAATATGAAGAAATCCCGTTTCCAACGAAGGCCACAAGATGTCAGAATATCCACTTACAGACTTTACAAACAGTGTGTTTCCTAACTGCTCTATGAACGGAAAGGTTAAACTCTGTGAGTTGAACGAACACATCACAACGCAGTTTGTGGGAATGATTCTGCCTAGTTTTGAAACGAAGATATTTCCTTTTCTGCCATTGACCTTAAAGCGCTTGAAATCTCCACTTGCCAATTGCACAAAAAGAGTGTTTCAAATCTGCTCTGTCTAAGGGAACGTTCAACTCTGTGAGTTGAATGTACACAACACAAGGAAGTTACTGGGAATTCTTCTGTCTAGCCTTACATGAAAAAAACCCGTTTCCAACCAAGGCCTCTAAGTGGTCAAAATATCCACGTGCAGACTTTACAAACAGAGTGTTTCCAAACTGCTGAATGAAAAGAAAAGTTAAACTCTGAGAGTTGAACGCATACATCGCAGAGCAGTTTCTGAGAATGATGCTGTCTAGTTTTGAAACGAAGATATTTCCTTTTCTGCCTTTGGCCTCAAAGCGCTTGAAATCTCCACTTGCAAATTCCACAAAAAGAGTGTTTCAAATCTGCTCTGGGTAAATGAAAGTTCAACTCTGTGAGTTGAACACACACAACACAAGGAAGTTACTGGGAATTCTTCTGTCTAGCATAATATGAAGAAATCCCGTTTCCAACGAAGGCCTCAAAGAGGTCTGAATATCCACTTGCAGACATTACAAACAGAGTGTTTCCTAACTGCTCTATGAAAAGAAAGGTTAAACTCTGTGAGTTGAACGCACACATCACAAAGGAGTTTCTGAGAATCATTCTGTCTAGTTTCTATAGGAAGATACTTCCTATTCTACCATTGACCTCAAAGCGGCTGAAATCTCCACTTGCAAATTCCACAACAAGAGTGTTTCAAGTATGCTCTGTGTAAAGGATCGTTCAACTCTGTGAGTTGAATACACACAACACAAGGAAGTTACTGAGAATTCTTCTGTCTAGCATAATATGAAGAAATCCCGCTTCCAACGAAGGCCTCAAGGAGGTCTGAATATCCACTTGCAGACTTTACAAACAGAGTGTTTCCTAACGGCTCTATGAAAAGAAAGGTGAAACTCTGTGAGTTGAACGCACACATCACAAAGGAGTTTCTGAGAATCATTCTGTCTAGTTTTGAAACGAACATATTTCCTTTTCTGCCGTTGACCTTAAAGCGCTTGAAATCTACACTTGCAAATTGCACAAATAGAGTGTTTCAAATCTGCTCTGTCTAAGGGAACGTTCAACTCTGTGAGTTGAATGCACACAACACAAGGAAGTTACTGGGAATTCTTCTGTCTAGCCTTACATGAAAAAAACCCGTTTCCAACGAAGGCCTCTAAGTGGTCAAAATATCCACGTGCAGACTTTACAAACAGAGTGTTTCCAAACCGCTGAATGAAAAGAAAAGTTAAACTCAGAGAGTTGAACGCACACATCACGCAGCAGTTTCTGAGAATGATTCTGTCTAGTTTCTATAAGAAGATATTTCCTATTCTACCATTGACCTCAAAGCGGCTGAAATCTCCACTTGCAAATTCGACAAAAAGAGTGTTTCAAGCCTGCTCTCTGTAAAGGATCTTTCAACTCTGTGAGTTGAATACACACAACACAAGGAAGTTACTGAGAATTCTTCTGTCTAGCATAATATGAAGAAATCCCGTTTCCACCGAAGGCCTCAAAGAGGTCTGAATATCCACTTGCAGACTTTACAAACAGAGTGATTCCTAACTGCTCTATGAAAAGAAAAGTGAAACTCTGTGAGTTGAACGCACACATCACAAAGGAGTTTCTGAGAATCATTCTGTCTAGTCTTTATACGAAGATATTTCCTTTTCTACCATTGACCTCAAAGCGGCTGAAATCTCCACTTGCAAATTCCATAAAAAGAGTGTTTCAAGTCTGCTCTGTGTAAAGGATCGTTCAACTCTGTGAGTTGAATACACACAACACAAGGAAGTAACTGAGAATTCTTCTGTCTTGCAGAATATGAAGAAATCCCGTTTCCAACGAAGGCCACAAGATGTCAGAATATCCACTTACAGACTTTACAAACAGAGTGTTTCCTAACTGCTCTATGAACAGAAAGGTTAAACTCTGTGAGTTGAACGAACACATCACAACGCAGCTTGTGGGAATGATTCTGTCTAGTTTTGAAACGAAGATATTTCCTTTTCTGCCATTGAACTTAAAGCGCTTGAAATCTCCATTTGCCAATTGCACAAAAAGAGTGTTTCAAATCTGCTCTGTCTAAGGGAACGTTCAACTCTGTGAGTTGAATGTACACAACACAAGGAAGTTCCTGGGAATTCTTCTGTCTAGCCTTACATGAAAAAAACCCGTTTCCAACGAAGGCCTCTAAGTGGTCAAAATATCCACGTGCAGACTTTACAAACAGAATGTTTCCAAACCGCTGAATGAAAAGAAAAGTTAAACTCTGAGAGTTGAACGCACACATCACGCAGCAGTTTCTGAGAATGATTCTGTCTAGTTTTTATACGAAGATATTTCGTTTTCTGCCTTTGGCCTCAAAGCGCTTGAAATCTCCATTTGCAAATTCCACAAAAAGAGTGTTTCAAATCTGCTCTGTGTAAATGAAAGTTCAACTCTGTGAGTTGAACACACACAACACAAGGAAGTTACTGGGAATTCTTCTGTCTGGCATAATAAGAAGAAATCCCGTTTCCAAAGAAGGCCTCAAGCAGGTCTGAATATCCACTTGCAGACTTTACAAACAGAGTGTTTCCTAACTGCTCTATGAAAACAAAGGTTAAACTCTGTGAGTTGAACGCACACATCACAAAGGAGTTTCTGAGAATCATTCTGTCTAGTTTCTATAGGAAGATATTTCCTATTCTACCATTGACCTCAAAGCGGCTGAAATCTCCACTTGCAAATTCCACAAGAAGAGTGTTTCAAGTATGCTCTGTGTAAAGGATCGTTCAACTATGTGAGTTGAATACACACAATACAAGGAAGTTACTGAGAATTCTTCTGTCTAGCCTTACATGAAAAAAACCCGTTTCCAACGAAGGCCTCTAAGTGGTCAAGTTATCCACGTGCAGACTTTACAAACAGAGTGTTTCCAAACTGCTGAATGAAAAGAAAAGTTAAACTCTGAGAGTTGAAAGCACACATCGCAGAGCAGTTTCTGAGAATGATTCTGTCTAGTTTTGAAACCAAGATATTTCCTTTTCTGCCGTTGACCTTAAAGAGCTTGAAAACTACACTTGCAAATTGCACAAATAGAGTGTTTCAAATCTGCTCTGTCTAAGGGAACGTTCAACTCTGTGAGTTGAATGCACACAACACAAGGAAGTTACTGGGAATTCTTCTGTCTAGCCTTACATGAAAAAAACCCGTTTCCAACGAAGGCCTCTAAGTGGTCAAGTTATCCACGTGCAGACTTTACAAACAGAGTGTTTCCAAACTGCTGAATGAAAAGAAAAGTTAAACTCTGAGAGTTAAACGCACACATCGCAGAGCAGTTTCTGAGAATGATTCTGTCTAGTTTTTATACGAAGATATTTCCTTTTCTGCCTTTGGCCGCAAAGCGCTTGAAATCTCCATTTGCAAATTCCACAAAAAGAGTGTTTCAAATCTGCTCTGTGTAAATGAAAGTTCAACTCTGTGAGTTGAACACACACAACACAAGGGAAGTTACTGGGAATTCTTCTGTCTAGCATAATATGAAGAAATCCCGTTTCCAACGAAGGCCTCAAGGAGGTCTGAATATCAACTTGCAGACTTTACAAACAGAGTGTTTCCTAACTGCTCTATGAAAAGAAAGGTTAAACTCTGTGAGTTGAACGCACACATCTCAAAGGAGTTTCTGAGAATCATCTGTCTAGTTTCTATAGGAAGATATTTCCTATTCTACCATTGACCTCAAAGCGGCTGAAATCTCCACTTGCAAATTCCACAAAAGGAGTGTTTCAAGTCTGCTCTGTGTAAAGGATCGTTCAACTCTGTGAGTTGAAAACACACAACACAAGGAAGTTTCTGAGAATCTTCTCTGTCTAGCAGAATATGAAGAAATCCCGTTTCCAACGAAAGCCTCAAGGAGGTCTGAATATCCACTTGCAGACTTTACAAACAGAGTGTTTCCTAACTGCTCTATGAACAGAAAGGTTAAACTCTGTGAGTTGAACGAACACATCACAACGCAGTTTGTGGGAATGATTCTGTCTAGTTTTGAAACGAAGATATTTCCTTTTCTGCCATTGACCTTAAAGCGCTTGAAATCTCCATTTGCCAATTGCACAAAAAGAGTGTTTCAAATCTGCTCTGTCTAAGGGAACGTTCAACTCTGTGAGTTGAATGTACACAACACAAGGAAGTTACTGGGAATTCTTCTGTCTAGCCTTACATTAAAAAAAACCCGTTTCCAACGAAGACCTCTAAGTGGTCAAAATATCCACGTGCAGACTTTACAAACAGAGTGTTTCCAAACCGCTGAATGAAAAGAAAAGTTAAACTCTGAGAGTTGAACGCACACATCACGCAGCAGTTTCTGAGAATGATTCTGTCTAGTTTTTATACGAAGATATTTCCTTTTCTATCATTGACATCAAAGCGGCTGAAATCTCCACTTGCAAATACCACAAAAAGAGTGTTTCAAATCTGCTCTGTGTAAATGAAAGTTCAACTCTGTGAGTTGAATACACACAACACAAGGAAGTTACTGGGAATTCTTCTGTCTAGCCTTATATGAAAAAATCCCGTTTCCAAGGAAGGCCTCAAAGAGGTCTGAATATCCACTTGCAGACTTTACAAGCAGAGTGTTTCCTAACTGCTCTATGAAAAGGAAGGTTAAACTCTGTGAGTTGAACGCACACATCACAAAGGAGTTTCTGAGAATCATTCTGTCTAGTTTTTATAGGAAGATATTTCCTTTTCTACCATTGACTTCAAAGCGGCTGAAATCTCCACTTGCAAATTCCACAAAAAGAGTGTTACAAGTCTGCTCTGTGTAAAGGATCGGTCAACTCTGTGAGTTGAATACACACAACACAAGGAAGTTACTGAGAATTCTTCTGTCTAGCCTTACATGAAAAAAACCCGTTTCCAATGAAGGCCTCTAAGTGGTCAAATTATCCACGTGCAGACTTTACAAACAGAGTGTTTCCAAACTGCTGAATGAAAAGAAAAGTTAAACTCTGAGAGTTGAACACACACATCGCAGAGCAGTTTCTGAGAATGATTCTGTCTAGTTTTGAAACGAAGATATTTCCTTTTCTGCCATTGACCTTAAAGCGCTTGAAATCTCCACTTGCCAATTGCACAAAAAGAGTGTTTCAAATCTGCTCTGTCTAAGGGAACGTTCAACTCTGTGAGTTGAATGTACACAACACAAGGAAGTTACTGGGAATTCTTCTGTCTAGCCTTACATGAAAAAAACCCGTTTCCAACGAAGGCCTCTAAGTGGTCAAATTATCCACGTGAAGACTTTACAAACAGAGTGTTTCCAAACTGCTGAATGAAAAGAAAAGTTAAACTCTGAGAGTTGAACGCACACATCGCAGAGCAGTTTCTGAGAATGATTCTGTCGAGTTTTTATACGAAGATATTTCCTTTTCTGCCTTTGGCCTCAAAGCGCTTGAAATCTCCATTTGCAAATTCCACAAAAAGAGTGTTTCAAATCTGCTCTGTGTAAATGAAAGTTCAACTCTGTGAGTTGAACACAGCCAACACAAGGAAGTTACTGGGAATTCTTCTCTCTAGCCTTATATGAAAAAAACCCGTTTCCAACGAAGGCCTCAAAGAGGTCTGAATATCCACCTGCAGACTTTACAAACAGAGTGATTCCTAACTGCTCTATGAAAAGAAAGGTTAAACTCTGTGAGTTGAACACACACATCTCAAAGGAGTTTCTGAGAATCATTCTGTCTAGTTTTTATAGGAAGATATTTCCTTTTCTACCTTTGACTTCAAAGCGGCTGAAATCTCCACTTGCAAATTCCACAAAAAGAGTGTTACAAGTCTGCTCTGTGTAAAGGATCGTTCAACTCTGTGAGTTGAATACACTCAACACAAGGAAGTTACTGAGAATTCTTCTGTCTAGCAGAATATGAAGAAATCCCGTTTCCAACGAAGGCCACAAGGATGTCAGAATATCCACTTACAGAATTTACAAACAGACTGTTTCCTAACTGCTCTATGAAAAGAAAGGTTAAACTCTGTGAGTTGAACGAACACATCACAACGCAGTTTGTGGGAATGATTCTGTCTAGTTTTGAAACCAAGATATTTCCTTTTCTGCCGTTGACCTTAAAGAGCTTGAAAACTACACTTGCAAATTGCACAAATAGAGTGTTTCAAATCTGCTCTGTCTAAGGGAACGTTCAACTCTGTGAGTTGAATGCACACAACACAAGGAAGTTACTGGGAATTCTACTGTCTAGCCTTACAGGAAAAAAACCCGTTTCCAACGAAGGCCTCTAAGTGGTCAAAATATCCACGTGCAGACTTTACAAACAGAGTGTTTCCAAACTGCTGAATGAAAAGAAAAGTTAAACTCTGAGAGTTGAACACACACATCGCAGAGCAGTTTCTGAGAATGATTCTGTCTAGTTTTGAAACGAAGATATTTCCTTTTCTGCCTTCGGCCTCAAAGCGCTTGAAATCTCCACTTGCAAATTCCACAAAAAGAGTGTTTCAAATCTGCTCTGTGTAAATGAAAGTTCAACTCTGTGAGTTGAACACACACAACACAAGGGAAGTTACTGGGAATTCTTCTTTCTAGCAGAATATGAAGAAATCCCGCTTCCAACGAAGGCTTCAAAGAAGTCTGAATATCCACTTGCAGACTTTACAAACAGAGTGTTTCCTAACTGCTCTATGAAAAGAAAGGTTAAACTCTGTGAGTTGAACGCACACATCACAAAGGAGTTTCTGACAATCATTCTGTCTAGTTTTTATAGGAAGATATTTCCTTTTCTACCTTTGACTTCAAAGCAGCTGAAATCTCCACTTGCAAATTCCACAAAAAGAGTGTTACAAGTCTGCTCTGTGTAAAGGATCGTTCAACTCTGTGAGTTGAATACACACAACACAAGGAAGTTACTGAGAATTCTTCTGTCTAGCCTTACATGAAAAAAACCCGTTTCCAACGAAGGCCTCTAAGTGGACAAATTATCCACGTGCAGACTTTACAAACAGAGTGTTTCCAAACTGCTGAATGAAAAGAAAAGTTAAACTCTGAGAGTTGAACGCACACATCGCAGAGCAGTTTCTGAGAATGATTCTGTCTAGTTTTGAAACGAAGATATTTCCTTTTCTGCCATTGACCTTAAAGCGGTTGAAATCTACACTTGCAAATTGCACAAATAGAGTGTTTCAAATCTGCTCTGTCTAAGGGAACGTTCAACTCTGTGAGTTGAATGCACACAACACAAGGAAGTTACTGGGAATTCTTCTGTCTAGCCGTACATGAAAAAAACCCGTTTCCAACGAAGGCCTCTAAGTGGTCAAGTTATCCACGTGCAGACTTTACAAACAGAGTGTTTCCAAACTTCTGAATGAAAAGAAAAGTTAAACTCTGAGAGTTGAACGCACACATCGCAGAGCAGTTTCTGAGAATGATTCTGTCTAGTTTTTATACGAAGATATTTCCTTTTCTGCCTTTGGCCTCAAAGCGCTTGAAATCTCCACCTGCAAATTCCACAAAAAGAGTGTTTCAAATCTGCTCTGTGTAAATCAAAGTTCAACTCTGTGAGTTGAACACACACAACACAAGGAAGTTACTGGGAATTCTTCTGTCTAGCCTTATATGAAAAAAACCCGTTTCCAACGAAGGCCTCAAAGAGGTCTGAATATCCACTTGCAGACTTTACAAACAGAGTGTTTCCTAACTGCTCTATGAAAAGAAAGGTTAAACTCTGTGAGTTGAACGCACACATCACAAAGGAGATTCTGAGAATCATTCTGTCTAGTTTCTATAGGAAGATATTTCCTATTCTAACATTGACCTCAAAGCGGCTGAAATCTCCACTTGCAAATTCCACAAAAAGAGTGTTTCAAGTCTGCTCTGTGTAAAGGATCGTTCAACTCTGTGAGTTGAATACACACAACACAAGGAAGTTTCTGAGAATTCTTCTGTCTAGCAGAATATGAAGAAATCCCGTTTCCAACGAAGGCCTCAAAGAGGTCTGAATATCCACTTGCAGACTTTACAAACAGAGTGTTTCCTAACTGCTCCATGAAAAGAAAGGCTAAACTCTGTGAGTTGAGCGCACACATCACAAAGGAGTTTCTGAGAATCATTCTGTCTAGTTTCTATAGGAAGATATTACCTATTCTACCATTGACCTCAAAGCGGCTGAAATCTCCAGTTGCAAATTCAACAAAAAGTGTGTTTCAAGTCTACTCTGTGTAAAGCATCGTTGAACTCTGTGAGTTGAATACACACAACACAAGGAAGTTACTGAGAATTCTTCTGTCTAGCCTTACATGAAAAAAACCCGTTTCCAACGAAGGCCTCTAAGTGGTCAAAATGTCCACGTGCAGACTTTACAAACAGAGTGTTTCCAAACCGCTGAATGAAAAGAAAAGTTAAACTCTGAGAGTTGAGCGCACACATCACGCAGCAGTTTCTGAGAATGATTCTGTCTAGTTTTTATACGAAGATATTTCGTTTTCTACCTTTGGCCGCAAAGCGCTTGAAATCTCCACTTGCAAATTCCACAAAAACAGTGTTTCAAATCTGCTCTCTCTAAATGAAAGTTCAACTCTGTGAGTTGAATACACACAACACAAGGAAGTTACTGAGAATTCTTCTGTCTAGCCTTATATGAAAAAAAACCGTTTCCAACGAAGGCCTCAAAGAGGGCTGAATATCCACTTGCAGACTTTACAAACAGAGTGTTTCCTAACTGCTCTATGAAAAGAAAGGTTAAACTCTGTGAGTTGAACGCACACATCACAAAGGAGTTTCTGAGAATCATTCTGTCTAGTTTTTATACGAAGATATTTCCTTTTCTACCATTGACCTCAAAGCGGCTGAAATCTCCACTTGCAAATTCCACAAAAAGAGTGTGTCAAGTCTGCTCTGTGTAAAGGATCGTTCAACTCTGTGAGTTGAATACACACAACACGCGGAAGTTACTGAGAATTCTTCTGTCTAGCAGAATATGAAGAAATCCCGTTTCCAACGAAGGCCACAAGATGTCAGAATATCCACTTACAGAATTTACAAACAGACTGTTTCCTAACTGCTCTATGAAAAGAAAGGTTAAACTCTGTGAGTTGAACGAGCACATCACAACGCAGTTTTTGGGAATGATTCTGTCTAGTTTTTATACGAAGATATTTCCTTTTCTACCTTTGACCTCAAAGCGGCTGAAATCACCACTTACCAATTGCACAAAAAGAGTGTTTCAAATCTGCTCTGTCTAAGGGAACGTTCAACTCTGTGAGTTGAATGTAGACAACACAAGGAAGTTACTGGGAATTCTTCTGTCTAGCCTTACAGGAAAAAAACCCGTTTCCAACGAAGGCCTCTAAGTGGTCAAAATATCCACGTGCAGACTTTACAAACAGAGTGTTTCCAAACTGCTGAATGAAAAGAAAAGTTAAACTCTGAGAGTTGAACGCACACATCGCAGAGCAGTTTCTGAGAATGGTTCTGTCTAGTTTTTATACGAAGAGATTTCCTTTTCTACCATTGACCTCAACGCGGCTGAAATCTCCAATTGCAAATTCCACAAAAAGAGTGTTTCAAGTCCGCTCTGTGTAAACGATCGTTCAACTCTGTGAGTTGAATACACACAACACAAGGAAGTTACTGAGAATTCTTCTGTCTAGCACAGTATGAAGAAATCCCGTTTCCAACGAAGGCCTCAAAGTAGGTCTGAATATCCACTTGCAGAGTTTACAAACAGAGTGTTTCCTAACTGCTCTATGAAAAGAAAGGTTAAACTCTGTGAGTTGAACGCACACATCACAAAGAAGTTTCTGAGAATCATTCTGTCTAGTTTTTATAGGAAGATATTTCCTTTTCTACATTTGACTTCAAAGCGGCTGAAATCCCCACTTGCAAATTCCACAAAAAGAGTGTTACAAGTCTGCTTTGTGTAAAGGATCGTTCAACTGTGTGAGTTGAATACACACAACACAAGGAAGTTACTGAGAATTCTTCTTTCTGGCAGAATATGAAGAAATCCCGTTTCCAACGAAAGCCTCAAGGATGTCTGAATATCCACTTGCAGACTTTACAAACAGAGTGTTTCCTAACTGCTCTATGAAAAGAAAGGGTAAACTCTGTGAGTTTAACGCACACATCACAAAGGAGTTTCTCAGAATCATTCTGTCTAGTTTTTATACGAAGATATTTCCTTTTCTACCATTGACCTCAAAGCGGCTGAAATCACCACTTGCCAATTGCACAAAAAGAGTGTTTCAAATCTGCTCTGTCTAAGGGAACGTTCAACTCTGTGAGTTGAATGTACACAACACAAGGAAGTTACTGGGAATTCTTCTGTCTAGCCTTACAGGAAAAAAACCCGTTTCCAACGAAGGCCTCTAAGTGGTCAAAATATCCACGTGCAGACTTTACAAACAGAGTGTTTCCAAACTGCTGAATGAAAAGAAAAGTTAAACTCTTGAGAGTTGAACGCACACATCGCAGAGCAGTTTCTGAGAATGATTCTGTCTAGTTTTTATACGAAGATATTTCCTTTTCTGCCTTTGGCCTCAAAGCGCTTGAAATCTCCACCTGCAAATTCCACAAAAAGAGTGTTTCAAATCTGCTCTGTGTAAATGAAAGTTCAACTCTGTGAGTTGAACACACACAACACAAGGGAAGTTACTGGGAATTCTTCTGTCTAGCCTTATATGAAAAAAACCCGTTTCCAACGAAGGCCTCAAAGAGGACTGAATATCCACTTGCAGACTTTACAAGCAGAGTGTTTCCTAACTGCTCTATGAAAAGAAAGGTTAAACTCTGTGAGTTGAACGCACACATCACAAAGGAGTTTCTGAGAATCATTCTGTCTAGTCTTTATATGAAGGTAGTTTCCTTTTCTACCATTGACCTCAAAGCGGCTGAAATCTCCACTTGCAAATTCCACAAAAAGAGTGTTTCAAGTCTGCTCTGTTTAAAGGATCGTTCAACTCTGTGAGTTGAATACACACAACACAAGGAAGTTACTGAGAATTCTTCTGTCTAGCAGAATATGGAGAAATCCCGTTTCCAACGAAGGCCTCAAAGAGGTCTGAATATCCACTTGCAGACTTTACAAACAGAGTGTTTCCTAACTGCTCTATGAAAAGAAAGGTTAAACTCTGTGAGTTCAACGCACACATCACAAAGGAGTTTCTGAGAATCGTTCTGTCTAGTTTTGAAACGAAGATATTTCCTTTTCTGCCTTTGACCTTAAAGCGCTTGAAATCTACACTTGCAAATTGCACAAATAGAGTGTTTCAAATCTACTCTGTCTAAGGGAACGTTCAACTCTGTGATTTGATTGCACACAACACAAGGAAGTTACTGGGAATTCTTCTGTCTAGCCTTACATGAAAATAACCCGTTTCCAACAAAGGCCTCTAAGTGGTCAAATTATCCACGTGCAGACTTTACAAACAGAGTGTTTCCAAACTGCTGAATGAAAAGAAAAGTTAAACTGTGAGAGTTGAACGCACACATCGCAGAGCAGTTTCTGAGAATGATTCTGTCTAGTTTTTATACGAAGATATTTCCTTTTCTGCCTTTGGCCTCAAAGCGCTTGAAATCTCCATTTGCAAATTCCACAAAAAGAGTGTTTCAAATCTGCTCTGTGTAAATGAAAGTTCAACTCTGTGAGTTGAACACACACAACACAAGGAAGTTACTGGGAAATCTTCTGTCTAGCACAGTATGAAGAAATCCCGTTTCCAACGAAGGCCTGAAAGAGGTCTGAATATCCACTTGCAGAGTTTACAAACAGAGTGTTTCCTAACTGCTCTATGAAAAGAAAGGTTAAACTCTGTGAGTTGAACGCACACATCACAATGAAGTTTCTGAGAATCATTCTGTCTAGTTTTTATACGAAGATATTTCCTTTTCTACCATTGACCTCAACGCGGCTGAAATCTCCACTTGCAAATTCCACAAAAAGAGTGTTTCAAGTCTGCTCTGTGTAAACGATCGTTCAACTCCGTGAGTTGAATACACACAACACAAGGAAGTTACTGAGAATTCTTCTGTCTAGCAGAATATGAAGAAATCCCGTTTCCAACGAAGGCCACAAGATGTCAGAATATCCACTTACAGAATTTACAAACAGACTGTTTCCTAACTGCTCTATGAAAAGAAAGGTTAAACTTCTGTGAGTTGAACGAACACATCACAACGCAGTTTGTGGGAATGATTTCTGTCTAGTTTTGAAACGAAGATATTTCCTTTTCTGCCGTTGACCTTAAAGCGCTTGAAATCTACACTTGCAAATTGCACAGAGTGTTTCAAATCTGCTCTGTCTAAGGGAACGTTCAACTCTGTGAGTTGAATGCACACAACACAAGGAAGTTACTGGGAATTCTTCTGTCTAGCCTTACAGGAAAAAAACCCGTTTCCAACGAAGGCCTCTAAGTGGTCAAGTTATCCACGTGCAGACTTTACGAACAGAGTGTTTCCAAACTGCTGAATGAAAAGAAAAGTTAAACTCTGAGAGTTGAACGCACACATCGCAGAGCAGTTTCTGAGAATGATTCTGTCTAGTTTTTATACGAAGATATTTCCTTTTCTGCCTTTGGCCTCAAAGCGCTTGAAATCTCCATTTGCAAATTCCACAAAAAGAGTGTTTCAAATCTGCTCTGTGTAAATGAAAGTTCAACTCTGTGATTTGAACACACACAACACAAGGAAGTTACTGGGAATTCTTCTGTCTAGCCTTACATGAAAAAAACCCGTTTCCAATGAAGGCCTCAAAGAAGTCCAAATATCCACGTGCAGCCTTTACAAACAGAGTGTTTCCTAACTGCTCTATGAAAAGAAAGGTTAAACTCTGTGAGTTGAACGCACACATCACAAAAGAGTTTCTGAGAATCATTCTGTCTAGTTTCTATAAGAAGATACTTCCTATTCTACCATTGACCTGAAAGCGGCTGAAATCTCCACTTGCAAATTCGACAAAAAGAGTGTTTCAAGCCTGCTCTCTGTAAAGGATCCTTCAACTCTGTGAGTTGAATACACACAACACAAGGAAGTTACTGAGAATTATTCTGTCTAGCACAGTATGAAGAAATCCCGTTTCCAACGAAGGCCTCAAAAAGGTCTGAATATCCACTTGCAGAGTTTACAAACAGAGTGTTTCCTAACTGCTCTATGAAAAGAAAGGTTAAACTCTGTGAGTTGAACGCACACATCACAAAGAAGTTTCTGAGAATCATTCTGTCTAGTTTTTATACGAAGATATTTCCTTTTCTACCATTGACCTCAAAGCAGCTGAAATCTCCACTTGCAAATTCCACAAAAAGAGTGTTTCAAATCTGCTCTGTGTAAACCGTCGTTCAACTGTGTGAGTTGAATACACACAACACAAGGAAGATTCTGAGAATTCTTCTGTCTAGCCTTACATGAAAAAAACCCGTTTCCAACGAAGGCCTCTAAGTGGTCAAATTATCCACGTGGAGACTTTACAAAC
Source organism: Homo sapiens (assembly GCF_000001405.40). Taxonomy (NCBI): domain Eukaryota; kingdom Metazoa; phylum Chordata; class Mammalia; order Primates; family Hominidae; genus Homo; species Homo sapiens. Next base: position 26,690,276 of record NC_000019.10, on the reverse strand, counting down.
AGAGTGTTTCCAAACTGCTGAATGAAAAGAAAAGTTAAACTCTGAGAGTTGAACACACACATCGCAGAGCAGTTTCTGAGAATGATTCTGTCTAGTTTTTATACAAAGATATTTCCTTTTCTGCCTTTGGCCTCAAAGCGCTTGAAATCTCCACTTGCAAATTCCACAAAAAGAGTGTTTCAAATCTGCTCTGTGTAAATGAAAGTTCAACTCTGTGAGTTGAACACACACAACACAAAGAAGTTACTGGGAATTCTTCTGTCTAGCATAATATGAAGAAATCCCGTTTCCAACGAAGGCCTCAAAGGGGTCTGAATATCCACTTGGAGACTTTATAAACAGAGTGTTTACTAACTGCTCTATGAAAAGAAAGGTTAAACTCTGTGAGTTGAACACACACATCACAAAGGAGTTTCTGAGAATCATTCTTTCTAGTTTTTATAGGAAGTTATTTCCTTTTCTACCTTTGACTTCAAAGCGGCTGAAATCTCCACTTGCAAATTCCACAAAAAGAGTGTTACAAGTCTGCTCTGTGTAAAGGATCGTTCAACTCTGTGAGTTGAATACACACAACACAAGGAAGTTACTGAGAATTCTTCTGTCTAGCATAGTATGAAGAAATCCCGTTTCCAACGAAGGCCTCAAAGAGGTGTGAATATCGACTTGCAGAGTTTACAAACAGAGTGTTTCCTAACTGCTGTATGAAAAGAAAGGTTAAACTCTGTGAGTTGAACGCACACATCACAATGAAGTTTCTGAGAATCATTCTGTCTAGTTTTTATACGAAGATATTTCCTTTTCTACCATTGACCTCAAAGCGGCTGAAATCACCACTTGCCAATTGCACAAAAAGAGTGTTTCAAATCTGCTCTGTCTAAGGGAACGTTCAACTCTGTGAGTTGAATGTACACAACACAAGGAAGTTACTGGGAATTCTTCTGTCTAGCCTTACAGGAAAAAAACCCGTTTCCAACGAAGGCCTCTAAGTGGTCAAAATATCCACATGCAGAGTTTACAGAGTGTTTCCAAACTGCTGAATGAAAAGAAAAGTTAAACTCTGAGAGTTGAACGCACACATCGCAGAGCAGTTTCTGAGAATGATTCTGTCTAGTTTTTATACGAAGATATTTCCTTTTCTGCCTTTGGCCCCAAAGCGCTTGAAATCTCCACTTGCAAATTCCACAAAAACAGTGTTTCAAATCTGCTCTCTCTAAAAGAAAGTTCAACTCTGTCAGTTGAATACACACAACACAAGGAAGTTACTGAGAATTCTTCTGTCTAGCATAATATGAAGAAATCCCGTTTCCAACGAAGGCCTCAAAGGGGTCTGAATATCCACTTGCAGACGTTATAAACAGAGTGTTTACTAACTGCTCTATGAAAAGAAAGGTTAAACTCTGTGAGTTGAACACACACATCACAAAGGAGTTTCTGAGAATCATTCTGTCTAGTTTTTCTACGAAGATATTTCCTTTTCTACTATTGACCTCAAAGCGCCTGAAATCTCCACTTGCAAATTCCACAAAAAGAGTGTTTCAAGTCTGCTCTGTGTAAAGGATCGTTCAACTCTGTGAGTTGAATACACACAACACAAGGAAGTTACTGAGAATTCTTCTGTCTAGCAGAATATGAAGAATATCCCGTTTCCAACGAAGGCCACAAGATGTCAGAATATCCACTTACAGAATTGACAAACAGACTGTTTCCTAACTGCTCTATGAAAAGAAAGGTTAAACTCTGTGAGTTGAACGAACACATCACAACGCAGTTTGTGGGAATGATTCTGTCTAGTTTTGAAACGAAGATATTTCCTTTTCTGCCATTGACCTTAAAGCGCTTGAAATCTCCATTTGCCAATTGCACAAAAAGAGTGTTTCAAATCTGCTCTGTCTAAGGGAACGTTCAACTCTGTGAGTTGAATGTACACAACACAAGGAAGTTACTGGGAATTCTTCTGTCTAGCCTTACAGGAAAAAAACCCGTTTCCAACGAAGGCCTCTAAGTGCTCAAAATATCCACGTGCAGACTTTACAAACAGAGTGTTTCCAAACTGCTGAATGAAAAGAAAAGTTAAACTCTGAGAGTTGAACGCACACATCGCAGAGCAGTTTCTGAGAATGATTCTGTCTAGTTTTTATACGAAGATATTTCTTTTTCTGCCTTTGGCCCCAAAGCGCTTGAAATCTCCACTTGCAAATTCCACAAAAACAGTGTTTCAAATCTGCTCTCTCTAAATGAAAGTTCAACTCTGTCAGTTGAATACACACAACACAAGGAAGTTACTGAGAATACTTCTGTCTAGCATAATATGAAGAATCCCGTTTCCAACGAAGGCCTCAAAGAGGTCTGAATATCCACTTGCAGACTTTACAAACAGAGTGTTTCCTAACTGCTCTATGAAAAGAAAAGTTAAACTCTGTGAGTTGAACGCACACATCACAAAGGAGTTTCTGAGAATCATTTTGTCTAGTTTCTATACGAAGATATTTCAATTTCTACCATTAACCTCAAAGAGGCTGAAATCTCCGCTTGCAAATTCCACAAAAAGAGTGTTTCAAGTCTGCCCTGTGTAAAGGATCGTTCAACTCTGTGAGTTCAATGCACACAACACAAGGAAGTTACTGAGAATTCTTCTGTCTAGCAGAATATGAAGAAATCCCGTTTCCAACGAAGGCCTCAAAGAGGTCTGAATATCCACTTGCACACTTTACAAACAGAGTGTTTCCTAACTGCTCTATGAAAAGAAAGGATAAACTCTGTGAGTTGAACTCACACATCACAAAGGAGTTTCTGAGAATCATTCTGTCTAGTTTTGAAACGAAGATATTTCCTTTTCTGCCATTGACCTCAAAGCGCTTGAAATCTCCACTTGCCAATTGCACAAAAAGAGTGTTTCAAATCTGCTCTGTCTAAGGGAACGTTCAACTCTGTGAGTTGAATGTACACAACACAAGGAAGTTACTGGGAATTCTTCTGTCTAGCCTTACAGGAAAAAAACCCGTTTCCAACGAAGGCCTCTAAGTGGTCAAGTTATCCACGTGCAGACTTTACAACCAGAGTGTTTCCAAACTGCTGAATGAAAAGAAAAGTTAAACTCTGAGAGTTGAACGCACACATCGCAGAGCAGTTTCTGAGAATGATTCTGTCTAGTCTTTATATGAAGATATTTCCTTTTCTACCATTGACCTCAAAGCGGCTGAAATCTCCACTTACAAATTCCACAAAAAGAGTGTCTCAAGTCTGCTCTGTGTAAACGATCGTTCAACTCTGTGAGTTGAATACACACAACACAAGGAAGTTTCTGAGAATTCTTCTGTATAGCAGAATATGAAGAAATCCCGTTTCCAACGAAGGCCTCAAGGAGGTCTGAATATCCACTTGCAGACTTTACAAACAGAGTGTTTCCTAACTGCTCTATGAAAAGAAAGGTTAAACTCTGTGAGTTGAACGCAGACATCCCAAAGGAGTTTCTGAGAATCACTCTGTCTAGTTTCTATAGGAAGATATTTCCTATTCTACCATTGACCTCAAAGCGGCTGAAATCTCCACTTGCAAATTCCACAAAAAGAGTGTTTCAAGTCTGCTCTGTGTATAGGATCGTTCAACTCTGTGAGTTGAATAAACACAACACAAGGAAGTTACTGAGAATTCTTCTGTCTAGCAGAAAATGAAGAAATCCCGTTTCCAACGAAGGCCACAAGATGTCAGAATATCCACTTACAGACTTTACAAACACAGTGTTTCCTAACTGCTCTATGAACAGAAAGGTTAAACTCTGTGAGTTGAACGAACACATCACAACGCAGTTTGTGGGAATGATTCTGTCTAGTTTTGAAACGAAGATATTTCCTTTTCTGCCATTGACCTTAAAGCGCTTGAAATCTCCATTTGCCAATTGCACAAAAAGAGTGTTTCAAATCTGCTCTGTCTAAGGGAACGTTCAACTCTGTGAGTTGAATGTACACAACACAAGGAAGTTACTGGGAATTCTTCTGTCTAGCCTTACAGGAAAAAAACCCGTTTCCAACGAAGGCCTCTAAGTGGTCAAGTTATCCACGTGCAGAATTTACAAACAGAGTGTTTCCAAACTGCTGAATGAAAAGAAAAGTTAAACTCTGAGAGTTGAACGCACACATCGCAGAGCAGTTTCTGAGAATGATTCTGTCTAGTTTCTATAGGAAGATATTTCCTATTCTACCATTGACCTCAAAGCGGCTGAAATCTCCACTTGCAAATTCCACAAAAAGAGTGTTTCAAGTCTGCTCTGTGTAAAGGATCGTTCAACTCTGTGAGTTGAATACACACAACAGAAGGAAGTTACTGAGAATTCTTCTGTCTAGCAGAATATGAAGAAATCCCGTTTCCAACGAAAGCCTCAAAGATGTCTGAATATCCACTTGCAGACTTTACAAACAGAGTGTTTCCTAACTGCTCTATGAAAAGAAAGGTTAAACTCTGTGAGTTGAACGCACACATCACAAAGGAGTTTCTGAGAATCATTCTGTCTAGTCTTTATACGAAGATAGTATCCTTTTCTACCATTGACCTCAAAGCGGCTGAAATCTCCACTTGCAAATTCCACAAAAAGAGTGTTTCAAGTCTGCTCTGTGTAAAGGATCGTTCAACTCTGTGAGTTGAATGCACACAACACAAGGAAGTTACTGAGAATTCTTCTTTCTAGCAGAATATGAAGAAATCCCGTTTCCAACGAAAGCCTCAAGGATGTCTGAATATCCACTTGCAGACTTTACAAACAGAGCGTTTCCTAACTGCTCTATGAAAAGAAAGGTTAAACTCTGTGAGTTGAACGCACACATCACAAAGGAGTTTCTGAGAATCATTCTGCCTAGTTTTGAAACGAAGATATTTCCTTTTCTGCCATTGACCTTAAAGCGCTTGAAATCTCCACTTGCCAATTGCACAAAAAGAGTGTTTCAAATCTGCTCTGTCTAAGGGAACGGTTCAACTCTGTGAGTTGAATGTACACAACACAAGGAAGTTACTGGGAATTCTTCTGTCTAGCCTTACATGAAAAAAACCCGTTTCCAACGAAGGCCTCTAAGTGGTCAAATTATCCACGTGCAGACTTTACAAACAGAGTGTTTCCAAACTGCTGAATGAAAAGAAAAGTTAAACTCTGAGAGTCGAACGCACACATCGCACGAGCAGTTTCTGAGAATGATTCTGTCTGGTTTTTATACGAAGATATTTCCTTTTCTGCCTTTGGCCTCAAAGCGCTTGAAATCTCCATTTGCAAATTCCACAAAAAGAGTGTTTCAAATCTGCTCTGTGTAAATGAAAGTTCAACTCTGTGAGTTGGACACACACAACACAAGGAAGTTACTTGGAATTCTTCTGTCTAGCATAATATGAAGAAATCCCGTTTCCAACGAAGGCCTCAAAGGGGTCTGAATATCCACTTGCAGACTTTATAAACAGAGTGTTTACTAACTTCTCTATGAAAAGAAAAGTTAAACTCTGTGTGTTGAACGCACACATCACAAAGGAGTTTCTGAGAATCATTCTGTCTAGTCTTTATACGAAGATATTTCCTTTTCTACCATTGACCTCAAAGCGGCTGAAATCTCCACTTGCAAATTCCACAAAAAGAGTGTTTCAAGTCTGCTCTCTGTAAAGGATCGTTCAACTCTGCGAGTTCAATACACACAACACAAGGAAGTTACTGAGAATTCTTCTGTCTAGCAGAATATGAAGAAATCCCGTTTCCAACGAAGGCCTCAAAGAGGTCTGAATATCCACTTGCAGACTTTACAAACAGACAGTTTCCTAACTGCTCTATGAAAAGAAAGGTTAAACTCTGTGAGTTGAACGCACACATCACAAAGGAGTTTCTGAGAATCGTTCTGTCTAGTTTTGAAAATAAGATATTTCCTTTTCTGCCATTGACCTTAAAGCGCTTGAAATCTCCACTTGCCAATTGCACAAAAAGAGTGTTTCAAATCTGCTCTGTCTAAGGGAACGTTCAACTCTGTGAGTTAAATGTACACAACACAAGGGAAGTTACTGGGAATTCTTCTGTCTAGCCTTACATGAAAAAAACCCGTTGCCAACGAAGGCCTCTAAGTGGTCAAATTATGCACGTGCAGACTTTACAAACAGAGGGTTTCCAAACTGCTGAATGAAAAGAAAAGTTAAACTCTGAGAGGTGAACGCACACATCGCAGAGCAGTTTCTGAGAATCATTCTGTCTAGTTTTTATACGAAGATATTTCCTTTTCTGCCTTTGGCCCCAAAGCGCTTGAAATCTCCACTTGCAAATTCCACAAAACAGGGTTTCAAATCTGCTCTCTCTAAATGAAAGTTCAACTCTGTCAGTTGAATACACACAACACAAGGAAGTTACTGAGAATTCTTCTGTCTAGCCTTACATGAAAAAAACCCGTTTCCAACGAAGGCCTCAAAGAGGTCTCAATATCCACTTGCAGACTTTACAAACAGAGTGTTTCCTAACTGCTCTATGAAAAGAAAGGTTAAACTCTGTGAGTTGAACGTACACATCACAAAGGAGTTTCTGAGAATCATTCTGTCTAGTTTTTATAGGAAGTTATTTCCTTTTCTACCTTTGACTTCAAAGCGGCTGAAATCTCCACTTGCAAATTCCACAAAAAGAGTGTTACAAATCTGCTCTGTGTAAAGGATCGTTCAACTCTGTGAGTTGAATACACACAACACAAGGAAGTTACTGAGAATTCTTCTGTCTAGCAGAATTCGAAGAAATCCTGTTTCCAACGAAGGCCACAAGATGTCAGAATATCCACTTACAGACTTTACAAACAGAGTGTTTCCTAACTGCTCTATGAACAGAAAGGTTAAACTCTGTGAGTTGAACGAACACGTCACAACGCAGTTTGTGGGAATGATTCTGTCTAGTTTTGAAACGAAGATATTTCCTTTTCTGCCATTGACCTTAAAGCGCTTGAAATCTACACTTGCAAATTGCACAAATAGAGTGTTTCAAATCTGCTCTGTCTAAGGGAACGTTCAACTCTGTGAGTTGAATGCACACAACACAAGGAAGTTACTGGGAATTCTTCTCTCTAGCCTTACAGGAAAAAAAACCCGTTTCCAACGAAGGCCTCTAAGTGGTCAAAATATCCACGTGCAGACTTTACAAACACAGTGTTTCCAAACTGCTGAATGAAAAGAAAAGTTAAACTCTGAGAGTTGAACGCACACATCGCAGAGCAGTTTCTGAGAATGATTCTGTCTAGTTTTGAAACGAACATATTTCCTTTTCTGCCTTTGGCCTCAAAGCGCTTGAAATCTCCACTTGCAAATTCCACAAAAAGAGTGTTTCAAATCTGCTCTGTGTAAATGAAAGTTCAACTCTGTGAGTTGAACACACACAACACAAGGAAGTTACTGGGAATTCTTCTGTCTAGCAGAATATGAAGAAATCCCATTTCCAACGAAGGCCTCAAGGAGGTCTGAATATCCACTTGCAGACTTTACAAACAGAGTGTTTCCTAACTGCTCTATGAAAAGAAAGGTTAAACTCTGTGAGTTGAACGCACACATCACAAAGGAGTTTCTGAGAATCATTCTGTCTAGTTTTTATAGGAAGATATTTCCTTTTCTACCTTTGACCTCAAAGCGGCTGAAATCTCCACTTGCAAATTCCACAAAAAGAGTGTTACAAGTCTGCTCTGTGTAAAGGATCGTTCAACTCTGTGAGTTGAATACACACAACACAAGGAAGTTACTGAGAATTCTTCTGTCTAGCAGAATATGAAGAAATCCCGTTTCCAACGAAGGCCAAAAGATGTCAGAATATCCACTTACAGACTTTACAAACAGAGTGTTTCCTAACAGCTCTATGAACAGAAAGGTTAAACTCTGTGTGTTGAACGCACACATCACAAAGGAGTTTATGAGAATCATTCTGTCTAGTTTTGAAACGAAGAATATTTCCTTTTCTGCCATTGACCTTAAAGCGCTTGAAATCTCCATTTGCCAATTGCACAAAAAGAGTGTTTCAAATCTGCTCTGTCTAAGGGAACGTTCAACTCTGTGAGTTGAATGTACACAACACAAGGAAGTTACTGGGAATTCTTCTGTCTAGCCTTACATGAAAAAAACCCGTTTCCAACGAAGGCCTCTAAGTGGTCAAAATATCCACGTGCAGACTTTACAAAGAGAGTGTTTCCAAACCGCTGAATGAAAAGAAAAGTTAAACTCTGAGAGTTGAACGCACACATCACGCAGCAGTTTCTGAGAATGATTCTGTCTAGTTTTTATACGAAGATATTTCCTTTTCTGCCTTTGGCCTCAAAGCGCTTGAAATCTCCACCTGCAAATTCCACAAAAAGAGTGTTTCAAATCTGCTCTGTGTAAATGAAAGTTCAACTCTGTCAGTTGAACACACACAACACAAGGAAGTTACTGGGAATTCTTCTGTCTAGCCTTATATGAAAAAAACCCGTTTCCGAAGAAGGCCTCAAAGAGGTCAGAATATCCACTTGCAGACTTTACAAACAGAGTGTTTCCTAACTGCTCTATGAAAAGAAAGGTTAAACTCTGTGAGTTGAACACACACATCACAAAGGAGTTTCTGAGAATCATTCTGTCTAGTTTTTATAGGAAGATATTTCCTTTTCTACCTTTGACTTCAAAGCGGCTGAAATCTCCACTTGCAAATTCCACAAAAAGAGTTTTACAAGTCTGCTCTGTGTAAAGGATCGTTCAACTCTGTGAGATGAATACACACAACACAAGGAAGTTACTGAGAATTCTTCTGTCTAGCCTTACATGAAAAAAACTCGTTTCCAACGAAGGCCTCTAAGTGGTCAAGTTATCCACGTGCAGACTTTACAAACAGAGTGTTTCCAAACTACTGAATGAAAAGAGAAGTTAAACTCTGAGAGTTGAACGCACACATCGCAGAGCAGTTTCTGAGAATGATTCTGTCTAGTTTTGAAACGAAGATATTTCCTTTTCTGCCATTGACCTTAAAGCGCTTGAAATCTACACTTGCAAATTGCACAAATAGAGTGTTTCATATCTGCTCTGTCTAAGGGAACGTTCAACTCTGTGAGTTGAATGCACACAACACAAGGAAGTTACTGGCAATTCTTCTTGTCTAGCCTTACAGGAAAAAAACCCGTTTCCAACGAAGGCCTCTAAGAGGTCAAAATATCCACGTGCAGACTTTACAAACAGAGTGTTTCCAAACTGCTGAATGAAAAGAAAAGTTAAACTCTGAGAGTTGAACGCACACATCGCAGAGCAGTTTCTGAGAATGATTCTGTCTAGTTTTTATACGAAGATATTTCCTTTTCTGCCTTTGGCCCCAAAGCGCTTGAAATCTCCACTTGCAAATTCCACAAAAACAGTGTTTCAAATCTGCTCTCTCTAAATGAAGGTTCAACTCTGTCAGTTGAATACACACAACACAAGGAAGTTACTGAGAATTCTTCTGTCTAGCATAATATGAAGAAATCCCGTTTCCAACGAAGGCCTCAAAGAGGTCTGAATATCCACTTGCAGACTTTACAGAGTGTTTCCTAACTGCTCTATGAAAAGACAAGTTAAACTCTGTGAGTTGAACGCACACATCACAAAGGAGTTTCTGAGAATCATTCTGTCTAGTCTTTATACGAAGATATTTCCTTTTCTACCATTGACCTCAAAGCGGCTGAAATCTCCACTTGCAAATTCCCCAAAAAGAGTGTTTCAAGTCTGCTCTGTGTAAAGGATCGTTCAACTCTGTGAGTTGAATACACACAACACAAGGAAGTTACTGAGAATTCTTCTGTCTAGCAGAATATGAAGAAATCCCGTTTCCAACGAAGGCCTCAAGGAGGTCTGAATATCCACTTGCAGACTTTTCAAACAGAGTGTTTCCTAACTGCTCTATGACAAGAAAGGTTAAACTCTGTGAGTTGAACGCACACATCACAAAGGAGTTTATGAGAATCATTCTGTCTAGTTTTGAAACGAAGATATTTCCTTTTCTGCCATTGACCTTAAAGCGCTTGAAATCTCCACTTGCCAATTGCACAAAAAGAGTGTTTCAAATCTGCTCTGTCTAAGGGAACGTTCAACTCTGTGAGTTGAATGTACACAACGCAAGGAAGTTACTGGGAATTCTTCTGTCTAGCCTTACATGAAAAAAACCCGTTTCCAACGAAGGCCTCTAAGTGGTCAAATTATCCACGTGCAGACTTTACAAACAGAGTGTTTCCAAACTGCTGAATGAAAAGCAAAGTTAAACTTTGAGAGTTGAACGCACACATCGCAGAGCAGTTTCTGAGAATGATTCTGTCTAGTTTTTATACAAAGATATTTCCTTTTCTGCCTTTGGCCTCAAAGCGCTTGAAATCTCCATTTGCAAATTCCACAAAAAGAGTGTTTCAAATCTGCTCTGTGTAAATGAAAGTTCAACTCTGTGAGTTGAACACACACAACACAAGGAAGTTACTGGGAATTCTTCTGTCTAGCATAATATGAAGAAATCCCGTTTCCAACGAAGGCTTCAAAGAGGTCTGAATATCCACTTGCAGACTTTACAAACAGAGTGTTTCCTAACTGCTCTATGAAAAGAAAAGTTAAACTCTTTGAGTTGAACGCACACATCACAAAGGAGTTTCTGAGAATCATTCTGTCTAGTCTTTATACGAAGATATTTCCTTTTCTACCATTGACCTCAAAACCCCTGAAATCTCCACTTGCAAATTCCACAAAAAGAGTGTTTCAAGTCTGCTCTCTGTAAAGGATCGTTCAACTCTGTGAGTTGAATACACACAACACAAGGAAGTTACTGAGAATTCTTCTGTCTAGCAGAATATGAAGAAATCCCGTTTCCAACGAAGGCCACAAGATGTCAGAATATCCACTTACAGAATTTACAAACATAGTGTTTCCTAACTGCTCTATGAAAAGAAAGGTTAAACTCTGTGAGATGAACGAACACATCACAACACAGTTTGTGGGAATGATTCTGTCTAGTTTTGAAACGAAGATATTTCCTTTTCTGCCATTGACCTTAAAGCGCTTGAAATCTACACTTGCAAATTGCACAAATAGAGTGTTTCAAATCTGCTCTGTCTAAGGGAACGTTCAACTCTGTGAGTTGAATGCACAAAACACAAGGAAGTTACTGGGAATTCTTCTGTCTACCCTTACATGAAAAAAACCCGTTTCCAACGAAGACCTCTAAGTGGTCAAATTATCCACGTGCAGACTTTACAAACAGAGTGTTTCCAAACTGCTGAATGAAAAGAAAAGTTAAACTCAGAGAGTTGAACGCACACATCGCATAGCAGTTTCTGAGAATGATTCTGTCTAGTTTTTATACGAAGATATTTCCTTTTCTGCCTTTGGCCTCAAAGCGCTTGAAATCTCCATTTGCAAATTCCACAAAAAGAGTGTTTCAAATCTGCTCTGTGTAAATGAAAGTTCAACTCTGTGAGTTGAACACACACAACACATGGAAGTTACTGGGAATTCTTCTGTCTAGCCTTATATGAAAAAAACCCGTTTCCAACGAAGGCCTCAAAGAGGTCTGAATATCCACTTAGAGACTTTACAAACAGAGTGTTTCCTAACTGCTCTATGAAAAGAAAGGTTAAACTCTGTGAGTTGAACGCACACATCACAAAGGAGTTTCTGAGAATCATTCTGTCTAGTTTTTCTACGAAGATATTTCCTTTTCTACTATTGACCTCAAAGCGGCTGAAATCTCCACTTGCAAATTCCACAAAAAGAGTGTTTCAAGACTGCTCTGTGTAAAGGATCGTTCAACTCTGTGAGTTGAATACACACAACACAAGGAAGTTACTGAGAATTCTTCTGTGTAGCAGAATATGAAGAAATCCCGTTTCCAACGAAGGCCTCAAAGAGGTCTGAATATCCACTTGCAGACTTTACAAACAGAGTGTTTCCTAACTGCTCTATGAAAAGAAAGGTTAATCTCTGTGAGGTGAACGCACACATCACAAAGGAGTTTCTGAGAATCATTCTGTCTATTTTCTATAGGAAGATATTTCCTATTCTACCATTGACCTCAAAGCGGCTGAAATCTCCACTTGCAAATTCCACAAAAAGAGTGTTTCAAGTCTGCTCTCTGTAAAGGATTCGTTCAACTCTGTGAGTTGAATACACACAACACAAGGAAGTTACTGAGAATTCTTCTGTCTAGCCTTACATGAAAAAATCCCGTTTCCAACGAAGGCCTCTAAGTGGTCAAAATATCCACGTGCAGACTTTACAAACAGAGTGTTTCCAAACCGCTGAATGACTAGAAAAGTTAAACTCTGAGAGTTGAACGCACACATCACGCAGCAGTTTCTGAGAATGATTCTGTCTAGTTTTGAAACGAAGATATTTCCTTTTCTGCCTGTGGCCTCAAAGCGCTTGAAATCTCCACTTGCAAATTCCACAAAAAGAGTGTTTCAAATCTGCTCTGTGTAAATGAAAGTTCAACTCTGTGAGTTGAACACACACAACACAAGGAAGTTACTGGGAATTCTTCTGTCTAGCAGAATATGAAGAAATCCCGTTTCCAACGAAGGCCTCAAGATGTCAGAATATGCACTTACAGACTTTACAAACAGAGTGTTTCCTAACTGCTCTATGAACAGAAAGGTTAAACTCTGTGTGTTGAACGCACACATCACAAAGGAGTTTATGAGAATCATTCTGTCTATTTTCTGTAGGAAGCATATTTCCTATTCTACCTTTGACCTCAAAGCGGCTGAAATCTCCACTTGCAAATTCCACAAAAAGAGTGTTTCAAGTCTGCTCTCTGTAAAGGATCGTTCAACTCTGTGAGTTGAATACACACAACACAAGGAAGTTACTGAGAATTATTCTGTATAGCAGAATATGAAGAAATCCCGTTTCCAACGAAGGCCACAAGATGTCAGAATATCCACTTACAGAATTTACAAACAGACTGTTTCCTAACTGCTCTATGAAAAGAAAGGTTAAACTCTGTGAGTTTACCGAACACCTCACAACGCAGTTTGTGGGAATGATTCTGTCTAGTTTTAATACGAAGATATTTCCTTTTATACCATTGACCTCAAAGCGGCTAAAATCACCACTTGCCAATTGCACAAAAAGAGTGTTTCAAATCTGCTCTGTCTAAGGGAACGTTCAACTCTGTGAGTTGAATGTACACAACACAAGGAAGTTACTGGGAATTCTTCTGTCTAGCCTTACAGGAAAGAAACCCGTTTCCAACGAAGGCCTCTAAGTGGTCAAAATATCCACGTGCAGACTTTACAAACAGAGTGTTTCCAAACTGCTGAATGAAAAGCAAAGTTAAACTCTGAGAGTTGAACGCACACATCGCAGAGCAGTTTCTGAGAATGATTCTGTCTAGTCTTTATACGAAGATATTTCCTTTTCTACCACTGACCTCAAAGCGGCATGAAATCTCCACTTGCAAATTCCACAAAAAGAGTGTTTCAAGCTCTGCTCTCGTGTAAAGGATCGTTCAACTCTGTGAGTTGAATACACACAACACAAGGAAGTTACTGAGAATTCTTCTGTCTAGCATAATATGAAGAAATCCCGTTTCCAACGAAGGCCTCAAAGAGGTCTGAATATCCACTTGCAGACGTTACAAACAGAGTGTTTCCTAACTGCTCTATGAAAAGAAAAGTTAAACTCTGTGAGTTGAACGCACACATCACAAAGGAGTTTCTGAGAATCATTCTGTCTAGTCTTTATATGAAGATAGTTTCCTTTTCTACTATTGACCTCAAAGCGGCTGAAATCTCCACTTGCAAATTCCACAAAAAGAGTGTTTCAAGTCTGCTCTGTGTAAAGGATCGTTCAACTCTGTGAGTTGAATACACACAACACAAGGAAGTTACTGAGAATTCTTCTGTCTAGCAGAATATGAAGAAATCCCGTTTCCAACGAAGGCCACAAGATGTCAGAATATCCACTTACAGACTTTACAAACAGAGTGTTTCCTAACTGCTCTATGAACAGAAAGGTTAAACTCTGTGAGTTGAACGAACACATCACAACACAGTTTGTGGGAATGATTCTGTCTAGTTTTGAAACGAAGATATTTCCTTTTCTGCCATTGACCTTAAAGCGCTTGAAATCTCCACTTGCCAATTGCACAAAAAGAGTGTTTCAAATCTGCTCTGTCTAAGGGAACGTTCAACTCTGTGAGTTGAACCGTACACAACACAAGGAAGTTACTGGGAATTCTTCTGTCTAGCCTTACAGGAAAAAAACCCGTTTCCAACGAAGGCCTCTAAGTGGTCAAAATATCCACGTGCAGACTTTACAAACAGAGTGTTTCCAAACTGCTGAATGAAAAGAAAAGTTAAACTCTGAGAGTTGAACGCACACATCGCAGAGCAGATTCTGAGAATGATTCTGTCTAGTTTTGAAACGAAGATATTTCCTTTTCTGCCTTTGGCCTCAAAGCGCTTGAAATCTCCACTTGCAAATTCCACAAAAAGAGTGTTTCAAATCTGCTCTGGGTAAATGAATGTTCAACTCTGTGAGTTGAACACACACAACTCAAGGAAGTTACTGGGAATTCTTCTGTCTAGCATAATATGAAGAAATCCCGTTTCCAACGAAGGCCTCAAAGAGGTCTGAATATCCACTTGCAGACTTTACAAACAGAGTGTTTCCTAACTGCTCTATGAAAAGAAAAGTTAAACTCTGTGAGTTGAACGCACACATCACAAAGGAGTTTATGAGAATCATTCTGTCTAGTCTTTATACGAAGATATTTCCTTTTCTACCATTGACCTCAAAGCGGCTGAAATCTCCACTTTCAAATTCCACAAAAAGAGTGTTTCAAGTCTGCTCTGTGTAAAGGATCGTTCAACTCTGTGAGTAGAATACACACAACACAAGGAAGTCACTGAGAATTCTTCTGTCTAGCAGAATATGAAGAAATCCCGTTTCCAACGAAGGCCACAAGATGTCAGAATATCCACTTACAGAATTGACAAACAGACTGTTTCCTAACTGCTCTATGAAAAGAAAGGTTAAACTCTGTGAGTTGAACGAACCCATCACAACGCAGTTTGTGGGAATGATTCTGTCTAGTTTTGAAACGAAGATATTTCCTTTTCTGCCGTTGACCTGAAAGCGCTTGAAATCTACACTTGCAAATTACACAAATAGACTGTTTCAAATCTGCTCTGTCTAAGGGAACGTTCAACTCTGTGAGTTGAATGCACACAACACAAGGAAGTTACTGGGAATTCTTCTGTCTACACTTACATGAAAAAAACCCGTTTCCAACGAAGGCCTCTAAGTGGTCAAAATATCCACGTGCAGACTTTACAAACAGAGTGTTTTCAAACTGCTGAATGAAAAGAAATGTTAAACTCTGAGAGTTGAACGCACACATCACAGAGGATTTTCTGAGAATGATTCTGTCTAGTTTTTATGCGAAGATATTTCCTTTTCTGCCTTTGGCCTCAAAGCGCTTGAAATCTCCACTTGCAAATTCCACAAAAAGAGTGTTTCAAATCTGCTCTGTGTAAATGAAAGTTCAACTCTGTCAGTTGAACACACACAACACAAGGAAGTTACTGGGAATTCTTCTGTCAAGCCTTATATGTAAAAAACCCGTTTCCAACGAAGGCCTCAAAGAGGTCTGAATATCCACTTGCAGACTTTACAAACAGAGTGTTTCCTAACTGCTCTATGAAAAGAAAGGTTAAACTCTGTGAGTTGAACGCACACATCACAAAGGAGTTTCTGAGAATCATTCTGTCTAGTTTTTATACGAAGATATTTCCTTTTCTACCATGGACCTCAAAGCGGCTGAAATCTCCACTTGCAAATTCCACAAAAAGAGTGTTTCAAGTCTGCTCTGTGTAAAGGATCGTTCAACTCTGTGAGTTGAATACACACAACACAAGGGAAGATTCTGAGAATTCTTCTGTCTAGCAGAATATGAAGAAATCCCGTTTCCAACGAAGGCCTCAAGGAGGTCTGAATATCCACTTGCAGACTTTACAAACAGAGTGTTTCCTAACTGCTCTATGAACAGAAAGGTTAAACTCTGTGAGTTGAACAAACACATCACAACGCAGTTTGTGGGAATGATTCTGTCTAGTTTTGAAACGAAGATATTTCCTTTTCTGCCATTGACCTTAAAGCGCTTGAAATCTCCACTTGCCAATTGCACAAAAAGAGTGTTTCAAATCTGCTCTGTCTAAGGGAACGTTCAACTCTGTGAGTTGAATGTACACAACACAAGGAATTTACTGGGAAATCTTCTGTCTAGCCTTACATGAAAAAAAACCCGTTTCCAACGAAGGCCACTAAGTGGTCAAAATATCCACGTGCAGACTTTACAAACAGAGTGTTTCCAAACCGCTGAATGACAAGAAAAGTTAAACTCTGAGAGTTGAACGCACACATCACGCAGCAGTTTCTGAGAATGATTCTGTCTAGTTTTTATACGAAGATATTTCCTTTTCTACCATTGACCTCAACGCGGCTGAAATCTCCACTTGCAAATTCCTCAAAAAGTGTGTTTCAAGTCCGCTCTGTGTAAAGGATCGTTCAACTCTGTGAGTTGAATACACACAACACAAGGAAGTTACTGAGAATTCTTCTGTCTAGCAGAATATGAAGAAATCCCGCTTCCAACGAAGGCCTCAAAGAAGTCTGAATATCCACTTGCAGACTTTACAAACAGAGTGTTTCCCAACTGCTCTATGAAAAGAAAGGTTTAACTCTGTGAGTTGAACGCACATATCACAAAGGAGTTTCTGAGAATCATTCTGTCTAGTTTCTATAGGAAGATATTTCCTATTCTACCATTGAACTCAAAGCGGCTGAAATCTCCACTTGCAAATTCCACAAATAGAGTGTTTCAAGTCTGCTCTGTGTAAAGGATCGTTCAACTCTGTGAGTTGAATACACACAACACAAGGAAGTTACTGAGAGTTCTTCTGTCTAGCAGAATATGAAGAAATCCCGTTTCCAACGAAGGCCTCAAGGAGGTCTGAATACCCACTTGCAGACTTTACAAACAGAGTGTTTCCTAACTGCTCTATGAACAGAAAGGTTAAACTCTGTGAGTTGAACGAACACATCACAACGCAGTTTGTGGGAATGATTCTGTCTAGTTTTGAAACGAAGATATTTCCTTTTCTGCCATTGACCTTAAAGCGCTTGAAATCTACACTTGCAAATTGCACAAATAGAGTGTTTCAAATCTGCTCTGTCTAAGGGAACGTTCAACTCTGTGAGTTGAATTCACACAACACAATGAAGTTACTGGGAATTCTTCTGTCTAGCCTTACATGCAAAAAACCCGTTTCCAACTAAGGCCTCTAAGTGGTCAAAATATCCACGTGCAGACTTTACAAACAGAGTGTTTCCAAACCGCTGAATGAAAAGAAAAGTTAAACTCTGAGAGTTGAACGCACACATCACGCAGCAGTTTCTGAGAATGATTCTGTCTAGTTTTTATACGAAGATATTTCCTTTTCTGCCTTTGGCCTCAAAGCGCTTGAAATCTCCACTTGCAAATTCCACAAAAAGAGTGTTTCAAATCTGCTCTGTGTAAATGAAAGTTCAACTCACAGAGTTGAACACACACAACACAAGGAAGTTACTGGGAATTCTTCTGTCTTGGAGAATATGAAGAAATCCCATTTCCAACCAAGGCCACAAAATGTCAGAATATCCACTTACAGACTATATAAACAGAGTGTTTACTAACTGCTCTATGAAAAGAAAGGTTAAACTCTGTGAGTTGAACACACACATCACAAAGGAGTTTCTGAGAATCATTCTGTCTAGTTTCTATAGGAAGATATTTCCTATTCTACTTTTGACCTCAAAGCGGCTGAAATCTCCACTTGCAAATTCCACAAAAAGTGTTTCAACTCTGCTCTCTGTAAAGGATCGTTCAACTCTGTGAGTTGAATGCACACAACACAAGGAAGTTACTGAGAATTATTCTGTCTAGCAGAATATGAAGAAATCCCGTTTCCAACGAAGGCCACAAGATGTCAGAATATCCACTTACAGAATTGACAAACAGACTGTTTCCTAACTGATCTATGAAAAGAAAGGTTAAACTCTGTGAGTTGAACGAACACATCACAACGCAGTTTGTGGGAATGATTCTGTCTAGTTTGAAACGAAGATATTTCCTTTTCTGCCATTGACCTCAAAGCGCTTGAAATCTCCACTTGCCAATTGCACAAAAAGAGTGTTTCAAATCTGCTCTGTCTAAGGGAACGTTCAACTCTGTGAGTTGAATGTACACAACACAAGGAAGTTACTGGGAATTCTTCTGTCTAGCCTTACAGGAAAGAAACCCGTTTCCAACGAAGGCCTCTAAGTGGTCGAAATATCCACGTGCAGACTTTACAAACAGAGTGTTTCCAAACTGCTGAATGAAAAGAAAAGTTAAACTCTGAGAGTTGAACGCACACATCGCAGAGCAGTTTCTGAGAATGATTCTGTCTAGTTTTTATACGAAGATATTTCCTTTTCTGCCTTTGGCCTCACAGCGCTTGAAATCTCCACTTGCAAATTCCACAAAAAGAGTGTTTCAAATCTGCTCTGTGTAAATGAAAGTTCAACTCTGTGAGTTGAACACACACAACACAAGGAAGTTACTGGGATTTCTTCTGTCTAGCATAATATGAAGAAATCCCGTTTCCAACGAAGGCCTCAAGGAGGTCTGAATATCCACTTGCAGACTTTACAAACAGAGTGTTTCCTAACTGCTCTATGAAAAGAAAGGTTAAACTGTGTGAGTTCAACGCACACATCACAAAGGAGTTTCTGAGAATCATTCTGTCTAGTCTTTATACGAAGATATTTTCTTTTCTACCATTGACCTCAAAGCGGCTGAAATCTCCACTTGCAAATTCCACAAAAAGAGTGTTTCAAGTCTGCTCTGTGTAAAGGATCGTTCAACTCTGTGAGTTGAATACACACAACACAAGGAAGTTACTGAGAATTCTTCTGTCTAGCAGAATATGAAGAAATCCCGTTTCCAACGAAGACCTCAAGGAGGTCTGAATATCCACTTACAGACTTTAGAGAGTGTTTCCTAACTGCTCTATGAACGGAAAGGTTAAACTCTGTGAGTTGAACGAACACATCACAACGCAGTTTGTGGGAATGATTCTGTCTAGTTTTGAAACGAAGATATTTCCTTTTCTGCCATTGACCTTAAAGCGCTTGAAATCTACACTTGCAAATTGCACAAATAGAGTGTTTCAAATCTGCTCTGTCTAAGGGAACGTTCAACTCTGTGAGTTGAATGCACACAACACAAGGAAGTTACTGGGAATTCTTCTGTCTAGCCTTACATGAAAAAAAACCCGTTTCCAACGAAGGCCTCTAAGTGGTCAAAATATCCACCTGCAGTCTTTACAAACAGAGTGTTTCCAAACCGCTGAATGAAAAGAAAAGTTAAACTCTGAGAGTTGAACGCACACATCACGCAGCAGTTTCTGAGAATGATTCTGTCTAGTTTTTATACGAAGATATTTCCTTTTCTGCCTTTGGCCCCAAAGCGCTTGAAATCTCCACTTGCAAATTCCATAAAAACAGTGTTTCAAATCTGCTCTCTCTAAATGAAAGTTCAACTCTTTCAGTTGAATACACACAACACAAGGAAGTTACTGAGAATTCTTTTGTCTAGCATAATATGAAGAAATCCCGTTTCCAACGAAGGCCTCAAGGAGGTCTGAATATCCACTTGCAGACTTTACAAACAGAGTGTTTCCTAACTGCTCTATGAAAAGAAAGGTTAAACTCTGTGAGTTGAACGCACACATCACAAACGAGTTTCTCAGAATCATTCTGTCTAGTTTTTATAGGAAGATATTTCCTTTTCTACCTTTGACTTCAAAGCGGCTGAAATCTCCACTTGCAAATTCCACAAAAAGAGTGTTACAAGTCTGCTCTGTGTAAAGGATCGTTCAACTCTGTGAGTTGAATACACACAACACAAGGAAGGTACTGAGAATTCTTCTGTCTAGCAGAATATGAAGAAATCCCGTTTCCAACGAAGGCCACAAGATGTCAGAATATCCACTTACAGACTTTACAAACAGCGTGTTTCCTAACTGCTCTATGAACAGAAAGGTTAAACTCTGTGAGTTGAACGTACACATCACAACGCAGTTTGTGGGAATGATTCTGTCTAGTTTTGAAACGAAGATATTTCCTTTTCTGCCATTGACCTTAAAGCGCTTGAAATCTCCATTTGCCAATTGCACAAAAAGAGTGTTTCAAATCTGCTCTGTCTAAGGGAACGTTCAACTCTGTGAGTTGAATGTACACAACACAAGGAAGTTACTGGGAATTCTTCTGTCTAGCCTTACAGGAAAAAAACCCGTTTCCAACGAAGGCCTCTAAGTGGTCAAGTTATCCACGTGCAGACTTTACAAACAGAGTGTTTCCAAACTGCTGAATGAAAAGAAAAGTTAAACTCTGAGAGTTGAACGCACACATCGCAGAGCAGTTTCTGAGAGTGATTCTGTCTAGTTTTTATACGAAGATATTTCCTTTTCTGCCTTTGGCCTCAAAGCGCTTGAAATCTCCACTTGCAAATTCCACAAAAAGAGTGTTTCAAATCTGCTCTGTGTAAATGAAAGTTCAACTCTGTGAGTTGAACACACACAACACAAGGAAGTTACTCGGAATTCTTCTGTCTAGCATAATATGAAGAAATCCCGTTTCCAACGAAGGCCTCAAGGAGGTCTGAATATCCACTTGCAGACTTTACAAACAGAGTGTTTCCTAACTGCTCTATGTAAAGAAAGGTTAAACTCTGTGAGTTGAACGCTTACATCACAAAGGAGTTTCTGAGAATCATTCTGTCTAGTTTTTATACGAAGATATTTCCTTTTCTACCATTGACCTCAAAGCAGCTGAAATCTCCACTTGCAAATTCCACAAAACGAGTGTTTCAAGTCTGCTCTGTGTAAAGGATCGTTCAACTCTGTGAGTTGAATACACACAACACAAGGAAGTTACTGAGAATTCTTCTGTCTAGCAGAATATGAAGAAATCCCGTTTCCAACGATGGCCACAAGATGTCAGAATATCCACTTACAGACTTTAAAAACAGAGTGTTTCCTAACTGCTCTATGAACAGAAAGGTTAAACTCTGTGAGTTGAACGAACACATCACAACGCAGTTTGTGGGAATGATTCTGTCTAGTTTTGAAACGAAGATATTTCCTTTTCTTCCATTGACCTTAAAGCGCTTGAAATCTACACTTGCAAATTGCACAAATAGAGTGTTTCAAATCTGCTCTGTCTAAGGGAACGTTCAACTCTGTGAGTTGAATGCACCCAACACAAGGAAGTTACTGGGAATTCTTCTGTCTAGCCTTACATGAAAAAAACCCGTTTCCAACGAAGGCCTCTAAGTCGTCAAAATATCCACGTGCAGACTTTACAAACAGAGTGTTTCCAAACCGCTGAATGAAAAGAAAAGTTAAACTCTGAGAGTTGAACGCACACATCACGCAGCAGTTTCTGAGAATGATTCTGTCTAGTTTTGAAACGAAGATATTTCCTTTTCTGCCTTTGGCCTCAAAGCGCTTGAAATCTCCACTTGCAAATTGCACAAAAAGAGTGTTTCAAATCTGCTCTGTGTAAATGAAAGTTCAACTCTGTGAGTTGAACACACACAACACAAGGGAAGTTACTGGGAATTCTTCTGTCTAGCATAATATGAAGAAATCCCGTTTCCAACGAAGGCCTCAAATGGGTCTGAATATCCACTTGCAGACTTTATAAACAGAGTGTTTACTAACTGCTCTATGAAAAGAAAGGTTAAACTCTGTGAGTTGAACACACACATCACAAAGGAGTTTCTGAGAATCATTCTGTCTAGTTTCTATAGGAAGATATTTCCTATTCTACCATTGAACTCAAAGCGGCTGAAATATCCACTTGCAAATTCCACAAAAAGAGTGTTTCAAGTCTGCTCTGTGTAAAGGATCGTTCAACTCTGTGAGTTGAATACACACAACACAAGGAAGTTACTGAGAATTCTTCTTTCTAGCAGAATATGAAGAAATCCCGTTTCCAACGAAAGCCTCAAGGATGTCTGAATATCCACTTGCAGACTTTACAAACAGAGTGTTTCCTAACTGCTCTATGAAAAGAAAGGTTAAACTCTGTGAGTTGAACCCACACATCACAAAGGAGTTTCTGAGAATCATTCTGTCTAGTTTTGAAACGAAGATATTTCCTTTTCTGCCATTGACCTTAAAGCGCTTGAAATCTCCATTTGCCAATTGCACAAAAAGAGTGTTTCAAATCTGCTCTGTCTAAGGGAACGTTCAACTCTGTGAGTTGAATGTACACAACACAAGGAAGTTACTGGGAATTCTTCTGTCTAGCCTTACATGAAAAAAACCCGTTTCCAACGAAGGCCTCTAAGTGGTCAAAATATCCACGTGCAGACTTTACAAACAGAGTGTTTCCAAACCGCTGAATGAAAAGAAAAGTTAAACTCTTGAGAGTTGAACGCACACATCACGCAGCAGTTTCTGAGAATGATTCTGTCTAGTTTTTATACGAAGATATTTCCTTTTCTGCCTTTGGCCCCAAAGCGCTTGAAATCTCCACTTGCAAATTCCACAAAAACAGTGTTTCAAATCTGCTCTTTCTAAATGAAAGTTCAACTCTGTCAGTTGAATACACACAACACAAGGAAGTTACTGAGAATTCTTCTGTCTAGCATAATATGAAGAAATCCCGTTTCCAACGAAGGCCTCAAAGGGGTCTGAATATCCACTTGCAGACTTTATAAACAGAGTGTTTACTAACTGCTCTATGAAAAGAAAGGTTAAACTCTGTGAGTTGAACGCACACATCACAAAGGAGTTTATGAGAATCATTCTGTCCAGTTTTTATACGAAGATATTTCCTTTTCTACAATTGACCTCAAAGCGGCTGAAATCTCCACTTGCAAATTCCACAAAAAGACTGTTTCAAGTCTGCTCTGTGTAAAGAATCGTTGAACTCTGTGAGTTGAATACAGACAACACAAGGAAGTTACTGAGAATTCTTCTGTCTAGCATAATATGAAGAAATCCCGTTTCCAACGAAGGCCTCAAGGAGGTCTGAATATCCATTTGCAGACTTTACAAACAGAGTGTTTCCTAACTGCTCTATGAAAAGAAAGGTTAAACTCTGTGAGTTGAACGCACACATCACAAAGGAGTTTCTGAGAATCATTCTGTCTAGTTTTTATACGAAGATATTTCCTTTTCTACCATTGACCTCAAAGCGGCTGAAATCACCACTTGCCAATTGCACAAAAAGAGTGTTTCAAATCTGCTCTGTCTAAGGGAACGTTCAACTCTGTGAGTTGAATGTACACAACACAAGGAAGTTACTGGGAATTCTTCTGTCTAGCCTTACAGGAAAGAAACCCGTTTCCAACGAAGGCCTCTAAGTGGTCAAAATATCCACGTGCAGACTTTACAAACAGAGTGTTTCCAAACTGCTGAATGAATAGAAAAGTTAAACTCTGAGAGTTGAACGCACACATCGCAGAGCAGTTTCTGAGAATGATTCTGTCTAGTTTTGAAACGAAGATATTTCCTTTTCTGCCTTTGGCCTCAAAGCGCTTGAAATCTCCACTTGCAAATTCCACAAAAAGAGTGTTTCAAATCTGCTCTGTGTAAATGAAAGTTCAACTCTGTGAGTTGAACACACAAAACACAAGGAAGTTACCGGGAATTCTTCTGTCTAGCCTTATATGAAAAAAACCCGTTTCCAACGAAGGCCTCAAAGAGGTCTGAATATCCACTTGCAGACTTTACAAACAGAGTGTTTCCTATCTGCTCTATGAAAAGAAAGGTGAAACTCTGTGAGTTGAACACACACATCACAAAGGAGTTTCTGAGAATCATTTCTGTCTAGTTTTTGTACGAAGATATTTCCTTTTCTACCATGGACCTCAAAGCGGCTGAAATCTCCACTTGCAAATTCCACAAAAAGAGTGTTTCAAGTCTGCTCTGTGTAAAGGATCGTTCAACTCTGTGAGTTGAATACACACAACACAAGGAAGATTCTGAGAATTCTTCTGTCTAGCAGAATAGGAAGAAATCCCTTTTCCAACGAAGGCCACAAGATGTCAGAATATCCACTTACAGACTTTACAAACAGAGTGTTTCCTAACTGCTCTATGAACAGAAAGGTTAAACTCTGTGAGTTGAACGCACACATCACAAAGGGGTTTCTGAGAATCATTCTGTCTAGTTTTTATAGGAAGATATTTCCTTTTCTACATTTGACTTCAAAGCGGCTGAAATCTCCACTTGCAAATTCCACAAAAGGAGTGTTACAAGTCTGCTCTGTGTAAAGGATCGTTCAACTGTGTGAGTTGAATACACACAACACAAGGAAGTTACTGAGAATTCTTCTGTCTAGCCTTACATGAAAAAAACCCGTTTCCAACGAAGGCCTCTAAGTGGTCAAAATATCCACGTGCAGACTTTACAGACAGAGTGTTTCCAAACCGCTGAATGAAAAGAAAAGTTAAACTCTGAGAGGTGAACGCACACATCACGCAGCAGTTTCTGAGAATGATTCTGTCTAGTTTTTATACGAAGATATTTCCTTTTCTGCCTTTGGCCCCAAAGCGCTTGAAATCTCCACTTGCAAATTCCACAAAAACAGTGTTTCAAATCTACTCTCTCTAAATGAAAGTTCAAATCTGTCAGTTGAATACACACAACACAAGGAAGTTACTGAGAATTCTTCTGTCTAGCATAATATGAAGAAATCCCGTTTCCAACGAAGGCCTCAAAGGGGTCTGAATATCCACTTGCAGACTTTATAAACAGAGTGTTTACTAACTGCTCTATGAAAAGAAAGGTTAAACTCTGTGAGTTGAACACACACACCACAAAGGAGTTTCTGAGAATCATTCTGTCTAGTTTCTATAGGAAGATATTTCCTATTCTACCATTGACGTCAAAGCGGCTGAAATCTCCACTTGCAAATTCCACAAAAAGAGTGTTTCAAGTCTGCTCTGTGTAAAGGATCGTTCAACTCTGTGAGTTGAATACACACAACACAAGGCAGTTACTGAGAATTCTTCTGTCTAGCAGAATATGAAGAAATCCCGTTTCCAACGAAGGCCACAAGATGTCAGAATATCCACTTACAGAATTTACAAACAGAGTGTTTCCTAACTGCTCTATGAAAAGAAAGGTTAAACTCTGTGAGTTGAACGAACACATCACAACGCAGTTTGTGGGAATGATTCTGTCTAGTTTTGAAACGAAGATATTTCCTTTTCTGCCATTGACCTTAAAGCCCTTGAAATCTCCACTTGCCAATTTCACAAAACGAGTGTTTCAAATCTGCTCTCTCTAAGGGAACGTTCAACTCTGTGAGTTGAATGTACACAACACAAGGAAGTTACTGGGAATTATTCTGTCTAGCCTTACAGGAAAAAAACCTGTTTCCAACGAAGGCCTCTAAGTGGTCAAGTTATCCACGTGCAGACTTTACAAACAGAGTGTTTCCAAACTGCTGAATGAAAAGAAAAGTTAAACTTTGAGAGTTGAACGCACACATCGCAGAGCAGTTTCTGAGAATGATTCTGTCTAGTTTTGAAACGAAGACTATTTCCTTTTCTGCCTTTGGCCTCAAAGCGCTTGAAATCTCCACTTGCAAATTCCACAAAAAGAGTGTTTCAAATCTGCTCTGTGTAAATGAAAGTTCAACTCTGTGAGTTGAACACACACAACACAAGGAAAGTTACTGGGAATTCTTCTGTCTAGCATAATATGAAGAAATCCCGTTTCCAACGAAGGCCTCAAAGGGGTCTGAATATCCACTTGCAGACTTTATAAACAGTGTTTACTAACTGCTCTATGAAAAGAAAGGTTAAACTCTGTGAGTTGAACACACACATCACAAAGGAGTTTCTGAGAATCATTCTGTCTAGTTTTTATACGAAGATATTTCCTTTTCTACCATTGACCTCAAAGCGGCTGAAATCTCCACTTGCAAATTCCACAAAAAGAGTGTTTCAAATCTGCTCTGTGTAAACCATCGTTCAACTGTGTGAGTTGAATACACACAACACAAGGAAGATTCTGAGAATTCTTCTGTCTAGCAGAATATGAAGAAATCCCGTTTCCAACGAAGGCCACAAGATGTCAGAATATCCACTTACAGAATTTACAAACAGACTGTTTCCTAACTGCTCTACGAAAAGAAAGGTTAAACTCTGTGAGATGAACGAACACATCACAACGCAGTTTGTGGGAATGATTATCTGTCTAGTTTTGAAACGAAGATATTTCCTTTTCTGCCATTGACCTTAAAGCGCTAGAAATCTCCACTTGCCAATTGCACAAAAAGAGTGTTTCAAATCAGCTCTGTCTAAGGGAACGTTCAACTCTGTGAGTTGAATGTACACAACACAAGGAAGTTACTGGGAATTCTTCTGTCTAGCCTTACTGGAAAAAAACCCGTTTCCAACGAAGGCCTCAAAGAGGTCAAAATATCTACTTGCAGACTTTACAAACAGAGTGATTCCTAACTACTCTATGAAAAGAAAGTTTAAACTCTGTGAGTTGAACGCACACATCACAAAGAAGTTTCTGAGAATCATTCTGTCTAGTTTTTATACGAAGATATATCCTTTTCTGCATTTGGCCCCAAAGCGCTTGAAATCTCCAATTGCAAATTCCACAAAAACAGTGTTTCAAATCTTCTCTCTCTAAATGAAAGTTCAACTCTGTCAGTTGAATACACACAACACAAGGAAGTTACTGAGAATTCTTCTGTCTAGCATAATATGAAGAAATCCCGTTTCCAACGAAGGCCTCAAAGAGGTCTGAATATCCACTTGCAGACTTTACAAACAGTGTGTTTCCTAACGGCTCTATGAACAGAAAGGTTAAACTCTGTGAGTTGAACGCACACATCACAAAGGAGTTTCTGAGAATCATTCTGTCTAGTTTCTATAGGAAGATATTTCCTATTCTACCATTGACCTCAAAGCGGCTGAAATCTCCACTTGCAAATTCCACAAAAAGAGTGTTTCAAGTCTGTTCTGTGTAAAGGATCATTCAACTCTGTGAGTTGAATACACACAACACAAGGAAGTTACTGAGAATTCTTCTGTCTACCAGAATATGAAGAAATCCCGTTTCCAACGAAGGCCACAAGATGTCAGAATATCCACTTAGAGAATTTACAAACAGACTGTTTCCTAACTGCTCTATGAAAAGAAAGGTTAAACTCTGTGAGTTGAACGAACACATCACAACGCAGTTTGTGGGAATGATTCTGTCTAGTTTTGAAACGAAGATATTTCCTTTTCTGCCATTGACCTTAAAGCGCTTGAAATCTACACTTGCAAATTGCACAAATAGAGTGTTTCAAATCTGCTCTGTCTAAGGGAACGTTCAACTCTGTGAGTGGAATGCACACAACACAAGGAAGTTACTGGGAATTCTTCTGTCTAGCCTTACATGAAAAAAACCCGTTTCCAACGAAGGCCTCTAAGTGGTCAAAATATCCACGTGCAGACTTTACAAACAGAGTGTTTCCAAACCGCTGAATGAAAAGAAAAGTTAAACTCTGAGAGTTTAACGCACACATCACGCAGCAGTTTCTGAGAATGATTCTGTCTAGTTTTTATACGAAGATATTTCCTTTTCTGCCTTTGGCCTCAAAGCGCTTGAAATCTCCACTTGCAAATTCCACAAAAAGAGTGTTTCAAATCTACTCTGTGTAAATGAAAGTTCAACTCTGTGAGTTGAACACACACAACACAAGGAAGTTACTGGGAATTCTTCTGTCTAGTTTTTATAGGAAGTTATTTCCTTTTCTACCTTTGACTTCAAAGCGGCTGAATTCTCCACTTGCAAATTCCACAAAAAGAGTGTTACAAGTCTGCTCTGTGTAAAGGATCGTTCAACTCTGTGAGTTGAATACACACAACACAAGGAAGTTACTGAGAATTCTTCTGTCTAGCGGAATATGAAGAAATCCCGTTTCCAACGAAGGCCACAAGATGTCAGAATATCCACTTACAGAATTGACAAACAGACTGTTTCCTAACTGCTCTATGAAAAGAAAGGTTAAACTCTGTGAGTTGAACGAACACATCACAATGCAGTTTGTGGGAATGATTCTGTCTAGTTTTGAAACGAAGATATTTCCTTTTCTGCCATTGACCTTAAAGCGCTTGAAATCTACAATTGCAAATTGCACAAATAGAGTGTTTCAAATCTCCTCTGTCTAAGGGAACGTTCAACTCTGTGAGTTGAATGCACACAACACAAGGAAGTTACTGGGAATTCTTCTGTCTACCCTTTCATGAAAAAAACCCGTTTCCAACGAAGGCCTCTAAGTGGTCAAAATATCCACGTGCAGACTTTACAAACAGAGTGTTTCCAAACTGCTGAATGAAAACAAAAGTTAAACTCTGAGAGTTGAACGCACACATCACAGAGCATTTTCTGAGAATGATTCTGTCTAGTTTTTATACGAAGATATTTCCTTTTCTGCCTTTGGCCCCAAAGCGCTTGAAATCTCCACTTGCAAATTCCACAAAAACAGTGTTTCAAATCTGCTCTCTCCAAATGAAAGTTCAACTCTGTCAGTTGAATACACACAACACAAGGAATTTACTGAGAATTCTTCTGTCTAGCATAATATTTAGAAATCCCGTTTACAACGAAGGCCTCAAGGAGGTCTGAATATCCACTTGCAGACTTTACAAACAGAGTGTTTCCTAACTGCTCTATGAAAAGAAAGGTTAAACTCTGTGAGTTGAACGCAGACATCACAAAGGAGTTTCTGAGAATCACTCTGTCTAGTTTCTATAGGAAGATATTTCCTATTCTACCTTTGACCTCAAAGCGACAGAAATCTCCACTTGCAAATTCCACAAAAAGTGTTTCAAGTCTGCTCTCTGGAAAGGATCGTTCAACTCTGTGAGTTGAATACACACAACACAAGGAAGTTACTGAGAATTCTTCTGTCTAGCAGAATATGAAGAAATCCCGTTTCCAACGAAGGCCACAATATTTCAGAATATACTCTTACAGAATTTACAAACAGACTGTTTCCTAACTGCTCTATGAAAAGAAAGGTTAAACTCTGTGAGTTGAACGAACACCTCACAACGCAGTTTGTGGGAATGATTCTGTCTAGTTTTGAAACGAAGATATTTCCTTTTCTGCCATTGACCTTAAAGCGCTTGAAATCTCCACTTGCCAATTGCACAAAAAGAGTGTTTCAAATCTGCTCTAAGGGAACGTTCAACTCTGTGAGTTGAATGTACACAACACAAGGAAGTTACTGGGAATTCTTCTGTCTAGCCCTACATGAAAAAAACCCGTTTCCAACGAAGGCCTCTAAGTGGTCAAAATATCCACGTGCAGACTTTACAAACAGAGTGTTTCCAAACCGCTGAATGAAAAGAAAAGTTAAACTCTGAGAGTTGAACGCACACATCACGCAGCAGTTTCTGAGAATGATTCTGTCAAGTTTTTATACGAAGTTATTTCCTTTTCTGCCTTTGGCCCCAAAGCGCTTGAAATCTCCACTTGCAAATTCCACAAAAACAGTGTTTCAAATCTGCTCTCTCTAAATGAAAGTTCAACTCTGTCAGTTGAATACACACAACAGAAGGAAGTTACTGAGAATTCTTCTGTCTAGCAGAATATGAAGAAATCCCGTTTCCAACGAAGGACTCAAGGAGGTCTGAATATCCACTTGCAGACTTTACAAACAGAGTGTTTCCTAACTGCTCTATGAAAAGAAAGGTTAAACTCTGTGAGTTGAACGCACACATCACAAAGGAGTTTATGAGAATCATTCTGTCTAGTTTTTATACGAAGATATTTCCTTTTCTACCATTGACCTCAACGCGGCTGAAATCTGCACTTGCAAATTCCACAAAACGAGTGTTTCAAGTCCGCTCTGTGTAAAGGATCGTTCAACTCTGTGAGTTGAATACACACAACACAAGGAAGTTACTGAGAATTCTTCTGTCTAGCAGAATATGAAGAAATCCCGTTTCCAACGAAGGCCACAAGATGTCAGAATATCCACTTACAGACTTTACAAACAGAGTGTTTCCTAACTGCTCTATGAACAGAAAGGTTAAACTCTGTGAGTTGAACGAACACATCACAACGCAGTTTGTGGAAATGATTCTGTCTAGTTTTGAAACCAAGATATTTCCTTTTCTGCCGTTGACCTTAAAGAGCTTGAAAACTACACTTGCAAATTGCACAAATAGAGTGTTTCAAATCTGCTCTGTCTAAGGGAACGTTCAACTCTGTGAGTTGAATGCACACAACACAAGGAAGTTACTGGGAATTCTTCTGGCTAGCCTTATAGGAAAAAAACCCCTTTCCAACGAAGGCCTCTAAGTGGTCAAAATATCCACGTGCAGACTTTACAAACAGAGTGTTTCCAAACTGCTGAATGAAAAGAAAAGTTAAACTCTGAGAGTTGAACGCACACATCGCAGAGCAGTTTCTGAGAATGATTCTGTCTAGTTTTTATACGAAGATATTTCCTTTTCTGCCTTTGGCCTCAAAGCGCTTGAAATCTCCACTTGCAAATTCCACAAAAAGAGTGTTTCAAATGTGCTCTGTGTAAATGAAAGTTCAACTCTGTGAGTTGAACACACACAACACAAGGAAGTTACTGGGAATTCTTCTTTCTGGCAGAATATGAAGAAATCCCGTTTCCAACGAAAGCCTCAAGGATGTCTGAATATCCACTTGCAGACTTTACAAACAGAGTGTTTCCTAACTGCTCTATGAAAAGAAAGGTTAAACTCTGTGAGTTGAACGCACACATCACAAAGGAGTTTCTGAGAATCATTCTGTCTAGTTTTGAAACGAAGATATTTCCTTTTCTGCCTTTGGCCTCAAAGCGCTTGAAATCTCCACTTGCAAATTCCACAAAAAGAGTGTTTCAAGTCTGCTCTGTGTAAAGGATCGTTCAACTCTGTGAGTTGAATACACACAACACAAGGAAGATTCTGAGAATTCTTCTGTCTAGCAGAATATGAAGAAATCCCGTTTCCAACGAAGGCCTCAAGGAGGTCTGAATATCCACTTACAGACTTCACAAACAGAGTGTTTCCTAACTGCTCTATGAACAGAAAGGTTAAACTCTGTGAGTTTAACGAACACATCACAACGCAGTTTTTGGGAATGAGTCTGTCTAGTTTTGAAACGCAGATATTTCCTTTTTTGCCATTGACCTTAAAGCGATTGAAATCTACACTTGCAAATTACACAAATAGAGTGTTTCAAATCTGCTCTGTCTAAGGGAATGTTCATCTCTGTGAGTTGAATGCACACAACACAAGGAAGTTACTGGGAATTCTTCTGTCTAGCCTTACATGAAAAAAAACCCGTTTCCAACGAAGGCCTCTAAGTGGTCAAAATATCCACGTGCAGACTTTACAAACAGAGTGTTTCCAAACCGCTGAATGAAAAGAAAAGTTAAACTCTGAGAGTGGAACGCACACATCACGCAGCAGTTTCTGAGAATGATTCTGTCTAGTTTTTATACGAAGATATTTCCTTTTCTGCCTTTGGCCCCAAAGCGCTTGAAATCTCCACTTGCAAATTCCACAAAAACAGTGTTTCAAATCTGCTCACTCTAAATGAAAGTTCAACTCTGTCAGTTGAATACACACAACACAAGGAAGTTACTGAGAATTCTTCTTTCTAGCAGAATATGAAGAAATCCCGTTTCCAACGAAAGCCTCAAGGATGTCTGAATATCCACTTGCAGACTTCACAAACAGAGTGTTTCCTAACTGCTCTATGAAAAGAAAGGTTAAACTCTGTGAGTTGAACGCACACATCACAAAGGAGTTTCTGAGAATCATTCTGTCTAGTCTTTATACGAAGATATTTCCTTTTCTACCATTGACCTCAAAGCGGCTGTAATCTCCACTTGCAAATTCGAGAAAAAGAGTGTTTCAAGCCTGCTCTCTGTAAAGGATCCTTCAACTCGGTGAGTTGAAAACACAAAACACAAGGAAGTTACTGAGAATTATTCTGTCTAGCAGAATATGAAGAAATCCCGTTTCCAACGAAGGCCTCAAGGAGGTCTGAATATCCACTTGCAGACTTTACAAACAGAGTGTTTCCTAACTGCTCTATGAACAGAAAGGTTAAACTCTGTGAGTTGAACGAACACGTCACAACGCAGTTTGTGGGAATGATTCTGTCTAGTTTTAAAACGAAGATATTTCCTTTTCTGCCATTGACCTTAAAGCGCTTGAAATCTACACTTGCAAATTGCACAAATAGAGTGTTTCAAATCTGCTCTGTCTAAGGGAACGTTCAACTCTGTGAGTTGAATGCACACAACACAAGGAAGTTACTGGGAATTCTTCTGTCTAGCCTTACAGGAAAAAAACCCGTTTCCAACGAAGGCCTCTAAGTGGTCAAAATATCCACCTGCAGACTTTACAAACAGAGTGTTTCCAAACTGCTGAATGAAAAGAAAAGTTAAACTCTGAGAGTTGAACGCACACATCGCAGAGCAGTTTCTGAGAATGATTCTGTCTAGTTTTTAAACGAAGATATTTCGTTTTCTGCCTTTGGCCCCAAAGCGCTTGAAATCTCCACTTGCAAATTCCACAAAAACAGTGTTTCAAACCTGCTCTCTCTAAATGAAAGTTCAACTCTGTCAGTTGAATACACACAACACAAGGAAGTTACTGAGAATTCTTCTGTCTAGCATAATATGAAGAAATCCCGTTTCCAACGAAGGCCTCAAGGAGGTCTGAATATCCACTTGCAGACTTTACAAACAGAGTGTTTCCTAACTGCTCTATGAAAAGAAAGGTTAAACTCTGTGAGTTGAACGCACACATCACAAAGGATTTCTCAGAATCATTCTGTCTAGTCTTTATACGAAGATATTTTCTTTTCTACCATTGACTTCAAAGCGGCTGAAATCTCCACTTGCAAATTCCACAAAAAGAGTGTTTCAAGTCTGCTCTGTGTAAAGGATCATTCAACTCTGTGAGTTGAATACACACAACACAAGGAAGTTACTGAGAATTCTTCTGTCTAGCAGAATATGAAGAAATCCCGTTTCCAACGAAGGCCACAAGATGTCAGAATATCCACTTACAGAATTGACAAACAGACTGTTTCCTAACTGCTGTATGAAAAGAAAGGTTAAACTCTGTGAGTTGAACGAACACATCACAACGCAGTTTGTGGGAATGATTCTGTCTAGTTTTGAAACGAAGATATTTCCTTTTCTGCCATTGACCTTAAAGCGCTTGAAATCTCCATTTGCCAATTGCACAAAAAGAGTGTTTCAAATCTGCTCTGTCTAAGGGAACGTTCAACTCTGTGAGTTGAATGTACACAACACAAGGAAGTTACTGGGAATTCTTCTGTCTAGCCTTACATGAAAAAAACCCGTTTCCAACGAAGGCCTCTAAGTGGTCAAAATATCCACGTGCAGACTTTACAAACAGAGTGTTTCCAAACTGCTGAATGAAAAGAAAAGTTAAACTCTGATGAGTTGAACGCACACATCACAAAGGAGTTTCTGAGAATCATTCTGTCTAGTTTTTATACCAAGATATTTCCTTTTCTGCCTTTGGCCTCAAAGCGCTTGAAATCTCCACTTGCAAATTCCACAAAAAGAGTGTTTCAAATCTGCTCTGTGTAAATGAAAGTTCAACTCTGTGAGTTGAACGCACACAACACAAGGAAGTTACTGGGAATTCTTCTGTCTAGCAAAATATGAAGAAATCCCGTTTCCAACGAAGGCCTCAAGGAGGTCTGAATATCCACTTGCAGACTTTACAGAGTGTTTCCTAACTGCTCTATGAAAAGAAAGGTTAAACTCTGTGAGTTGAACGCACACATCACAAAGGAGTTTCTGAGAATCATTCTGTCTAGTTTTTATACGAAGATATTTCCTTTTCTAGCATTGACCTCAAAGCGGCTGAAATCTCCACTTGCAAATTACACAAAAAGAGTGTTTCAAGTCTACTCTGTGTAAAGCATCGTTCAACTCTGTGAGTTGAAAACACACAACACAAGGAAGTTTCTGAGAATTCTTCTGTCTAGCAGAATATGAAGAAATCCCGTTTCCAACGAAGGCCTCAAAGATGTCTGAATATCCACTTGCAGACTTTACAAACAGAGTGTTTCCTAACTGCTCTATGAAAAGAAAGGTTAAACTCTGTGAGCTGAACGCACACAGCACAAAGGAGTTTCTGAGAATCATTCTGTCTAGTTTTGAAACGAAGATATTTCCTTTTCTGCCGTTGACCTTAAAGAGCTTGAAAACTACACTTGCAAATTGCACAAATAGAGTGTTTCAAATCTGCTCTGTCTAAGGGAACGTTCAACTCTGTGAGTTGAATGCACACAACACAAGGAAGTTACTGGGAATTCTTCTGTCTAGCCTTACATGAAAAAAACCCGTTTCCAACGAAGGCCTCTAAGTGGTCAAAATTTCCACGTGCAGACTTTACAAACAGAGTGTTTCCAAACCGCTGAATGAAAAGAAAAGTTAAACTCTGAGAGTTGAACGCACACATCACAAAGGAGTTTCTGAGAATGATTCTGTCTCGTTTTTATACGAAGATATTTCCTTTTCTGCCTTTGGCCTCAAAGCGCTTGAAATCTCCATTTGCAAATTCCACAAAAAGAGTGTTTCAAATCTGCTCTGTGTAAATGAAAGTTCAACTCTGTGAGTTGAACACACACAAGGAAGTTACTGGGAATTCTTCTGTCTAGCCTTATATGAAAAAAACCCGTTTCCAACGAAGGCCTCAAAGAGGCCTGAATATCCACCTGCAGTCTTTACAAACAGAGTGTTTCCTAACTGCTCTATGAAAAGAAAGGTTAAACTCTGTGAGTTGAACACACACATCACAAAGGAGTTTACTGAGAATCATTCTGTCTAGTTTCTATAGGAAGATATTTCCTATTCTACCATTGACCTCAAAGCGGCTGAAATCTCCACTTGCAAATTCCACAAAAAGAGTGTTTCAAGTCTGCTCTGTGTAAAGGATCGTTCAACTCTGTGAGTTGAATACACACAACAGACGGCAGTTACTGAGAATTCTTCTGTCTAGCAGAATATGAAGAAATCCCGTTTCCAACGAAGGCCTCAAGGAGGTCTGAATATCCACTTGCAGACTTTACAAACAGAGTGTTTCCTAACTGCTCTATGAACAGGAAGGTTAAACTCTGTGAGTTGAACGAACACATCACAACGCAGTTTGTGGGAATGATTCTGTCTAGTTTTGAAACGAAGATATTTCCTTTTCTGCCGTTGACCTGAAAGCGCTTGAAATCTACACTTGCAAATTACACAAATAGAGTGTTTCAAATCTGCTCTGTCTAAGGGAACGTTCAACTCTGTGAGTTGAATGCACACAACACAAGGAAGTTACTGGGAATTCTTCTGTCTAGCCTTACATAAAAAAAACCCGTTTCCAACGAAGGCCTCTAAGTGGTCAAAATATCCACGTGCAGACTTTACAAACAGAGTGTTTCCAAACCGCTGAATGAAAAGAAAAGTTAAACTCTGAGAGTTGAACGCACACATCACGCAGCAGTTTCTGAGAATGATTCTGTCTAGTTTTGAAACGAAGATATTTCCTTTTCTGCCTTTGGCCTCAAAGTGCTTGAAATCTCCACTTGCAAATTCCACAAAAAGAGTGTTTCAAATCTGCTCTGTGTAAATGGAAGTTCAACTCTGTGAGTTGAACACACACAACACAACGAAGTTACTGGGAATTCTTCTTTCTAGCAGAATATGAAGAAATCCCGTTTCCAACGAAAGCCTCAAGGATGTCTGAATATCCACTTGCAGACTTTACAAACAGAGTGTTTCCTAACTGCTCTATGAAAAGAAAGGTTAAACTCTTTGAGTTGAACGCACACATCACAAAGGAGTTTCTGAGAATCATTCTGTCTAGTTTCTATAGGAAGATATTTCCTATTCTACCATTGACCTCAAAGCGGCTGAAATCTCCACTTGCAAATTCCACAAAAAGAGTGTTTCAAGTCTGCTCTGTGTAAAGGATCGTTCAACTCTGTGAGTTGAATACACACAACACAAGGGAAGTTACTGAGAATTCTTCTGTCTACCAGAATATGAAGAAATCCCTTTTCCAACAAGGCAACAAGATGTCAGAATATCCACTTACAGACTTTACAAACAGAGTGTTTCCTAACTGCTCTATGAACAGAAAGGTTAAACTCTGTGAGTTGAACGAACACATCACAACGCAGTTTGTGGGAATGATTCTGTCTAGTTTTTATACGAAGATATTTCCTTTTCTACCATGGACCTCAAAGCGGCTGAAATCTCCACTTGCCAATTGCACAAAAAGAGTGTTTCAAATCTGCTCTGTCTAAGGGAACGTTCAACTCTGTGAGTTGAATGTACACAACACAAGGAAGTTACTAGGAATTCTTCTGTCTAGCCTTACAAGAAAAAAACCCGTTTCCAACGAAGGCCTCTAAGTGGTCAAAATATCCACGTGCAGACTTTACAAACAGAGTGTTTCCAAACTGCTGAATGAAAAGAAAAGTTAAACTCTGAGAGTTGAACGCACACATCGCAGAGCAGTTTCTGAGAATGATTCTGTCTAGTTTTTATACGAAGATATTTCCTTTTCTTCCTTTGGCCCCAAAGCGCTTGAAATCTCCACTTGCAAATTCCACAAAAACAGTGTTTCAAATCTGCTCTCTGTAAATGATAGTTCAACTCTGTCAGTTGAATACACACAACACAAGGAAGTTACTGAGAATTCTTCTGTCTAGCATAATATGAAGAAATCCCGTTTCCAACGAAGGCCTCAAGGAGGTCTGAATATCCACTTGCAGACTTTAGAAACAGAGTGTTTCCTAACTGCTGTATGAAAAGAAAGGTTAAACTCTGTGAGTTGAACGCACACATCACAAAGGAGTTTCTGAGAATCATTCTGTCTAGTTTTTATAGGAAGATATTTCCTTTTCTACCTTTGACTTCAAAGCGGCTGAAATCTCCACTTGCAAATTCCACAAAAAGAGTGTGACAAGTCTGCTCTGTGTAAAGGATCGTTCAACTCTGTGAGTTGAATACACACAACACAAGGAAGTTACTGAGAATTCTTCTGTCTAGCACAGTATGAAGAAATCTCTTTTCCAACGAAGGCCCCAAAGAGGTCTGAATATCCACTTGCAGACTTTACAAACAGAGTGTTTCCTAACTGCTCTATGAAAAGAAAGGTTAAACTCTATGTGTTGAACGCACACATCACAAAGAAGTTTCTGAGAATCATTCTGTCTAGTTTTTATACGAAGAGATTTCCTTTTCTACCTTTGACTTCAAAGCGGATGAAATCTCCACTTGCAAATTCCACAAAAAGAGTGTTACAAGTCTGCTCTGTGTAAAGGATCGTTCAACTCTGTGAGTTGAATACACACAACACAAGGAAGTTACTGAGAATTCTTCTGTCTAGCCTTACATGAAAAAAACCCGTTTCCAACGAAGACCTCTAAGTGGTCAAATTATCCACGTGCAGACTTTACAAACACAGTGTTTCCAAACTGCTGAATGAAAAGAAAAGTTAAACTCTGAGAGTTGAACGCACACATCGCAGAGCAGTTTCTGAGAATGATTCTGTCTAGTTTTGAAACGAAGATATTTCCTTTTCTGCCTTTGGCCTCAAAGCGCTTGACATCTCCACTTGCAAATTCCACAAAAAGAGTGTTTCAAATCTGCTCTGTGTAAATGAAAGTTCAACTCTGTGAGTTGAACACACACAACACAAGGAAGTTACTGGGAATTCTTCTGTCTAGCATAGTATGGAGAAATCCCGTTTCCAACGAAGACCTCAAAGAGGTCTGAATATCCACTTGCAGACTTTATAAACAGAGTGTTTCCTAACTGCTCTATGAAAAGAAAAGTTAAACTCTGTGAGTTGAAAGCACACATCACAAAGGCGTTTCTGAGAATCATTCTGTCTAGTCTTTATACGAAGATATTTCCTTTTCTACCATTGACCTCAAAGCGGCTGAAATCTCCACTTGCAAATTCCACAAAAAGTGTGTTTCAAGTCTGCTCTGTGTAAAGGATCGTTCAACTCTGTGAGTTGAATACACACAACACAAGGAAGTTACTGAGAATTCTTCTGTCTAGCAGAATATGAAGAAATCCCGTTTCCAACAAAGGCCACAAGATGTCAGAATAGCCACTTACAGACTTTACAAACAGAGTGTTTCCTAACTGCTCTATGAACAGAAAGGTTAAACTCTGTGAGTTGAACGAACACATCACAACGCAGTTTGTGGGAATGATTCTGTCTAGTTTTGAAACGAAGATATTTCCTTTTCTGCCATTGACCTTAAAGCGCTTGAAATCTCCATTTGCCAATTGCACAAAAAGAGTGTTTCAAATCTGCTCTGTCTAAGGGAACGTTCAACTCTGTGAGTTGAATGTACACAACACAAGGAAGTTACTTGGGAATTCTTCTGTCTAGCCTCACATGAAAAAATTCCGTTTCCAACGAAGGCCTCTAAGTGGTCAAAATATCCACGTGCAGACTTTACAAACAGAGTGTTTCCAAACCGCTGAATGAAAAGAAAAGTTAAACTCTGAGAGTTGAACGCACACATCACGCAGCAGTTTCTGAGAATGATTCTGTCTAGTTTTGAAACGAAGATATTTCCTTTTCTGCCTTTGGCCTCAAAGCGCTTGAAATCTCCACTTGCAAATTCCACAAAAAGAGTGTTTCACATCTGCTCTGGGTAAATGAAAGTTCAACTCTGTGAGTTGAACACACACAACACAAGGAAGTCACTGGGAATTCTTCTGTCTAGCATAATATGAAGAAATCCCGTTTCCAACGAAGGCCTCAAAGGGGTCTGAATATCCACTTGCAGACTTTATAAACAGAGTGTTTACTAACTGCTCTATGAAAAGAAAGGTTAAACTGCTGTGAGTTGAACACACACATCACAAAGGAGTTTCTGAGAATCATTCTGTCTATTTTCTATAGGAAGATATTTCCTATTCTACCATTGACCTCAAAGCGGCTGATATCTCCACTTGCAAATTCCACAAAAAGAGTGTTTCAAGTCTGCTCTGTGTAAAGGATCGTTCAACTCTGTGAGTTGAATACACACAACACAAGGAAGTTACTGAGAATTCTTCTGTCTAGCAGAATATGAAGAAATCCCGTTTCCAACGAAGGCCACAAGATGTCAGAATATCCACTTACAGAATTGACAAACAGACTGTTTCCTAACTGCTCTATGAAAAGAAAGGTTAAACTCTGTGAGTTGAACGAACACATCACAACGCAGTTTGTGGGAATGCTTCTGTCTAGTTTTGAAACGAAGATATTTCCTTTTCTGCCATTGACCTTAAAGCGCTTGAAATCTCCATTTGCCAATTGCACAAAAAGAGTGTTTCAAATCTGCTCTGTCTAAGGGAACGTTCAACTCTGTGAGCTGAATGTACACAACACAAGGAAGTTACTGGGAATTCTTCTGTCTAGCATAATATGAAGAAATCCCGTTTCCAACGAAGGCCTCAAGGAGGTCTGAATATCCACTTGCAGACTTTACAAACAGAGTGTTTCCTAACTGCTCTATGAAAAGAAAGGTTAACCTCTGTGAGTTGAACGCACACATCACAAAGGAGTTTCTGAGAATCATTCTGTCTAGTTTCTATAGGTACATATTTCCTATTCTACCATTGACCTCAAAGCGGCTGAAATCTCCTTGCAAATTCCACAAAAAGAGTGTTTCAAGTCTGCTCTGTGTAAAGGATCGTTCAACTCTGTGAGTTGAATACACACAACACAAGGAAATTACTGAGAATTCTTCTGTCCAGCATAATATGAAGAAATCCCGTTTCCAAAGAAGGCCTCAAGGAGCTCTGAATATCCACTTGCAGACCTTACAAACAGAGTGTTTCCTAACTGCTCTATGAAAAGAAAGGTTAAACTCTGTGAGTTGAACGCACACATCACAAAGGAGTTTCTGAGAATAATTCTGTCTAGTTTCTATAGGAAGATATTTCCTATTCTACCGTTGACCTCAAAGCGGCTGAAATCTCCACTTGCAAATTCCACAAAAAGAGTGTTTCAAGTCTGCTCTGTGTAAAGGATCGTTCAACTCTGTGAGTTGAATACACACAACACAAAGAAGTTACTGAGAATTTTTCTGTCTAGCAGAATATGAAGAAATCCCGTTTCCAACGAAGGCCACAATATGTCAGAATATCCACTTACAGACTTTAGAAACAGAGTGTTTCCTAACTGCTCTATGAACAGAAAGGTTAAACTCTGTGAGTTGAACGAACACATCACAACGCAGTTTGTGGGAATGATTCTGTCTAGTTTTGAAACGAAGATATTTCCTTTTCTGCCATTGACCTTAAAGCGCTTGAAATCTACACTTGCAAATTGCACAAATAGAGTGTTTCAAATCTGTTCTGTCTAAGGGAACGTTCATCTCTGTGAGTTGAATGCACACAACACAAGGAAGTTACTGGGAATTCTTCTGTCTAGCCTTACATGAAAAAAACCCGTTTCCAACGAAGGCCTCTAAGTGGTCAAAATATCCACGTGCAGACTTTACAAACAGAGTGTTTCCAAACCGCTGAATGAAAAGAAAAGTTAAACTCTGAGAGTTGAACGCACACATCACACAGCAGTTTCTGAGAATGATTCTGTCTAGTTTTTATACGAAGATATTTCCTTTTCTGCCTTTGGCCTCAAAGCGCTTGAAATTTCCACTTGCAAATTCCACAAAAAGAGTGTTTCAAATCTGCTCTGTGTAAATCAAAGTTCAACTCTGTGAGTTGAACACACACAACACAAGGAAGTTACTGGGAATTCTTCTGTCTAGCAGAATATGAAGAAATCCCGTTTCCAACGAAGGCCTCAACGAGGTCTGAATATCCACTTGCAGACTTTACAAACAGAGTGTTTCCAAACTGCTCTATGAAAAGAAAGGTTAAACTCTGTGAGTTGAACACACACATCACAAAGGAGTTTCTGAGAATCATTCTTTCTAGTTTTTCTACGAAGATATTTCCTTTTCTACTATTGACCTCAAAGCGGCTGAAATCTCCACTTGCAAATTCCACAAAAAGAGTGTTTCAAGTCTGCTCTCTGTAAAGGATCGTTCAACTCTGTGACTTGAATACACACAACACAAGGAAGTTACTGAGAATTATTCTGTCTAGCATAATATGAAGAAATCCCGTTTCCAAAGAAGGCCTCAAAGAGGTCTGAATATCCACTTGCAGACTTTACAAACAGAGTGTTTCCTAACTGCTCTATGAAAAGAAAAGTTAAACTCTGTGTGTTGAACGCACACATCACAAAGGAGTTTCTGAGAATCATTCTGTCTAGTTTTGAAACGAAGATATTTCCTTTTCTGCCATTGACCTTAAAGCGCTTGAAATCTCCACTTGCCAATTGCACAAAAAGAGTGTATCAAATCTGCTCTGTCTAAGGGAACGTTCAACTCTGTGAGTTGAATGTACACAACACAAGGAATTTACTGGGAATTCTTCTGTCTAGCCTTACATGAAAAAAACCCGTTTCCAACGAAGGCCTCTAAGTGGTCAAATTATCCACGTGCAGACTTTACAAACAGAGTGTTTCCAAACTGCTGAATGAAAAGAAAAGTTAAACTCTGAGAGTTGAACACACACATCGCAGAGCAGTTTCTGAGAATGATTTTGTCTAGTTTTTATACGAAGATATTTCCTTTTCTGCCTTTGGCCTCAAAGCGCTTGAAATCTCCACTTGCAAATTCCACAAAAAGAGTGTTTCAAATCTGCTCTGTGTAAATGAGAGTTCATCTCTGTGAGTTGAACACACACAACACAAGGAAGTTACTGGGAATTCTTCTGTATAGCAGAATATGAAGAAATCCCGTTTCCAACGAAGGCCTCAAGGAGGTCTGAATATCCACTTGCAGACTTTACAAACAGAGTGTTTCCTAACTGCTCTATGAAAAGAAAGGTTAAACTCTGTCAGTTGAACGCAGACATCACAAAGGAGTTTCTGAGAATCACTCTGTCTAGTTTTTATACGAAGATATTTCCTTTTCTACCATTGACCTCAACGCGGCTGAAATCTCCACTTGCAAATTCCAC
This sequence comes from Homo sapiens, assembly GCF_000001405.40. Lineage (NCBI taxonomy): Eukaryota > Metazoa > Chordata > Mammalia > Primates > Hominidae > Homo > Homo sapiens. The sequence goes on along the minus strand of NC_000019.10, from coordinate 26,648,150 downwards.
AAAAAGAGTGTTTCAAGTCCGCTCTGTGTAAAGGATCGTTCAAATCCTGTGAGTTGAATACACACAACACAAGGAAGTTACTGAGAATTCTTCTGTCTAGCAGAATACGAAGAAATCCCGTTTCCAACGAAGGCCACAAGATGTCAGAATATCCACTTACAGACTTTACAAACAGAGTGTTTCCTAACTGCTCTATGAACAGAAAGGTTAAACTCTGTGAGTTGAACGAACACATCACAACGCAGTTTGTGGGAATGATTCTGTCTAGTTTTTATAGGAAGATATTTCATTTTCTACCTTTGACTTCAAAGCGGCTGAAATCTCCACTTGCAAATTCCACAAAAAGAGTGTTACAAGTCTGCTCTGTGTAAAGGATCGTTCAACTCTTTGAGTTGAATACACACAACACAAGGAAGTTACTGAGAATTCTTCTGTCTAGCCTTACATAAAAAAAACCCGTTTCCAACGAAGGCCTCTAAGTGGTCAAGTTTTCCATGTGCAGACTTTACAAACAGAGTGTTTCCAAACTGCTGAATGAAAAGAAAAGTTAAACTCTGAGAGTTGAACGCACACATCGCAGAGCAGTTTCTGAGAATGATTCTGTCGAGTTTTTATACGAAGATATTTCCTTTTCTGCCTTTGGCCTCAAAGCGCTTGAAATCTCCATTTGCAAATTCCACAAAAAGAGTGTTTCAAATCTGCTCTGTGTAAATGAAAGTTCAACTCTGTGAGTTGAACACACACAACACAAGGAAGTTACTGGGAATTCTTCTGTATAGCAGAATATGAAGAAATCCCGTTTCCAACGAAAGCCTCAAAGAAGTCTGAATATCCACTTGCAGACTTTACAAACAGAGTGTTTCCTAACTGCTCTATGAAAAGAAAGGTTAAACTCTGTGAGTTGAACGCACACATCACAAAGGAGTTTCTGAGAATCATTCTGTCTAGTCTTTATACGAAGAGATTTCCTTTTCTACCATTGACCTCAAAGCGGCTGAAATCTCCACTTGCAAATTCCACAAAAAGAGTGTTTCAAGTCTGCTCTGTGTAAAGGATCGTTCAACTCTGTGAGTTGAATACACACAACACAAGGAAGTTACTGAGAATTCTTCTGTCTAGCAGAATATGAAGAAATCCCGTTTCCAACGAAGGCCACAAGATGTCAGAATATCCACTTAGAGACTTTACAAACAGAGTGTTTCCTAACTGCTCTATGAACAGAAAGGTTAAACTCTGTGAGTTGAACGAACACATCACAACGCAGTTTGTGGGAATGATTCTGTCTAGTTTTGAAACGAAGATATTTCCTTTTCTGCCATTGACCTTAAATCGCTTGAAATCTCCACTTGCCAATTGCACAAAAAGAGTGTTTCAAATCTACTCTGTCTAAGGGAACGTTCAACTCTGTGAGTTGAATGAACACAACACAAGGAAGTTACTGGGAATTCTTCTGTCTAGCCTTACATGGAAAAAACCCGTTTCCAACGAAGGCCTCTAAGTGGTCAAATTATGCACGTGCAGATTTTACAAACAGAGTGTTTCCAAACTGCTGAATGAAAGGAAAAGTTAAACTCTGAGAGTTGAACGCACACATCGCAGAGCAGTTTCTGAGAATGATTCTGTCTAGTTTTTATACGAAGATATTTTCTTTTCTGCATTTGGCCTCAAAGCGCTTGAAATCTCCATTTGCAAATTCCACAAAAAGAGTGTTTCAAATCTGCTCTGTGTAAATGAAAGTTCAACTCTGTGAGTTGAACACACACAACACAAGGAAGTTACTGGGAATTCTTCTTTCTAGCAGAATATGAAGAAATCCCGTTTCCAACGAAAGCCTCAAGGATGTCTGAATATCCACTTGCAGACTTTACAAACAGAGTGTTTCCTAACTGCTCTATGAAAAGAAAGGTTAAACTCTGTGAGTTGAACGCACACATAACAAAGGAGTTTCTGAGAATCATTCTGTCTAGTTTTTCTACGAAGATATTTCCTTTTCTACTATTGACCTCAAAGCGGCTGAAATCTCCACTTGCAAATTCCACAAAAAGAGTGTTTCAAGTCTGCTCTGTGTAAAGGATCGTTCAACACTGTGAGTTGAATACACACAACACAAGGAAGTTACTGAGAATTCTTCTGTCTAGCCTTATATGAAAAAAACCCGTTTCCAACGAAGGCCTCAAAGAGGTCTGAATATCCACTTGCAGACTTTACAAACAGAGTGTTTCCTAACTGCTCTATGAAAAGAAAGGTTAAACTCTGTGAGTTGAAAGCACACATCACAAAGGAGTTTCTGAGAATCATTCTGTCTAGTTTTTATAGGAAGATATTTCCTTTTCTACCTTTGACTTCAAAGCGGCTGAAATCCCCACTTGCAAATTCCACAAAAAGAGTGTTACAAGTCTGCTCTGTGTAAAGGATCGTTCAACTGTGTGAGTTGAATACACACAACACAAGGAAGTTACTGAGAATTCTTCTTTTTAGCCTTACAGGAAAAAAAACCGTTTCCAACGAAGGCCTCTAAGTGGTCAAAATATCCACGTGCAGACTTTACAAACAGAGTGTTTCCAAACTGCTGAATGAAAAGAAAAGTTAAACTCTGAGAGTTGAACGCACACATCGCAGAGCAGTTTCTGAGAATGATTCTGTCTAGTTTTGAAACGAAGATATTTCCTTTTCTGCCTTTGGCCTCAAAGCGCTTGAAATCTCCACTTGCAAATTCCACAAAAAGAGTGTTTCAAATCTGCTCTGTGTAAATGAATGTTCAACTCTGTGAGTTGAACACACACAACACAAGGAAGTTACTGGGAATTCTTCTTTCTGGCAGAATATGAAGAAATCCCGTTTCCAACGAAAGCCTCAAGGATGTCTGAATATCCACTTGCAAACTTTACAAACAGAGTGTTTCCTAACTGCTCTATGAAAAGAAAGGGTAAACTCTGTGAGTTGAACGCACACATCACAAAGGAGTTTCTGAGAATCATTCTGTCTAGTTTTTATAGGAAGATATTTCCTTTTCTACCTTTGACTTCAAAGCGGCAGAAATCTCCACTTGCAAATTCCACAAAAAGAGTGTTACAAGTCTGCTCTGTGTAAAGGATCGTTCAACTCTGTGAGTTGAATACACACAACACAAGGAAGTTACTGGGAATTCTTCTCTCTAGCCTTATATGAAAAAAACCCGTTTCCAACGAAGGCCTCAAAGAGGTCTGAATATCCACTTTCAGACTTTACAAACAGAGTGTTTCCTAACTGCTCTATGAAAACAAAGGTTAAACTCTGTGAGTTGAACGCACACATCACAAAGGAGTTTCTGAGAATCATTCTGTCTAGTTTTGAAACGAAGATATTTCCTTTTCTGCCATTGACCTTAAAGCGCTTGAAATCTCCACTTGCCAATTGCACAAAAAGAGTGTTTCAAATCTGCTCTGTCTAAGGGAACGTTCAACTCTGTGAGTTGAATGTACACAACACAAAGAAGTTACTGGGAATTCTTCTGTCTAGTCTTACAGGAAAAAAACCCGTTTCCAACGAAGGCCTCTAAGTGGTCAAAATATCCACGTGCAGACTTTACAAACAGAGTGTTTCCAAACTGCTGAATGAAAAGAAAAGTTAAACTCTGAGAGTTGAACGCACACATCGCAGAGCAGTTTCTGAGAATGATTCTGTCTAGTTTTGAAACGAAGATATTTCCTTTTCTGCCTTTGGCCTCAAAGCGCTTGAAATCTCCACTTGCAAATTCCACAAAAAGAGTGTTTCAAATCTGCTCTGTGTAAATGGAAGTTCAACTCTGTGAGTTGAACACACACAACACAAGGAAGTTACTGGGAATTCTTCTCTCTAGCCTTATATGAAAAAAACCCTTTTCCAACGAAGGCCTCAAAGAGGTCTGAATATCCACTTGCAGACTTTACAAACAGAGTGATTCCTAACTGCTCTATGAAAAGAAAGGTTAAACTCTGTGAGTTGAACACACACATCTCAAAGGAGTTTCTGAGAATCATTCTGTCTAGTTTTTATATGAAGATATTTCCTTTTCTACCATTGACCACAAAGCGGCTGAAATCTCCACTTGCAAATTCCAGAAAAAGAGTGTTTCAAATCTGCTCTGTGTAAAGGATCGTTCAACTCTGTGAGTTGAATACACACAACACAAGGAAGTTACTGAGAATTCTTCTGTCTAGCAGAATATGAAGAAATCCCGTTTCCAACGAAGGCCACAAGATGTCAGAATATCCACTTACAGAATTTACAAACAGACTGTTTCCTAACTGCTCTATGAAAAGAAAGGTTAAACTCTGTGTGTTGAACGAACACATCACAACGCAGTTTGTGGGAATGATTCTGTCTAGTTTTGAAACGAAGATATTTCCTTTTCTGCCATTAACCTTAAAGCGCTTGAAATCTCCACTTGCCAATTGCACAAAAAGAGTGTTTCAAATCTGCTCTGTCTAAGGGAACGTTCAACTCTGTGAGTTGAATGTACACAACACAAGGAAGTTACTGGGAATTCTTCTGTCTAGCCTTATAGGAAAAAAACCCGTTTCCAACGAAGGCCTCTAAGTGGTCAAAATATCCACGTGCAGACTTTACAAACAGAGTGTTTCCAAACTGCTGAATGAAAAGAAAAGTTAAACTCTGAGAGTTGAACGCACACATCGCAGAGCAGTTTCTGAGAATGATTCTGTCTAGTTTTCAAACGAAGATAGTTCCTTTTCTGCCTTTGGTCTCAAAGCGCTTGAAATCTCCACTTGCATATTCCACAAAAAGAGTGTTTCAAATCTGCTCTGTGTAAATGAAAGTTCAACTCTGTGAGTTGAACACACACAACACAAGGAAGTTACTGGGAATTCTTCTGTCTAGCAGAATATGAAGAAATCCCGTTTCCAACGAAGGCCTCAAATGGGTCTGAATATCCACTTGCAGACTTTATAAACAGAGTGTTTACTAACTGCTCTATGAAAAGAAAGGTTAAACTCTGTGAGTTGAACACACACATCACAAAGGAGTTTCTGAGAATCATTCTGTCTAGTTTTTCTACGAAGATATTTCCTTTTCTACTATTGACCTCAAAGCGGCTGAAATCTCCACTTGCAAATTCCACAAAAAGAGTGTTTCAAGTCTGCTCTGTGTAAAGGATCGTTCAACTCCGTGAGTTGAATACACACAACACAAGGAAGTTACTGAGAATTCCTCTGTCTAGCAGAATATGTAGAAATCCCGTTTCCAACGAAGGCCACAAGATGTCAGAATATCCACTTACAGAATTTACCAACAGAGTGTTTCCTAACTGCTCTATGAAAAGAAAGGTTAAACTCTGTTAGTTGAACGAACACATCACAACGCAGTTTGTGGGAATGATTCTGATCTAGTTTTGAAACGAAGATATTTCCTTTTCTGCCGTTGACCTTAAAGAGCTTGAAAACTACACTTACAAATTGCACAAATAGAGTGTTTCAAATCTGCTCTGTCTAAGGGAACGTTCAACTCTGTGAGTTGAATGCACACAACACAAGGAAGTTACTGGGAATTCTTCTGTCTAGCCTTACATGAAAAAAACCCGTTTCCAACGAAGGCCTCTAAGTGGTCAAAATATCCACGTGCAGGCTTTACAAACGAGAGTGTTTCCAAACCGCTGAATGAAAAGAAAAGTTAAACTCTGAGAGTTGAACGCACACATCACGCAGCAGTTTCTGAGAATGATTCTGTCTAGTTTTTATACGAAGATATTTCGTTTTCTGCCTTTGGCCCCAAAGCGCTTGAAATCTCCACTTGCAAATTCCACAAAAACAGTGTTTCAAATCTGCTCTCTCTAAATGAAAGTTCAACTCTGTCAGTTGAATACACACAACACAAGGAAGTTACTGAGAATTCTTCTGTCTAGCCTTACATGAAAAAAACCCGTTTCCAACGAAGGCCTCAAAGAGGTCAAAATATCCACTTGCAGACATTACAAACAGAGTGTTTCCTAACTACTCTATGAATAGAAAGGTTAAACTCTGTGAGTTGAACACACACATCACAAAGGAGTTTCTGAGAATCATTCTGTCTAGTTTTTATACGAAGATATTTCCTTTTCTACCATTGACCTCAAAGCGGCTGAAATCTCCACTTGCAAATTCCACAAAAAGAGTGTTTCAAATCTGCTCTGTGTAAACCATCGTTCAACTCTGTGAGTTGAATACACACAACACAAGGAAGATTCTGAGAGTTCTTCTGTCTAGCAGAATATGAAGAAATCCCGTTTCCAACGAAGGCCACAAGATGTCAGAATATCCACTTACAGAATTTACAAACAGACTGTTTCCTAACTGCTCTATGAAAAGAATGGTTAAACTCTGTGAGTTTACCTAACAGATCACAACGCAGTTTGTGGGAATGATTCTGTCTAGTTTTGAAACGAAGTTATTTCCTTTTCTGCCATTGACCTTAAAGCGCTTGAAATCTCCACTTGCCAATTGCACAAAAAGAGTGTTTCAAATCTGCTCTGTCTAAGGGAACGTTCAACTCTGTGAGTTGAATGTACACAACACAAGGAAGTTACTGGGAATTCTTCTGTCTAGCCTTACATGAAAAAAACCCGTTTCCAACGAAGGCCTCTAAGTGGTCAAAATATGCACGTTCCGACTTTACAAACAGAGTGTTTCCAAACCGCTGAATGAAAAGAAAAGTTAAACTCTGAGTGTTGAACGCACACATCACGCAGCAGTTTCTGAGAATGATTCTGTGTAGTTTTTATACGAAGATATTTCCTTTTCTGCCTTTGGCCTCAAAGCGCTTGAAATCTCCACTTGCAAATTCCACAAAAAGAGTGTTTCAAATCTGCTCTGTGTAAATGAAAGTTCAACTCTGTGAGTTGAACACACACAACACAAGGAAGTTACTGGGAATTCTTCTGTCTGGCAGAATATGAAGAAATCCCGTTTCCAACGAAGGCCTCAAAGAGGTCTGAATATCCACTTGCAGACTTTACAAACAGAGTGTTTCCTAACTGCTCTATGAAAAGAAAGGTTAAACTCTGTGAGTTGAACGCACACATCACAAAGGAGTTTCTGAGAATCATTCTGTCTAGTTTCTATAGGAAGATATTTCCTATTCTACCATTGAGCTCAAAGCGGCTGAAATCTCCACTTGCAAATTCCACAAAAACAGTGTTTCAAGTCTGCTCTGTGTAAAGGATCGTTCAACTCTGTGAGTTGAATACACACAACACAAGGAAGTTACTGAGAATTATTCTGTCTAGCAGAATATGAAGAAATCCCGTTTCCAACGAAGGCCACAAGATGTCAGAATATCCACTTACAGAATTTACAAACAGACTGTTTCCTAACTGCTCTATGAAAAGAAAGGTTAAACTGCTGTGAGTTGAACGAACACATCACAACGCAGTTTTTGGGAATGATTCTGTCTAGTTTTGAAACGAAGACATTTCCTTTTCTGCCATTGACCTTAAAGCGCTTGAAATCTACACTTGCAAATTGCACAAATAGAGTGTTTCAAATCTGCTCTGTCTAAGGGAACGTTCAACTCTGTGAGTTGAATGCACACAACACAAGGAAAGTTACTGGGAATTCTTCTGTCTAGCCTTACATGAAAAAATCCCGTTTCCAACGAAGGTCTCTAAGTGGTCAAAATTTCCACGTGCAGACTTTACAAACAGAGTGTTTCCAAACCGCTGAATGAAAAGAAAAGTTAATCTCTGAGAGTTGATCGCACACATCACGCAGCAGTTTCTGAGAATGATTCTGTCTAGTTTTTATACGAAGATATCTCCTTTTCTGCCTTTGGCCTCAAAGCGCTTGAAATCTCCACTTGCAAATTCCACAAAAAGAGTGTTTCAAATCTGCTCTGTGTAAATGAAAGTTCAACTCTGTGAGTTGAACACACACAACACAAGGAAGTTACTGGGAATTCTTCTGTCTAGCCTTATATGAAAAAAACCCGTTTCCAACGAAGGCCTCAAAGAGGTCTGAATATCCATTTGCAGACTTTACAAACAGAGTGTTTCCTAACTGCTCTATGAAAAGAAAGGTTAAAGTCTGTGAGTTGAACGCACACATCACAAAGGAGTTTCTGAGAATCATTCTGTCTAGTTTCTATACGAAGATATTTCCTATTCTACCATTGACCTCAAAGCGGCTGAAATCTCCACTTGCAAATTCCACAAGAAGAGTGTTTCAAGTCTGCTCTGTGTAAAGGATCGTTCAACTCTGTGAGTTGAATACACACAACACAAGGAAGTTACTGAGAATTCTTCTGTCTTGCATAATATGAAGAAATCCCGTTTCCAACGAAGGCCTCAAGGAGGTCTGAATATCCACTTGCAGACTTTACAAACAGAGTGTTTCCTAACTGCTCTATGAAAAGAAAGGTTAAACTCTGTGAGTTGAACGCACACATCACAAAGTAGTTTCTGAGAATCATTCTGTCTAGTTTTGAAACGAAGATATTTCCTTTTCTGCCATTGACCTTAAAGCGCTTGAAATCTCCACTTGCCAATTGCACAAAAAGAGTGTTTCAAATCTGCTCTGTCTAAGGGGAACGTTCAACTCTGTGAGTTGAATGTACACAACACAAGGAAGTTACTGGGAATTCTTCTGTCTAGCCTTACATGAAAAAAACCCGTTTCCAACGAAGGCCTCTAAGGGGTCAAAATATCCACGGGCAGACTTCACAAACAGAGTGTTTCCAAACCGCTGAATGAAAAGAAAAGTTAAACTCTGAGAGTTGAACGCACACATCACGCAGCAGTTTCTGAGAATGATTCTGTCTAGTTTTTATACGAAGATATATCCTTTTCTGCCTTTGGCCCCAAAGCGCTTGAAATCTCCACTTGCAAATTCCACAAAAACAGTGTTTCAAATCTGCTCCCTCTAAATGAAAGTTCAACTTTGTCAGTTGAATACACACAACACAAGGAAGTTACTGAGAATTCTTCTGTCTAGTATAATATGAAGAAATCCCGTTTCCAACGAAGGCCACAAAGAGGTCTGAATATCCACTTGCAGACTTTATAAACAGAGTGTTTCCTAACTGCTCTATGAAAAGAAAAGTTAAACTCTGTGAGTTGAACGCACACATCACAAAGGAGTTTCTGAGAATCATTCTGTCTAGTTTTTATACGAAGATATTTCCTTTTCTACCATTGACTTCAACGCGGCTGAAATCTCCACTTGCAAATTCCACAAAAAGAGTGTTCCAAGTCTGCTCTGTGTAAAGGATCGTTCAACTCTGTGAGTTGAATACACACAACACAAGGAAGTTACTGAGAATTCTTCTGTCTAGCAGAATATGAAGAAATCCCGTTTCCAACGAAGGCCACAAGATGTCAGAATATCCACTTACAGACTTTACAAACAGAGTGTTTCCTAACTGCTCTATGAAAAGAAAGGTTAAACTCTGTGAGTTGAACGAACACATCACAACGCAGTTTGTGGGAATGATTCTGTCTAGTTTTGAAACTAAGATATTTCCTTTTCTGCCATTGACCTTAAAGCGCTTGAAATCTCCACTTGCCAATTGCACAAAAAGAGTATTTCAAATCTGCTCTGTCTAAGGGAACGTTCAACTCTGTGAGTTGAATGTACACAACACAAGGAAGTTACTGGGAATTCTTCTGTCTAGCCTTACATGAAAAAAAAACCGTTTCCAACGAAGGCCTCTAAGTGGTCAAATTATCCACGTGCAGACTTTACAAACAGAGTGTTTTCAAACTGCTGAATGAAAAGAAAAGTTAAACTCGGAGAGTTGAACGCACACATCGCAGAGCAGTTTCTGAGAATGATTCTGTCTAGTTTTCAAACGAAGATATTTCCTTCTCTGCCTTTGGCCTCAAAGCGCTTGAAATCTCCACTTGCAAATTCCACAAAAAGAGTGTTTCAAATCTGCTCTGTGTAAATGAAAGTTCAACTCTGTGAGTTCAACACACACAACACAAGGAAGTTACTGGGAATTCTTCTGTCTAGCAGAATATGAAGAAATCCCGTTTCCAACGAAAGCCTCAAAGATGTCTGAATATCCACTTGCAGACTTTACAAACAGAGTGTTTCCTAACTGCTCTCTGAAAAGAAAGGTTAAACTCTGTGAGTTGAACGCACACATCACAAAGGAGTTTCTGAGAATCATTCTGTCTAGTCTTTATATGAAGATAGTTTCCTTTTCTACCATTGACCTCAAAGCGGCTGAAATCTCCACTTCCAAATTCCACAAAAAGAGTGTTTCACGTCTGCTCTGTGTAAAGGATCGTTTAACTCTGTGAGTTGAATACACACAACACAAGGAAGTTACTGAGAATTACTTCTGTCTAGCATAATATGAAGAAATCCCGTTTCCAACGAAGGCCTCAAGGAGGTCTGAATATCCACTTGCAGACTTTACAAACAGAGTGTTTCCTAACTGCTCTATGAAAAGAAAGGTTAAACTGTGTGAGTTTAACGCACACATCACAAAGGAGTTTCTCAGAATCATTCTGTCTAGTTTTTATAGGAAGATATTTCCTTTTCTACCTTTGACTTCAAAGCGGCTGAAATCTCCACTTGCAAATTCCACAAAAAGAGTGTTACAAGTCTGCTCTGTGTAAAGGATCGTTCAACTCTGTGAGTTGAATAAACACAACACAAGGAAGTTACTGAGAATTCTTTTGTCTAGCCTTACATGAAAAAAACCCGTTTCCAACGAAGACCTCTAAGTGGTCAAATTATCCACGTGCAGACTTTACAAACAGAGTGTTTCCAAACTGCTGAATGAAAAGAAAAGTTAAACTCTGAGAGTTGAACGCACACATCACGCAGCAGTTTCTGAGAATTATTCTGTCTAGTTTTTATACGAAGATATTTCCTTTTCTGCCTTTGGCCTCAAAGCGCTTGAAATCTCCACTTGCAAATTCCACAAAAAGTGTGTTCTAAATCTGCTCTGTGTAAATGAAAGTTCAACTCTGTGAGTTGAACACACACAACACAAGGAAGTTACTGGGAATTCTTCTGTCTAGCATAATATGAAGAAATCCCGTTTCCAACGAAGTCCTCAGAGGGGTCTGAATATCCACTTGCAGACTTTATAAACAGAGTGTTTACTAACTGCTCTATGAAAAGAAAAGTTAAACTCTGTGAGTTGAACGCACACATCACAAAGGAGTTTCTGAGAATCATTCTGTCTAGTTTTTATACGAAGATATTTACTTTTCTACCATTGACCTCAAAGCGGCTGAAATCTCCACTTGCAAATTCCACAAAAAGAGTGTTTCAAGTCTGCTCTGTGTAAAGGATCGTTGAACTCTGTGAGTTGAATACACACAACACAAGGAAATTACTGAGAATTCTTCTGTCTAGCACAGTATGAAGAAATCCCGTTTCCAACGAAGGCCTCAAAGAGGTCTGAATATCCACTTGCAGAGTTTACAAACAGAGTGTTTCCTAACTGCTCTATGAAAAGAAATGTTAAACTCTGTGAGTTGAACGCACACATCACAAAGAAGTTTCTGAGAATCATTCTGTCTAGTTTTTATAGGAAGTTATTTCCTTTTCTACCTTTGACTTCAAAGCGGCTGAAATCTCCACTTGCAAATTCCACAAAAAGAGTGTTACAAGTCTGCTCTGTGTAAAGGATCGTTTAACTCTGTGAGTTGAATACACACAACACAAGGAAGTTACTGAGAATACTTCTGTCTAGCCCTACATGAAAAAATCCCGTTTCCAACGAAGGCCTCTAAGTGGTCAAAATTTCCACGTGCAGACTTTACAAACAGAGTGTTTCCAAACCGCTGAATGAAAAGAAAAGTTAAACTCTGAGAGTTGAACGCACACATCACGCAGCAGTTTCTGAGAATGATTCTGTCTAGTTTTTATACGAAGATATTTCCTTTTCTGCCTTTGGCCCCAAAGCGCTTGAAATCACCACTTGCAAATTCCACAAAAACAGTGTTTCAAATCTGCTCTCTCTAAATGAAAGTTCAACTCTGTCAGTTGAATACACACAACACAAGGAAAGTTACTGAGAATTCTTCTGTCTAGCAGAATATGAAGAAATCCCGTTTCCACCGAAGGCCTCAAAGAGGTCTGAATATCCATTTGCAGACTTTACAAACAGAGTGTTTCCTAACTGCTCTATGAAAAGAAAGGTTAAACTCTGTGAGTTGAACGCACACATCACAAAGGAGTTTCTGAGAATCGTTCTGTTTAGTTTTTATACGAAGATATTTCCTTTTCTACCATTGACCTCAAAGCGGCTGAAATCTCCACTTGCAAATTCCACAAAAAGAGTGTTTCAAGTCTGCTCTGTGTAAAGGATCGTTGAACTCTGTGAGTTGAATACACACAACACAAGGTAAGTTACTGAGAATTCTTCTGTCTAGCAGAATATGAAGAAATCCCGTTTCCAACGAAGGCCTCAAAGAGGTCTGCATATCCACTTGCAGACTTTACAAACAGAGTGTTTCCTAACTGCTCTATGAAAAGAAAGGTTAAACTCTGTGAGTTGAACGCACACATCACAAAGGAGTTTCTGAGAATCGTTCTGTCTAGTCTTTATAGGAAGATATTTCCTTTTCTACCTTTGACTTCAAAGCGGCTGAAATCTCCACTTGCAAATTCCACAAAAAGAGTGTTACAAGTCTGCTCAGTGTAAAGGATCGTTCAACTCTGTGAGTTGAATACACACAACACAAGGAAGTTACTGAGAATTCTTCTGTCTAGCCTTACATGAAAAAAAACCCGTTTCCAACGAAGGACCCTAAGAGGTCAATATATCCACTTGCAGACTTTACAAACAGAGTGTTTCCAAACTGCTGAATGAAAAGAAAAGTTAAACTCTCTGAGTTGAAAGCACACATCACACAGCAGTTTCTGAGAATGATTCTGTCTAGTTTTTCTACGAAGATATTTCCTTTTCTACTGTTGACCTCAAAGCGGCTGAAATCTCCACTTGCGAATTCCACAAAAAGAGTGTTTCAAGTCTGCTCTTTGTAAAGGATCGTTCAACTCTGTGAGTTGAATACACACAACATAAGGAAGTTACTGAGAATTATTCTGTCTAGCATAATATGAAGAAATCCCGTTTCCAACGAAGGCCTCAAAGAGGTCTGAATATGCACTTGCAGACTTTACAGAGTGTTTCCTAACTGCTCTATGAAAAGAAAAGTTAAACTCTGTGAGTTGAACGCACACATCACAAAGGAGTTTCTGAGAATCATTCTGTCTAGTTTTTATACGAAGATATTTCCTTTTCTACCATTGACCTCAAAGTGGCTGAAATCTCCACTTGAAAATACCAAAAAAAGTGTGTTTCAAGTCTGCTCTGTGTAAAGGATCGTTCAACTCTCTGAGTTGAATACACACAACACAAGGAAGTTTCTGAGAATTCTTCTGTCTAGCAGAATATGAAGAAATCCCGTTTCCAACGAATGCCTCAAAGAGGTCTGAATATCCACTTGCAGACTTTACAAACAAAGTGTTTCCTAACTGCTATATGAAAAGTTAAACTCTGTGAGTTGAACGCACACATCACAAAGGATTTTCTGAGAATCATTCTGTCTAGTTTTGAAACGAAGATATTTCCTTTTCTGCCATTGACCTTAAAGCGCTTGAAATCTACACTTGCAAATTGCACAAATAGAGTGTTTCAAATCTGCTCTGTCTAAGGGAACGTTCAACTCTGTGAGTTGAATGCACACAACACAAGGAAGTTACTGGGAATTCTTCTGTCTAGCCTTACATGAAAAAAACCCGTTTCCAACGAAGGCCTCTAAGTGGTCAAAATACCCACGTGCAGACTTTACAAACAGAGTGTTTCCAAACCGCTGAATGAAAAGAAAAGTTAAACTCTGAGAGTTGAACGCACACATCACGCAGCAGTTTCTGAGAATGATTCTGTCTAGTTTCTATAAGAAGATATTTCCTATTCTACCATTGACCTCAAAGCGGCTGAAATCTCCACTTGCAAATTCGACAAAAAGAGTATTTCAAGCCTGCTCTCTGTAAAGGATCCTTCAACTCTGTGAGTTGAATACACACAACACAAGGAAGTTACTGAGAATTATTCTGTCTAGCATAATATGAAGAAATCCCGTTTCCAACGAAGGCCTCAAGGAGGTCTGAATATCCACTTGTAGACTTTACAAACAGAGTGTTTCCTAACTGCTCTATGAAAAGAAAGGTTAAACTCTGTGAGTTGAACGCACACATCACAAAGGAGTTTCTGAGAATCATTCTGTCTAGTCTTTATATGAAGATAGTTTCCTTTTCTACCATTGACCTCAAAGCGGCTGAAATCTCCACTTGCAAATTCCACAAAAAGAGTGTTTCAAGTCTGCTCTGTGTAAAGGATCGTTCAACTCTGTGAGTTGAATACACACAACACAAGGAAAGTTACTGAGAATTCTTCTGTCTAGCAGAATATGAAGAAATCCCGTTTCCAACGATGGCCACAAGATGTCAGAATATCCACTTACAGACTTTACAAACAGAGTGTTTCCTAACTGCTCTATGAGAAGAAAAGTTAAACTCTGTGAGTTGAACACACACATCACAAAGGAGTTTCTGAGAATCATTCTGTCTAGTTTTGAAACGAAGATATTTCCTTTTCTGCCATTGACCTTAAAGCGCTTGAAATCTACACTTGCAAATTGCACAAATAGAGTGTTTCAAATCTGCTGTGTCTAAGGAACGTTCAACTCTGTGAGTTGAATGCACACAACACAAGGAAGTTACTGGGAATTCTTCTGTCTAGCCTTACATGAAAAAATCCCGTTTCCAACGAAGGCCTCTAAGTGGTCAAAATTTCCACGTGCAGACTTTACAAACAGAGTGTTTCCAAACCGCTGAATGAAAAGAAAATTTAAACTCTGAGAGTTGAACGCACACATCACGCAGCAGTTTCTGAGAATGATTCTGTCTAGTTTTGAAACGAAGATATTTCCTTTTCTGCCTTTGCCCTCAAAGCGCTTGAAATCTCCACTTGCAAATTCCACAAAAAGAGTGTTTCAAATCTGCTCTGTGTAAATGAAAGTTCAACTCTGTGAGTTGAACACACACAACACAAGGAAGTTACTGGGAATTCTTCTGTCTAGCAGAATATGAAGAAATCCCGTTTCCAACGAAGGCCTCAAAGAGGTCTGAATATCCACTTGAAGACTATACAAAGAGAGTGTTTCCTAACTGCTCTATGAAAACAAAAGTTAAACTCTGTGAGTTGAACGCACACATCACAAAGGAGTTTCTGAGAATCATTCTGTCTAGTTTTTATATGAAGATATTTTCTTTTCTACCATTGACCTCAAAGCGGCTGCAATCTCCACTTACAAATTCCACAAAAAGAGTGTCTCAAGTCTGCTCTGTGTAAACGATCGTTCAACTCTGTGAGTTGAATACACACAACACAAGGAAGTTTCTGAGAATTCTTCTGTCTAGCAGAATATGAAGAAATCCCGTTTCCAACGAAAGCCTCAAGGAGGTCTGAATATCCACTTGCAGACTTTACAAACAGAGTGTTTCCTAACTGCTCTATGAACAGAAAGGTTAAACTCTGTGAGTTGAACGCACACATCACAAAGGAGTTTCTGAGAATCATTCTGTCTAGTTTTGAAACGAAGATATTTCCTTTTCTGCCATTGAACTTAAAGCGCTTGAAATCTCCATTTGCCAATTGCACAAAAAGAGTGTTTCAAATCTGCTCTGTCTAAGGGAACGTTCAACTCTGTGAGTTGAATGTACACAACACAAGGAAGTTACTGGGAATTCTTCTGTCTAGCCTTACAGGAAAAAAACCCGGTTCCAACGAAGGCCTCTAAGTGGTCAAAATATCCACGTGCAGACTTTACAAACAGAGTGTTTCCAAACTGCTGAATGAAAAGAAAAGTTAAACTCTGAGAGTTGAACGCACACATCGCAGAGCAGTTTCTGAGAATGATTCTGTCTAGTTTTGAAACGAAGATATTTCCTTTTCTGCCTTTGGCCTCAAAGCGCTTGAAATCTCCACTTGCAAATTCCACAAAAAGAGTGTTTCAAATCTGCTCTGGGTAAATGAAAGTTCAACTCTGTGAGTTGAACACACACAACACAAGGAAGTTACTGGGAATTCTTCTGTCTAGCATCATATGAAGAAATCCTGTTTCCAACGAAGGCCTCAAGGAGGTCTGAATATCCACTTGCAGACTTTACAAACAGAGTGTTTCCTAACTGCTCTATGAAAAGAAAGCTTAAACTCTGTGAGTTGAACGCACACATCACAAGGGAGTTTCTGAGAATCATTCTGTCTAGTTTCTATAAGAAGATATTTCCTATTCTACCATTGACCTCAAAGCGGCTGAAATCTCCACTTGCAAATTCGACAAAAAGAGTGTTTCAAGCCTGCTCTCTGTAAAGGATCCTTCAACTCTGTGAGTTGAATACACACAACACAAGGAAGTTTCTGAGAATTATTCTGTCTAGCATAATATGAAGAAATCCCGTTTCCAACGAAGGCCTCAAAGAGGTCTGAATATCCACTTGCAGACTTTACAAACAGAGTGTTTCCTACCTGCTCTATGAGAAGAAAAGTTAAACTCTGTGAGTTGAACGCACACATCACAAAAGATTTTCTGAGAATCATTCTGTCTAGTTTTGAAACGAAGAATATTTCCTTTTCTGCCATTGACCTTAAAGCGCTTGAAATCTCCATTTGCCAATTGCACAAAAAGAGTGTTTCAAATCTGCTCTGTCTAAGGGAACGTTCAACTCTGTGAGTTGAATGTACACAACACAAGGAAGTTACTGGGAATTCTTCTGTCTAGCCTTACATGCAAAAAACCCGTTTCCAACGAAGGCCTCTAAGTGGTCAAAATATCCACGTGCAGACTTTACAAACAGAGTGTTTCCAAACCGCTGAATGAAAAGAAAAGTTAAACTCTGAGAGTTGAACGCACACATCACGCAGCAGTTTCTGAGAATGATTCTGTCTAGTTTTTATACGAAGATATTTCCTTTTCTGCCTTTGGCCTCAAAGCGCTTGAAACCTCCATTTGCAAATTCCACAAAAAGAGTGTTTCAAATCTGCTCTGTGTAAATGAAAGTTCAACTCTGTGAGTTGAACACACACAACACAAGGGAAGTTACTGGGAATTCTTCTTTCTAACAGAATATGAAGAAATCCCGTTTCCAACGAAAGCCTCAAGGATGTCTGAATATCCACTTGCAGACTTTACAAACAGAGTGTTTCCTAACTACTCTATGAAAAGAAAGGTTAAACTCTGTGAGTTGAACGCACACATCACAAAGGAGTTTCTGAGAATCATTCTGTCTAGTTTCTATAGGAAGATATTTCCTATTCTACCATTGACCTCAAAGCGGCTGAAATCTCCACTAGCAAATTCCACAAAAAGAATGTTTCAAGTCTGCTCTGTGTAAAGGATCGTTCAACTCTGTGAGTTGAATACACACAACACAAGGAAGTTACTGAGAATTATTCTGTCTAGCATAATATGAAGAAATCCCGTTTCCAACGAAGGCCTCAAGGAGGTCTGAATATCCACTTGCAGACTTTACAAACAGAGTGTTTCCCAACTGCTCTATTAAAAGAAAGGTTGAACTCTGTGAGTTGAACGCACACATCACAAAGGAGTTTCTGAGAATCATTCTGTCTAGTTTTGAAACGAAGAATTTCCTTTTCTGCCGTTGACCTTAAAGCGCTTGAAAACTACACTTGCAAATTGCACAAATAGAGTGTTTCAAATCTGCTCTGTCTAAGGGAACGTTCAACTCTGTGAGTTGAATGCACACAACACAAGGAAGTTACTGGGAATTCTTCTGTCTAGCCTTACAGGAAAAAAACCCGTTTCCAATGAAGGCCTCTAAGTGGTCAAAATATCCACGTGCAGACTTTACAAACAGAGTGTTTCCAAACTGCTGAATGAAAAGAAAAGTTAAACTCTGAGAGTTGAACGCACACATCGCAGAGCAGTTTCTGAGAATGATTCTGTCTAGTTTTGAAACGAAGATATTTCCTTTTCTGCCTTTGGCCTCAAAGCGCTTGAAATCTCCACTTGCAAATTCCACAAAAAGAGTGTTTCAAGTCTGCTCTGTGTAAATGAAAGTTCAACTCTGTGAGTTGAACACACACAACACAAGGAAGTTACTGGGAATTCTTCTTTCTAGCAGAATATGAAGAAATCCCGTTTCCAACGAAAGCCTCAAGGAGGTCTGAATATCCACTTGCAGACTTTACAAACAGAGTGTTTCCCAACTGCGCTATGAAAAGAAAGGTTAAACTCTGTGAGTTGAACGCACACATCACAAAGGAGTTTCTGAGAATCATTCTGTCTAGTTTTTCTACGAAGATATTTCCTTTTCTACTATTGACCTGAAAGCGGCTGAAATCTCCACTTGCAAATTCCACAAAAAGAGTGTTTCAAGTCTACTCTGTGTAAAGGATCGTTCAACTCTGTGAGTTGAATACACACAACACAAGGAAGTTACTGAGAATTCTTCTGTCTAGGAGAATATGAAGAAATCCCTTTTCCAACGAAGGCCAAAAAATGTCAGAATATCCACTTACAGACTTTACAAACAGAGTGTTTCCTAACTGCTCTATGAACAGAAAGGTTAAACTCTGTGAGTTGAACGAACACATCACAACGCAGTTTGTGGGAATGATTCTGTCTAGTTTTGAAACGAAGATATTTCCTTTTCTGCCATTGACCTTAAAGCGCTTGAAATCTACACTTGCAAATTGCACAAATAGAGTGTTTCAAATCTGCTCTGTCTAAGGGAACGTTCAACTCTGTGAGTGGAATGCACACAACAGAAGGAAGTTACTGGGAATTCTTCTGTCTAGCCTTACATGAAAAAAACCCGTTTCCAACGAAGGCCTCTAAGTGGTCAAAATATCCACGTGCAGACTTTACAAACAGAGTGTTTCCAAACCGCTGAATGAAAAGAAAAGTTAAACTCTGAGAGTTGAACGCACACATCACGCAGCAGATTCTGAGAATGATTCTGTCTAGTTTTTATACGAAGATATTTCCTTTTCTGCCTTTGGCCCCAAAGCGCTTGAAATCTCCACTTGCAAATTCCACAAAAACAGTGTTTCAAACCTGCTCTCTCTAAATGAAAGTTCAACTCTGTCAGTTGAATACACACAACACAAGGAAGTTACTGAGAATTCTTCTGTCTAGCCTTATATGAAAAAAACCCGTTTCCAACGAAGGCCTCAAAGAGGTCTGAATATCCACTTGCAGACTTTACAAACAGAGTGTTTCCTAACTGCTCTATGAAAAGAAAGGTTAAACTCTGTGAGTTGCACGCACACATCACAAAGGCGTTTCTGAGAATCATTCTGTCTAGTTTTTCTACGAAGATATTTCCTTTTCCACTATTGACCTCAAAGCGGCTGAAATCTCCACTTGGAAATTCTACAAAAAGAGTGTTTCAAGTCTGCTCTGTGTAAAGGATCGTTCAACTCTGTGAGTTGAATACACACAACACAAGGAAGTTACTGAGAATTCTTCTGTGTAGCAGAACATGAAGAAATCCCGTTTCCAACGAAGGCCTCAAAGAGGTCTGAATATCCACTTGCAGACTTTACAAACAGAGTGTTTCCTAACTGCTCTATGAAAAGAAAGGTTAAACTCTGTGAGTTGAACGCACACATCACAAAGGAGTTTCTGAGAATCATTCTGTCTAGTTTCTATAGGAAGATATTTCCTATTCTACCATTGACCACAAAGCGGCTGAAATCTCCACTTGCAAATTCCACAAAAAGAGTGTTTCAAGTCTGCTCTCTGTAAAGGATCGTTCAACTCTGTGAGTTGAATACACACAACACAAGGAAGTTACTGAGAATTCTTCTGTCTAGCCTTACAGGAAAGAAACCCGTTTCCAACGAAGGCCTCTAAGTGGTCAAAATATCCACGTGCAGACTTTACAAACAGAGTGTTTCCAAACTGCTGAATGAAAAGCAAAGTTAAACTCTGAGAGTTGAACGCACAAATCGCAGAGCAGTTTCTGAGAATGATTCTGTCTAGTTTTTATACGAAGATATTTCCTTTTCTGTCTTTGGCCTCAAAGCGCTTGAAATCTCCACTTGCAAATTCCACAAAAAGAGTGTTTCCAATCTGCTCTGTGTAAATGAAAGTTCAACTCTGTGAGTTGAACACACACAACACAAGGAAGTTACTGGGAATTCTTCTGTCTAGCCTTATATGAAAAAAAACTGTTTCCAACGAAGGCCTCAAAGAGGTCTGAATATCCACTTGCAGACTTTACAAACAGAGTGTTTCCTAACTGCTCTATGAAAAGAAAGGTTAAACTCTGTGAGTTGAACACACACATCACAAAGGAGTTTCTGAGAATCATTCTGTCTAGTCTTTATACGAAGATATTTCCTTTTCTACCATTGACCTCAAAGCGGCTGAAATCTCCACTTGCAAATTCCACAAAAAGAGTGTTTCAAGTCTGGTCTGTGTAAAGGATCGTTCAACTCTGTGAGTTGAATACACACAACACAAGGAAGTTACTGAGAATTCTTCTGTCTAGCAGAATATGAAGAAATCCCGTTTCCACCGAAGGCCTCAAGGAGGTCTGAATATCCACTTGCAGACTTTACAAACAGAGTGTTTCCTAACTGCTCTATGAACAGAAAGGTTAAACTCTGTGAGTTGAACGAACACATCACAACGCAGTTTGTGGGAATGATTCTGTCTAGTTTTGAAACCAAGATATTTCCTTTTCTGCCGTTGACCTTAAAGAGCTTGAAAACTACACTTGCAAATTGCACAAATAGAGTGTTTCAAATCTGCTCTGTCTAAGGGAACGTTCAACTCTGTGAGTTGAATGCACACAACACAAGGAAGTTACTGGGAATTCTTCTGTCTAGCCTTACATGAAAAAAACCCGTTTCCAACGAAGACCTCTAAGTGGTCAAATTATCCACATGCAGACTTTACAAACAGAGTGTTTCCAAACTGCTGAATGAAAAGAAAAGTTAAACTCTGAGAGTTGAACGCACACATCGCAGAGCAGTTTCTGAGAATGATTCTGTCTAGTTTTTATACGAAGATATTTCCTTTTCTGCCTCTGGCCTCAAAGCGCTTGAAATCTCCATTTGCAAATTCCACAAAAAGAGTGTTTCAAATCTGCTCTGTGTAAATGAAAGTTCAACTCTGTGAGTTGAACACACACAACACATGGAAGTTACTGGGAATTCTTCTGTCTAGCAGAATAGGAAGAAATCCCGTTACAACGAAGGCCTCAAAGAGGTCTGAATATCCACTTGCAGACTTTACAAACAGAGTGTTTCCTAACTGCTCTATGAAAAGAAAGGTTAAACTCTGTGAGTTGAACGCACACATCACAAAGGAGTTTCTGAGAATCGTTCTGTCTAGTTTCTATAGGAAGATATTTCCTATTCTACCATTGACCTCAAAGCGGCTGAAATCTCCACTTGCAAATTCCACAAAAAGAGTGTTTCAAGTCTGCTCTGTGTAAAGGATCGTTCAACTCTGTGAGTTGAAAACACACAACACAAGGAAGTTTCTGAGAATTCTTCTGTCTAGCAGAATATGAAGAAATCCCGTTTCCAACGAAGGCCACAAGATGTCAGAATATCCACTTACAGAATTTACAAACAGACTCTTTCCTAACTGCTCTATGAAAAGAAAGGTTAAACTCTGTGAGTTGAACGAACACATCACAACGCAGTTTGTGGGAATGATTCTGTCCAGTTTTGAAACGAAGATATTTCCTTTTCTGCCATTGACCTTAAAGCGCTTGAAATCTCCACTTGCCAATTGCACAAAAAGAGTGTTTCAAATCTGCTCTGTCTAAGGGAACGTTCAACTCTGTGAGTTGAATGTACACAACACAAGGAATTTACTGGGAATTCTTCTGTCGAGCCTTACATGAAAAAAACCCGTTTCCAACGAAGGCCTCTAAGTGGTCAAAATATCCACGTGCAGACTTTACAAACAGAGTGTTTCCAAACCGCTGAATGAAAAGAAAAGTTAAACTCTGAGAGTTGAACGCACACATCACGCAGCAGTTTCTGAGAATGATTCTGTCTAGTTTCTATAGGAAGATATTTCCTATTCTACCATTGACCTCAAAGCGGCTGAAATCTCCACTTCCAAATTCCACAAAAAGAATGTTTCAAGTCTGCTCTGTGTAAAGGATCGTTCAACTCTGTGAGTTGAATACACACAACACAAGGAAGTTACTAAGAATTCTTCTTTGTAGCAGAATATGAAGAAATCCCGCTTCCAACGAAGGCCTCAAGGATGTCTGAATATCCACTTGCAGACTTTACAGAGTGTTTCCTAACTGGTCTATGAAAAGAAAGGTTAAACTCTGTGAGTTGAACGCACACATCACAAAGGAGTTTCTGAGAATCATTCTGTCTAGTCTTTATATGAAGATAGTTTCCTTTTCTACCATTGACCTCAAAGCGGCTGAAATCTCCAATTGCAAATTCCACAAAAAGAGTGTTTCAAGTCTGCTCTGTGTAAAGGATCGTTCAACTCTGTGAGTTGCATACACACAACACAAGGAAGTTACTGAGAATTCTTCTGTCTAGCAGAATATGAAGAAATCCCGTTTCCAACGAAGGCCACAAGATGTCTGAATATCCACTTACAGACTTTACAAACAGAGTGTTTCCTAACTGCTCTATGAACAGAAAGGTTAAACTCTGTGAGTTGAACGAACACATCACAACGCAGTTTGTGGGAATGATTCTGTCTAGTTTTGAAACGAAGATATTTCCTTTTCTGCCATTGACCTTAAAGCGCTTGAAATCTCCATTTGCCAATTGCACAAAAAGAGTGTTTCAAATCTGCTCTGTCTAAGGGAACGTTCAACTCTGTGAGTTGAATGTACACAACACAAGGAAGTTACTGGGAATTCTTCTGTCTAGCCTTACAGGAAAAAAACCCGTTTCCAACGAAGGCCTATAAGTGGTCAAAATATCCACGTGCAGACTTTACAAACAGAGTGTTTCCACACTGCTGAATGAAAAGAAAAGTTAAACTCTGAGAGTTGAACGCACACATCGCAGAGCAGTTTCTGAGAATGATTCTGTCTAGTTTTTATACGAAGATATTTCCTTTTCTGCCTTTGGCCTCACAGCGCTTGAAATCTCCACTTGCAAATTCCACAAAAAGAGTGTTTCAAATCTGCTCTGTGTAAATGAAAGTTCAACTGCTGTGAGTTGAACACACACAACACAAGGAAGTTACTGGGAATTCTTCTGTCTAGCATAATATGAAGAAATCCCGTTTCCAACGAAGGCCTCAAAGGGGTCTGAATATCCACTTGCAGACTTTACAAACAGAGTGTTTCCTAACTGCTCTATGAAAAGAAAAGTTAAACTCTTTGAGTTGAACGCACACATCACAATGGAGTTTCTGAGAATCATTCTGTCTAGTTTCTATAGGAACATATTTCCTATTCTACCATTGACCTCAAAGCGGCTGAAATCTCCACTTGCAAATTCCACAAAAAGAATGTTTCAAGTCTGCTCTTTGTAAAGGATCGTTCAACTCTGTGAGTTGAATACACACAACACAAGGAAGTTACTGAGAATTCTTCTGTCTAGCAGAATATGGAGAAATCCCGTTTCCAACGAAGGCCTCTAGGAGGTCTGAATATCCACTTGCAGACTTTACAAACAGAGTGTTTCCTAACTGCTCTATGAACAGAAAGGTTAAACTCTGTGAGTTGAACGAACACATCACAACGCAGTTTGTGGGAATGATTCTGTCTAGTTTTGAAACGAAGATATTTCCTTTTCTGCCATTGACCTTAAAGCGCTTGAAATCTCCACTTGCCAATTGCACAAAAAGAGTGTTTCAAATCTGCTCTGTCTAAGGGAACGTTCAACTCTGTGAGTTGAATGTACACAACACAAGGAAGTTACTGGGAATTCTTCTGTCTAGCCTTACAGGAAAAAAACCCGTTTCCAACGAAGGCCTCTAAGTGGTCAAATTATCCACGTGCAGACTTTAGAAACAGAGTGTTTCCAAACTGCTGAATGAAAAGAAAAGTTAAACTCTGAGAGTTGAACGCACACATCGCAGAGCAGTTTCTGAGAATGATTCTGTCTAGTTTTTATACGAAGATATTTCCTTTTCTGCCTTTGGCCTCAAAGCCCTTGAAATCTCCACTTGCAAATTCCACAAAAAGAGTGTTTCAAATCTGCTCTGTGTAAATGAAAGTTCAACTCTGTGAGTTGAACACACACAACACAAGGAAGTTACTGGGAATTCTTCTGTGTAGCCTTATATGAAAAAAACCCGTTTCCAACGAAGGCCTCAAAGAGGTCTGAATATCCACTTGCAGACTTTACAAGCAGAGTGTTTCCTAACTGCTCTATGAAAAGAAAGGTTAAACTCTGTGAGTTGAACGCACACATCACAAAGGAGTTTCTGAGAATCATTCTGTCTAGTCTTTATACGAAGATATTTACTTTTCTACCATTGACCTCAAAGCGGCTGAAATCTCCACTTGCAAATTCCACAAGAAGAGTGTTTCAAGTCTGCTCTGTGTAAAGGATCGTTCAACTCTGTGAGTTGAATACACACAACACAAGGAAGTTACTGAGAATTCTTCTGTCTAGCAGAATATGAAGAAATCCCGTTTCCAACGAAGGCCACAAGATGTCAGAATATCCACTTACAGACTTTACAAACAGAGTGTTTCCTAACTGCTCTATGAACAGAAAGGTTAAACTCTGTGAGTTGAACGAACACATCACAACGCAGTTTGTGGGAATGATTTCTGTCTAGTTTTGAAACGAAGATATTTCCTTTTCTGCCATTGACCTTAAATCGCTTGAAATCTACACTTGCAAATTGCACAAATAGAGTGATTCAAATCTGCTCTGTCTAAGGGAACGTTCAACTCTGTGAGTTGAATGCACACAACACAAGGAAGTTACTGGGAATTCTTCTGTCTACCCTTACATGAAAAAAACCCGTTTCCAACGAAGGCCTCTAAGTGGTCAAAATATCCACGTGCAGACTTTACAAACAGAGTGTTTCCAAACTGCTGAATGAAAAGAAAAGTTAAACTCTGAGAGTTGAACCCACACATCACAGAGGATTTTCTGAGAATGATTCTGTCTAGTTTTTATACGAAGATATTTCGTTTTCTGCCTTTGGCCCCAAAGCGCTTGAAATCTCCACTTGCAAATTCCACAAAAACAGTGTTACAAATCTGCTCTCTCTAAGTGAAAGTTGAACTCTGTCAGTTGAATACACACAACACAAGGAAGTTACTGAGAATTCTTCTTTCTAGCAGAATATGAAGAAATCCCGTTTCAAACGAAGGCCTCAAAGAGGTCTGAATATCAACTTGCAGACTTTACAAACAGAGTGTTTCCCAACTGCTCTATGAAAAGAAAGGTTAAACTGTGTGAGTTGAACGCACACATCACAAAGGAGTTTCTGAGAATCATTCTGTCTAGTTTTTCTACGAAGATATTTCCTTTTCTACTATTGACCTCAAAGCGGCTGAAATCTCCACTTGCAAATTCCACAAAAAGAGTGTTTCAAGTCTGCTCTGTGTAAAGGATCTTTCAACTCTGTGAGTTGAATACACACAACACAAGGAAGTTACTGAGAATTCTTCTGTCTAGCATACTATGAAGAAATCCCGTTTCCAACGAAGGCCTCCAAGAGGTCTGAATATCCACTTGCAGAGTTTACAAACAGAGTGTTTCCTAACTGCTCTATGAAAAGAAAGGTTAAACTCTGTGAGTTGAACGCACACATCACAAAGAAGTTTCTGAGAATCATTCTGTCTAGTTTTGAAACTAAGACATTTCCTTTTCTGCCATTGACCTTAAAGCGCTTGATATCTACACTTGCAAATTGCACAAATAGAGTGTTTCAAATCTGCTCTGTCTAAGGGAACGTTCAACTCTGTGAGTTGAATGCACACAACACAAGGAAGTTACTGGGAATTCTTCTGTCTAGCCTTACATGAAAAAAACCCGTTTCCAACGAAGGCCTCTAAGTGGTCAAATTATCCACGTGCAGACTTTACAAACAGAGTGTTTCCAAACTGCTGAATGAAAAGAAAAGGTAAACTCTGAGAGTTGAACGCACACATCACAGAGCAGTTTCTGAGAATGATTCTGTCTAGTTTTTATACGAAGATATTTCCTTTTCTACCATTGACCTCAAAGCGGCTGAAATCTCCACTTGCAAATTCCACAAAAAGAGTGTTTCAAGTCTGCTCTGTGTAAAGGATAGTTCAACTCTGTGAGTTGAATACACACAACACAAGGAAGTTACTGAGAATTCTTCTGTCTAGCAGAATATGAAGAAATCCCGTTTCCAACGAAGGCCTAAAGGAGGTCTGAATATCCACTTGCAGACTTTACAAACAGAGTGTTTCCTAACTGCTCTATGAACAGAAAGGTTAAACTCTGTGAGTTGAACGCACACATCACAAAGGAGTTTCTAAGAATCATTCTGTCTAGTCTTTATACGAAGATATTTCCTTTTCTACCATTGACCTCAAAGCGGCTGAAATCTCCACTTGCAAATTCCACAAAAAGAGTGTTTCAAGTCTGCTCTGTGTAAAAGATCGTTCAACTCTGTGAGTTGAATACACACAACACAAGGAAGTTACTGAGAATTCTTCTGTCTAGCAGAATATGAAGAAATCCCGTTTCCAACGAAGGCCACAAGATGTCAGAATATCCACTTACAGAATTGACAAACAGACTGTTTCCTAACTGCTCTATGAAAAGAAAGGTTAAACTCTGTGAGTTCAACGAACACATCACAACGCAGTTTGTGGGAATGATTCTGTCTAGTTTTGAAACGAAGATATTTCCTTTTCTGCCATTGACCTTAAAGCGCTTGAAATCTACACTTGCAAATTGCACAAATAGAGTGTTTCAAATCTGCTCTGTCTAAGGGAACGTTCAACTCTGTGAGTTGAATGCACACAACACAAGGAAGTTACTGGGAATTACTTCTGTCTAGCAGAATATGAAGAAATCCCGTTTCCAACGAAAGCCTCCAAGAGGTCTGAATATCCACTTGCAGACTTTACAAACAGAGTGTTTCCAAACCGCTGAATGAAAAGAAACTTTAAACTCTGAGAGTTGAACGCACACATCACGCAGCAGTTTCTGAGAATGATTCTGTCTAGTTTTTATACGAAGATATATCCTTTTCTGCCTTTGGCCCCAAAGCGCTTGAAATCTCCACTTGCAAATTCCACAAAAACAGTGTTTCAAATCTGCTCTCTCTAAATGAAAGTTCAACTCTGTCAGTTGAATACACACAACACAAGGAAGTTACTGAGAATTCTTCTGTCTAGCAGAATATGAAGAAATCCCGTTTCCAACGAAGGCCTCAACGAGGTCTGAATATCCACTTGCAGACTTTACAGGCAGAGTGTTTCCTAACTGCTCTATGAAAAGAAAGGTTAAACTCTGTGAGTTGAACACACACATCACAAAGAAGTTTCTGAGAATCATTCTGTCTAGTTTTTATACGAAGAGATTTCCTTTTCTACCGTTGACCTCAAAGCGGCTGAAATCTCCACTTGCAAATTCCACAAAAAGAGTGTTACAAGTCTGCTCTGTGTAAAGGATCGTTCAACTCTGTGAGTTGAATACACACAACACAAGGAAGTTACTGAGAATTCTTCTGTCTAGCAGAATATGAAGAAATCCCGTTTCCAACGAAGGCCACAAAATGTCAGAATATCCACTTACAGAATTTACAAACAGACTGTTTCCTAACTGCTCTATGAAAAGAAAGGTTAAACTCTGTGAGTTGAACGAACACATCACAACGCAGTTTGTGGGAATGATTCTGTCTAGTTTTGAAACGAAGATATTTCCTTTTCTGCCATTGACATTAAAGCGCTTGAAATCTCCATTTGCCAATTGCACAAAAAGAGTGTTTCAAATCTGCTCTGTCTAAGGGAACTTTCAACTCTGTGAGTTGAATGTACACAACACAAGGAAGTTACTGGGAATTCTTCTGTCTAGCCTTCCATGAAAAAAACCCGTTTCCAACGAAGGTCTCTAAGTGGTCAAATTATCCACGTGCAGACTTTACAAACAGAGTGTTTCCAAACTGCTGAATGAAAAGAAAAGTTAAACTCTGAGAGTTGAACGCACACATCGCAGAGCAGTTTCTGAGAATGATTCTGTCTAGTTTTTATACGAAGATATTTCCTTTTCTGCCTTTGGCCCCAAGGCGCTTGAAATCTCCACTTGCAAATTCCACAAAAACAGTGTTTCA
The DNA here is from genome assembly GCF_000001405.40 of Homo sapiens. Taxonomy (NCBI): domain Eukaryota; kingdom Metazoa; phylum Chordata; class Mammalia; order Primates; family Hominidae; genus Homo; species Homo sapiens. The sequence goes on along the minus strand of NC_000019.10, from coordinate 26,619,925 downwards.
AATCTGCTCTCTCTAAATGAAAGTTCAACTCTGTCAGTTGAATACACACAACACAAGGAAGTTACTGAGAATTCTTCTGTCTAGCATAATATGAAGAAATCCCGTTTCCAACGAAGGCCTCAAAGGGGTCTGAATATCCACTTGCAGACTTTATAAACAGAGTGTTTCCTAACTGCTCTATGAAAAGAAAGGTTAAACTCTGTGAGTTGAACGCACACATCACAAAGGAGTTTTTGAGAATCGTTCTGTCTAGTTTCTATAGGAAGATATTTCCTATTCTACCATTGAACTCAAAGCGGCTGAAATCTCCACTTGCAAATTCCACAAAAAGAGTGTTTCAAGTCTGCTCTGTGTAAAGGATCGTTCAACTCTGTGAGTTGAATACACACAACACAAGGAAGTTACTGACAATTCTTCTGTCTAGCAGAATATGAAGAAATCCCGTTTCCAACGAAGGCCACAAGATGTCAGAATATCCACTTTCAGACTTTACAAACAGAGTGTTTCCTAACTGCTCTATGAACAGAAAGGTTAAACTCTGTGAGTTGAACGAACACATCACAACGCAGTTTGTGGGAATGATTCTGTCTAGTTTTGAAACGAAGATATTTCCTTTTCTGCCATTGAACTTAAAGCGCTTGAAATCTCCATTTGCCAATTGCACAAAAAGAGTGTTTCAAATCTGCTCTGTCTAAGGGAACGTTCAACTCTGTGAGTTGAATGTACACAACACAAGGAAGTTACTGGGAATTCTTCTGTCTAGCCTTACATGAAAAAAACCCGTTTCCAACGAAGGCCTCTAAGTGGTCAAAATATCCACGTGCAGACTTACAAAAAGAGTGTTTCCAAACCGCTGAATGAAAAGAAAAGTTAAACTCTGAGAGTTGAACGCACACATCACGCAGCAGTTTCTGAGAATGATTCTGTCTAGTTTCTATAGGAAGATATTTCCTATTCTACCATTGACCTCAAAGCGGCTGAAATCTCCACTTGCAAATTCCACAAAAAGAGTGTTTCAAGTCTGCTCTGTGTATAGGATCGTTCAACTCTGTGAGTTGAATACACACAACACAAGGAAGTTACTGAGAATTCTTCTGTCTAGCCTTACATGAAAAAAACCCGTTTCCAACGAAGGCCTCAAAGAAGTCCAAATATCCACATGCATACTTTACAAACAGAGTGTTTCCTAACTGCTCTATGAAAAGAATGGTTAAACTCTGTGAGTTGAACGCCCACATCACAAAGGAGTTTCTGAGAATCATTCTGTCTAGTTTCTATAGGATGATATTTCCTATTCTACCATTGACCTCAAAGCGGCTGAAATCTCCACTTGCAAATTCCACAAAAAGAGTGTTTCAAGTCTGCTCTGTGTAAAGGATCGTTCAACTCTGTGAGTTGAATACACACAACACAAGGAAGTTACTGAGAATTCTTCTGTCTAGCAGAATATGAAGAAATCCCGTTTCCAACGAAGGCCACAAGTATGTCAGAATATCCACTTACAGAATTTACAAACAGACTGTTTCCTAACTGCTCTATGAAAAGAAAGGTTAAAGTCTGTGAGTTGAACGAACACATCACAACGCAGTTTGTGGGAATGATTCTGTCTAGTTTTGAAACGAAGATATTTCCTTTTCTGCCATTGACCTTAAAGCGCTTGAAATCTCCACTTGCCAATTGCACAAAAAGAGTGTTTCAAATCTGCTCTGTCTAAGGGAACGTTCAACTCTGTGAGTTGAACCGTACACAACACAAGGAAGTTACTGGGAATTCTTCTGTCTAGCCTTACAGGAAAGAAACCCGTTTCCAACGAAGGCCTCTAAGTGGTCAAAATATCCACGTGAAGACTTTACAAACAGAGTGTTTCCAAACTGCTGAATGAAAAGCAAAGTTAAACTCTGAGAGTTGAACGCACACATCGCAGAGCAGTTTCTGAGAATGATTCTGTCTAGTTTTTATACCGAAGATATTTCCTTTTCTGCCTTTGGCCTCAAAGCGCTTGAAATCTCCAATTGCAAATTCCACAAAAAGAGTGTTTCAAATCTGCTCTGTGTAAATGAAAGTTCAACTCTGTGAGTTGAACACACACAACACAAGGAAGTTACTGGGAATTCTTCTGTCTAGCAGAATATGAAGAAATCCCGTTTCCAACGAAGGCCTCAAAGAGGTCTGAATATCCACTTGCAGACTTCACAAACAGAGTGTTTCCTAACTGCTCTATGAAAAGAAAGGATAAACTCTGTGAGTTGAACGCACACATCACAAAGGAGTTTCTCAGAATCATTCTGTCTAGTTTTTATAGGAAGATATTTCCTTTTCTACCTTTGACTTCAAAGCGGCTGAAATCTCCACTTGCAAATTCCACAAAAAGAGTGTTCCAAGTCTGCTCTGTGTAAAGGATCGTTCAACTCTGTGAGTTGAATACACACAACACAAGGAAGTTACTGAGAATTCTTCTGTCTAGCCTTACATGAAAAAAACCCGTTTCCAACGAAGGCCTCTAAGTGGTCAAATTATCCACGTGCAGACTTTACAAACAGAGTGTTTCCAAACTGCTGAATGAAAAGCAAAGTTAAACTCTGAGAGTTGAACGCACACATCGCAGAGCAGTTTCTGAGAATGATTTCTGTCTAGTTTTGAAACGAAGAAATTTCCTTTTCTGCCATTGACCTTAAAGCGCTTGAAATCTACACTTGCAAATTGCACAAATAGAGTGTTTCAAATCTGCTCTGTCTAAGTGAACGTTCAACTCTGTGAGTTGAATGCACACAACACAAGGAAGTTACTGGGAATTCTTCTGTCTAGCCTTACATGAAGAAAACCCGTTTCCAAAGAAGGCTTCTAAGTGGTCAAAATATCCACGTGCAGACTTTACAAACAGAGTGTTTCCAAACCGCTGAATGAAAAGAAAAGTTAAACTCTGAGAGTTGAACGCACACATCACGCAGCAGATTCTGAGAATGATTCTGTCTAGTTTCTATAATAAGATATTTCCTATTCTACCATTGACCTCAAAGCGGCTGAAATCTCCACTTGCAAATTCGACAAAAAGAGTGTTTCAAGGCTGCTCTCTGTAAAGGATCCTTCAACTCTGTGAGTTGAATACACACAACACAAGGAAGTTACTGAGAATTCTTCTGTCTAGCAGAATATGAAGAAATCCCGTTTCCAACGAAGGCCTCAAAGGGGTCTGAATATCCACTTGCAGACTTTATAAACAGAGTGTTTACTAACTGCTCTATGAAAAGAAAGGTTAAACTCTGTGAGTTGAACACACACATCACAAAGGAGTTTCTGAGAATCATTCTGTCTAGTTTCTATAGGAAGATATTTCCTATTCTTCCATTGACCTCAAAGCGGCTGAAATCTCCACTTGCAAATTCCACAAAAAGAGTGTTTCAAGTCTGCTCTGTGTAAAGGATCGTTCAACTCTGTGAGTTGAATACACACAACACAAGGAAGTTACTGAGAATTCTTCTTTCTAGCAGAATATGAAGAAATCCCGTTTCCAACGAAAGCCTCAAGGATGTCTGAATATCCACTTGCAGACTTTACAAACAGTGTGTTTCCTAACTGCTCTATGAAAAGAAAGGTTCAACTCTGTGAGTTGAACGCACACATCACAAAGGAGGTTCTGAGAATCATTCTGTCTAGTTTTGAAACGAAGATATTTCCTTTTCTGCCGTTAACCTTAAAGCGCTTGAAATCTACACTTGCAAATTGCACAAATAGAGTGTTCCAAATCTGCTGTGTCTAAGGGAACGTTCAACTCTGTGAGTTGAATGCACACAACACAAGGAAGTTACTGGGAATTCTTCTGTCTACCCTTACATGAAAAAAACCCGTTTCCAACGAAGGCCTCTAAGTGGTCAAAATATCCACGTGCAGACTTTACAAACAGAGTGTTTCCAAACTGCTGAATGAAAAGAAAAGTTAAACTCTGAGAGTTGAACGCACACATCACAGAGCATTTTCTGAGAATGATTCTGTCTAGTTTTGAAACGAAGATATTTCCTTTTCTGCCTTTGGCCTCAAAGCGCTTGACATCTCCAGTTGCAAATTCCACAAAAAGAGTGTTTCAAATCTGCTCTGTGTAAATGAAAGTTCAACTCTGTGAGTTGAACACACACAACACAAGGAAGTTACTGGGAATTCTTCTGTCTAGCAGAATATGAAGAAATCCCGTTTCCAACGAAGGCCTCAAAGAGGTCTGAATATCCACTTGCAGACTTTACAAACAGAGTGTTTCCTAACTGCTCTATGAAAAGAAAGGTTAATCTCTGTGAGTTGAACGCACACATCACAAAGGAGTTTCTGAGAATCATTCTGTCTAGTTTTTATACGAAGATATTTCCTTTTCTACCATTGACCTCAAAGCGGGTGAAATCTCCACTTGCAAATTCCACAAAAAGAGTGTTTCAAATCTTCTCTGTGTAAACCATCGTTCAACTCTGTGAGTTGAATACACACAACACAAGGAAGATTGTGAGAATTCTTCTGTCTAGTAGAATATGGAGAAATCCAGTTTCCAACGAAGGCCACAAGATGTCAGAATATCCACTTACAGACTGTACAAACAGAGTGTTTCCTAACTGCTCTATGAACAGAAAGGTTAAACTCTGTGAGTTGAACGAACACATCACAACGCAGTTTGTGGGAATGATTCTGTCTAGTTTTGAAACGAAGATATTTCCTTTTCTGCCGTTGACCTTAAAGCGCTTGAAATCTACACTTGCAAATTGGACAAATAGAGTGTTTCAAATCTGCTCTGTCTAAGGGAACGTTCAACTCTGTGAGTTGAATGCACACAACACAAGGAAGTTACTGGGAATTCTTCTGTCTAGCCTTACATGAAAAAAACCCGTTTCCAACGAAGGCCTCTAAGTGGTCAAAATTTCCACGTGCAGACTTTACAAACAGCGTGTTTCCAAACCGCTGAATGAAAAGAAAAGTTAAACTCTGAGAGTTGAACGCACACATCACGCAGCAGTTTCTGAGAATGATTCTGTCTAGTCTTTATACGAAGATAGTTTCCTTTTCTACCATTGACCTCAAAGCGGCTGAAATCTCCACTTGCAAATTCCACAAAAAGAGTGTTTCAAGTCTGCTCTGTGTAAAGGATCGTTCAACTCTGTGAGTTGAATACACACAACACAAGGAAGTTACTGAGAATTGTTCTGTCTAGCATAATATGAAGAAATCCCGTTTCCAACGAAGGCCTCAAAGAGGTCTGAATATCCACTTGCAGACTTTACAAACAGAGTTTTTCCTAACTGCTCTATGAAAAGAAACGTTAAACTCTGTGAGTTGAACGCACACATCACAAAGGAGTTTATGAGAATCATTCTGTCTAGTTTCTATAGGAAGATATTTCCTATTCTACCATTGACCTCAAAGCGGCTGAAATCTCCACTTGCAAATTCCACAAAAAGAGTGTTTCAAGTCTGCTCTGTGTAAAGGATCGTTCAACTCTGTGAGTTGAATACACACAACACAAGGAAGTTACTGAGATTTCTTCCGTCTAGCAGAATATGAAGAAATCCCGTTTCCAACGAAGGCCACAAGGAGGTCTGAATATCCACTTGCAGACTTTACAAACAGAGTGTTTCCTAACTGCTCTATGAAAAGAAAAGTTAAACTCTGTGAGTTGAACGCACACATCACAAAAGAGTTTCTGAGAATCATTCTGTCTAGTTTTGAAACGAAGATATTTCCTTTTCTGCCATTGACCTTAAAGCGCTTGAAATCTCCATTTGCCAATTGCACAAAAAGAGTGTTTCAAATCTGCTCTGTCTAAGGGAACGTTCAACTCTGTGAGTTGAATGTACACAACACAAGGAAGTTACTGGGAATTCTTCTGTCTAGCCTTACAGGAAAAAAACCCGTTTCCAACGAAGGCCTCTAAGTGGTCAAAATATCCACGTGCAGACTTTACAAACAGAGTGTTTCCTAACTGCTCTATGAAAAGAAAGGTTAAACTCTGTGAGTTGAACGCACACATCACAAAGGAGTTTCTGAGAATCATTCTGTCTAGTTTTTATACGAAGATATTTCCTTTTTTGCCTTTGGCCCCAAAGCGCTTGAAATCTCCACTTGCAAATTCCACAAAAACAGTGTTTCAAATCTGCTCTCTCTAAATGAAAGTTCAACTCTGTCAGTTGAATACACAGAACACAAGGAAGTTACTGAGAATTCTTCTGTCTAGCAGAATATGAAGAAATCCCGTTTCCAACGAAGGCCTCAAGGAGGTCTTAATATCCACTTGCAGACTTTACAAACAGAGTGTTTCCTAACTGCTCTATGAAAAGAAAGGTTAAACTCTGTGAGTTGAACGCACACATCACAAAGGAGTTTCTGAGAATCTTTCTGTCTAGTTTTTCTACGAAGATATTTCCTTTTCTACTATTGACCTCAAAGCAGCTGAAATCTCCACTTGCAAATTCTACAAATAGAGTGTTTCAAGTCTGCTCTGTGTAAAGGATCGTTCAACTCTGTGAGTTGAATACACACAACACAAGGAAGTTACTGAGAATTCTTCTGTCTAGCCTTACATGAAAAAAACCTGTTTCCAACGAAGGCCTCTAAGTGGTGAAATTATGTACGTGCAGACTTTACAAACAGAGTGTTTCCAAACTGCTGAATGAAAAGAAAAGTTAAACTCTGAGAGTTGAACGCACACATCGCAGAGCTGTTTCTGAGAATGATTCTGTCTAGTTTTTATACGAAGATATTTCCTCTTCTGCCTTTGGCCTCAAAGCGCTTGAAATCTCCATTTGCAAATTCCACAAAAAGAGTGTTTCAAATCTGCTCTGTGTAAATGAGAGTTCATCTCTGTGAGTTGAACACACACAACACAAGGAAGTTACTGGGAATTCTTCTGTCTAGCAGAACATGAAGAAATCCCGTTTCCAACGAAGGCCTCAAGGATGTCTGAATATCCACTTGCAGACTTTACAAACAGAGTGTTTCCTAACTGCTCTATGAAAAGAAAGGTTAAACTCTGTGAGTTGAACGCAGACATCACAAAGGAGTTTCTGAGAATCATTTCTGTCTATTTTTTATACGAAGATATTTCCTTTTCTACCATTGACCTCAAAGCGGCTGAAATCTCCACTTGCCAATTCCACAAAAAGAGTGTTTCAAGTCTACTCTATGTAAAGGATCGTTGAACTCTGTGAGTTGAAAACACACAACACAAGGAAGTTACTGAGAATTCTTCTGTCTAGCATAATATGAAGAAATCCCGTTTCCAACGAAGGCCTCAAAGAGGTCTGAATATCCACTTGCAGACTTTACAAACAGAGTGTTTCCTAACTGCTCTATGAAAAGAAAGGTTAAACTCTGTGAGTTGAACGCACACATCACAAGGGAGTTTCTGAGAATCATTCTGTCTAGTTTCTATAGGAAGATGTTTCCTATTCTACCATTGACCTCAAAGCGGCTGAAATCTCCACTTGCAAATTCCACAACAAGAGTGTTTCAAGTATGCTCTGTGTAAAGGATCGTTCAACTCTGTGAGTTGAATACACACAACACAAGGAAGTTACTGAGAATTCTTCTGTCTAGCAGAATATGAAGAAATCCCGTTTCCAACGAAGGCCACAAGGATGTCAGAATATCCACTTACAGAATTTTCAAACAGACTGTTTCCTAACTGCTCTATGAAAAGAAAGGTTAAACTCTGTGAGTTGAACGAACACATCACAACGCAGTTTGTGGGAATGATTCTGTCTAGTTTTGAAACGAAGATATTTCCTTTTCTGCCATTGACCTTAAAGCGCTTGAAATCTCCATTTGCCAATTGCACAAAAAGAGTGTTTCAAATCTGCTCTGTCTAAGGGAACGTTCAACTCTGTGAGTTGAATGTACACAACACAAGGAAGTTACTGGGAATTCTTCTGTCTAGCGTTACATGAAAAAAACCCGTTTCCAACGAAGGCCTCTAAGTGGTCAAGTTATCCACGTGCAGACTTTACAAACAGAGTGTTTCCAAACTGCTGAATGAAAAGAAAAGTTAAACTCTGAGAGTTGAACGCACACATCGCAGAGCAGTTTCTGAGAATGATTCTGTCTAGTTTTTATACGAAGATATTTCCTTTTCTACCATTGACCTCAAAGCGGCTGAAATCTCCACTTACAAATTCCACAAAAAGAGTGTCTCTAGTCTGCTCTGTGTAAACGATCGTTCAACTCTGTGAGTTGAATACACACAATAGAAGGAAGTTTCTGAGAATTCTTCTGTATAGCAGAATATGAAGAAATCCCGTTTCCAACGAAGGCCTCAAGGAGGTCTGAATATCCACTTGCAGACTTTACAAACAGAGTGTTTCCTAACTGCTCTATGAAAAGAAAGGTTAAACTCTGTGAGTTGAACGCAGACATCACAAAGGAGTTTCTGAGAAACACTCTGTCTAGTCTTTATACGAAGATATTTCCTTTTCTACCATTGACCTCAAAGCGGCTGAAATCTCCACTTGCAAATTCCACAAAAAGAGTGTTTCAACTCTGCTCTGTGTAAAGGATCGTTCAACTCTGTGAGTTGAATACACACAACACAAGGAAGTTACTGAGAATTCTTCTGTCTAGCAGAATATGAAGAAATCCCGTTTCCACCGAAGGCCTCAAGGTGGTCTGAATATCCACTTGCAGACTTTACAAACAGAGTGTTTCCTAACTGCTCTATGAACAGAAAGGTTAAACTCTGTGAGTTGAACGCACACATCACAAAGGAGTTTCTGAGAATCATTCTGTCTAGTTTTGAAACGAACAATTTCCTTTTCTGCCATTGACCTTAAAGCGCTTGAAATCTCCATTTGCCAATTGCACAAAAAGAGTGTTTCAAATCTGCTCTGTCTAAGGGAACGTTCAACTCTGTGAGTTGAATGTACACAACACAAGGCAAGTTACTGGGAATTCTTCTGTCTAGCCTTACATGAAAAAAACCCGTTTCCAACGAAGGCCTCTAAGTGGTCAAAATGTCCACGTGCAGACTTTACAAACAGAGTGTTTCCAAACCGCTGAATGAAAAGAAAAGTTAAACTCTGAGAGTTGAACGCACACATCACGCAGCAGTTTCTGAGAATGATTCTGTCTAGTTTTTATACGAAGATATTTCCATTTCTGCCTTTGGCCTCAAATCCCTTGAAATCTCCATTTGCAAATTCCAGAAAAAGAGTGTTTCAAATCTGCTCTGTGTAAATGAAAGTTCAACTCTGTGAGTTGAACACACACAACACAAGGAAGTTACTGGGAATTCTTCTGTCTAGCCTTATATGAAAAAAACCCGTTTCCAACGAAGGCCTCAAAGAGGTCTGAATATCCACTTGCAGACTTTACAAACAGAGTGTTTCCTAACTGCACTATGAAAAGGAAGGTTAAACTCTGTGAGTTGAACGCACACATCACAAAGGAGTTTCTGAGAATCATTCTGTGTAGTTTTTATAGGAAGATATTTCCTTTTCTACCTTTGACTTCAAAGCGGCTGAAATCTCCACTTGCAAATTCCACAAAAAGAGTGTTACAAGTCTGCTCTGTGTAAAGGATCGTTCAACTCTGTGAGTTGAATACACACAACACAAGGAAGTTACTGAGAATTCTTCTGTCTAGCCTTACATGAAAAAAACCCGTTTCCAACGAAGGCCTCTAAGTGGTCAAATTATCCACGTGCAGACTTTAGAAACAGAGTGTTTCCAAACTGCTGAATGAAAAGCAAAGTTAAACTCTGAGAGTTGAACGCACACATCGCAGAGCAGTTTCTGAGAATGATTCTGTCTAGTTTTGAAAGGAAGATATTTCCTTTCCTGCCGTTGACCTTAAAGCGCTTGAAATCTACACTTGCAAATTGCACAAATAGGCTGTTTCAAATCTGCTCTGTCTAAGGGAACGTTCAACTCTGTGAGTTGAATGCACCCAACACAAGGAAGTTACTGGGAATTCTTCTGTCTAGCCTTACATGAAAAAAACCCGTTTCCAACGAAGGCCTCTAAGTGGTCAAGTTATCCACGTGCAGACTTTACAAACAGAGTGTTTCCAAACTGCTGAATGAAAAGAAAAGTTAAACTCTGGGAGTTGAACGCACACATCGCAGAGCAGTTTCTGAGAATCATTCTGTCTAGTTTTTATACGAAGATATTTCCTTTTCTGCCTTTGGCCTCAAAGCTCTTGAAATCTCCACTTGCAAATTCCACAAAAAGAGTGTTTCAAATCTGCTCTGTGTAAATGAAAGTTCAACTCTGTGAGTTGAACACACACAACACAAGGAAGTTACTGGGAATTCTTCTGTCTAGCACAGTATGAAGAAACCCGTTTCCAACGAAGGCCTCAAAGAGGTCTGAATATCCACTTGCAGAGTTTAAAAACACAGTGTTTCCTAACTGCTCTATGAAAAGAAAGGTTAAACTCTGTGAGTTGAACACACACATCACAAAGAAGTTTCTGAGAATCATTCTGTCTAGTTGTTATACGAAGATATTTCCTTTTCTACCATTGACCTCAAAGCGGCTGAAATCTCCACTTGCAAATTCCACCAAATGAGTGTTTCAAATCTGCTCTGTGTAAACTATCGTTCAACTACTGTGGGTTGAATACACACAACACAAGGAAGATTCTGAGAATTCTTCTGTCTAGCAGAATATGAAGAAATCCCGTTTCCAACGAAGGTCACAAGATGTCAGAATATCCACTTACAGAATTTACAAACAGACTGTTTCCTAACTGTTCTATGAAAAGAAAGGTTAAACTCTGTGAGTTGAACGAACACATCACAACGCAGTTTGTGGGAATGATTCTGTCTAGTTTTGAAACCAAGATATTTCCTTTTCTGCCGTTGACCTTAAAGAGCTTGAAAACTACACTTGCAAATTGCACAAATAGAGTGTTTCAAATCTGCTCTGTCTAAGGGAACGTTCAACTCTATGAGTTGAATGCACACAACACAAGGAAGTTACTGGGAATTCTTCTGTCTAGCCTTACATGAAAAAAACCCGTTTCCAACGAAGGCCTCTAAGTGGTCAAGTTATCCACGTGCAGACTTTACAAACAGAGTGTTTCCAAACTGCTGAATGAAAAGAAAAGTTAAACTCTGAGAGTTGAACGCACACATCGCAGAGCAGTTTCTGAGCATGATTCTGTCTAGTTTTTATACGAAGATATTTCCTTTTCTGCCTTTGGCCTCAAAGCGCTTGAAATCTCCACTTGCAAATTCCACAAAAAGAGTGTTTCAAATCTGCTCTGTGTAAATCAAAGTTCAACTCTGTGAGTTGAACACACACAACACAAGGAAGTTACTGGGGATTCTTCTGTCTAGCAGAATATGAAGAAATCCCGTTTCCAACGAAGGCCTCAAAGAGGTCTGAATATCCACTTGCAGACTTTACAAACAGAGTGTTTCCTAACTGCTCTATGAAAAGAAAGGTTAAACTCTGTGAGTTCAACGCACACATCACAAAGGAGTTTCTGAGAATCGTTCTCTGTCTACTTTCTATAGGAAGATATTTCCTATTCTATCATTGACCTCAAAGCGGCTGAAATCTCCACTTGCAAATTCCACAAAAGGAGTGTTTCAAGTCTGCTCTGTGTAAAGGATCGTTCAACTCTGTGAGTTGAAAACACACAACACAAGGAAGTTTCTGAGAATTCTTCTGTCTAGCAGAATATGAAGAAATCCCGTTTCCAACGAAGGCCTCAAGGAGGTCTGAATATCCACTTGCAGACTTTACAAACAGAGTGTTTCTTAACTGCTCTATGAACAGAAAGGTTAAACTCTGTGAGTTGAACGAACACATCACAACGCAGTTTGTGGGAATGATTCTGTCTAATTTTGAAACGAAGATATTTCCTTTTCTGCCATTGACCTTAATGCGCTTGAAATCTACACTTGCAAATTGCACAAATAGAGTGTTTCAAATCTGCTCTGTCTAAGGGAACGTTCAACTCTGTGAGTTGAATGCACACAACACAAGGAAGTTACTGGGAATTCTTCTGTCTAGCCTTACATGAAAAAAACCCGTTTCCAACGAAGGCCTCTAAGTGATCAAATTATCCACGTGCAGACTTTACAAACAGAGTGTTTCCAAACTGCTGAATGAAAAGAAAAGTTAAACTCTGAGAGTTGAACGCACACATCACAGAGCAGTTTCTGAGAATGATTCTGTCTAGTTTATATACGAAGATATTTCCTTTTCTGCCTTTGGCCTCAAAGCGCTTGAAATCTCCACTTGCAAATTCCACAAAAAGAGTGTTTCAAATCTGCTCTGTGTAAATGAAAGTTCAACTCTGTGAGTTGAACACACACAACACAAGGAAGTTACTGGGAATTCTTCTGTATAGCAGAATATGAAGAAATCCCGTTTCCAACGAAGGCCTCAAGGAGGTCTGAATATCCACTTGCAGACTTTACAAACAGAGTGTTTCCTAACTGCTCTATGAAAAGAAAGGTTAAACTCTGTGAGTTGAACGCAGACATCACAAAGGAGTTTCTGAGAATCATTCTGTCTAGTTTTTATAGGAAGTTATTTCCTTTTCTACCTTTGACTTCAAAGTGGCTGAAATCTCCACTTGCAAATTCCACAAAAAGAGTGTTACAAGTCTGCTCTGTGTAAAGGGTCGTTCAACTACTGTGAGTTGAATACACACAACACAAGGAAGTTACTGAGAATTCTTCTGTCTAGCGGAATATGAAGAAATCCCCTTTCCAACGAAGGCCACAAGATGTCAGAATATCCACTTACAGACTTTACAAACAGAGTGTTTCCTAACTGCTCTATGAACAGAAAGGTTAAACTCTGTGAGTTGAACGAACACATCACAACGCAGTTTGTGGGAATGATTCTGTCTAGTTTTGAAACGAAGATATTTCCTTTTCTGCCATTGACCTTAAATCTCTTGAAATCTCCACTTGCCAATTGCACAAAAAGAGTGTTTCAAATCTGCTCTGTCTAAGGGAACGTTCAACTCTGTGAGTTGAATGTACACAACACAAGGAAGTTACTGGGAATTCTTCTGTCTAGCCTTACAGGAAAAAAACCCGTTTCCAACGAAGGCCTCTGAGTGGTCAAAATATCCACGTGCAGACTTTACAAACAGAGTGTTTCCAAACTGCTGAATGAAAAGAAAAGTTAAACTCTGAGAGTTGAACGCACACATCGCAGAGCAGTTTCTGAGAGTGATTCTGTCTAGTTTTGAAACGAAGACTATTTCCTTTTCTGCCTTTGGCCTCAAAGCGCTTGAAATCTCCACTTGCAAATTCCACAAAAAGAGTGTTTCAAATCTGCTCTGTGTAAATGAAAGTTCAACTCTGTGAGTTGAACACACACAACACAAGGAAAGTTACTGGGAATTCTTCTGTCTAGCAGAATATGAAGAAATACCGTTTCCAACGAAGGCCTCAAGGAGGTCTGAATATCCACTTGCAGACTTTACAAACAGAGTGTTTCCTAACTGCTCTATGAAAAGAAAGGTTAAACTCTGTGAGTTGAACGCACACATCACAAAGGAGTTTCTGAGAATCATTCTGTCTACTTTTTCTACGAAGATATTTCCTTTTCTACTATTGACCTCAAAGCGGCTGAAACCTCCACTTGCAAATTCCACAAAAAAAGTGTTTCAAGTCTGCTCTGTGTAAAGGATCGTTCAACTCTGTGAGTTGAATACACACAACACAAGGAAGTTACTGAGAATTCTTCTGTCTAGCAGAATATGAAGAAATCCCGTTTCCAACGAAGGCTTCAAAGAGGTCTGAATATCCACTTGCAGACTTTACAAACAGAGTGTTTCCTAACTGCTCTATGAACAGAAAGGTTAAACTCTGTGAGTTGAACGAACACATCACAACGCAGTTTGTGGGAATGATTCTGTCTAGTTTTTATTGGAAGATATTACCTTTTCTACCATTGACTTAAAAGCGGCTGAAAACTCCACTTGCAAATTCCACAAAAAGAGTGTTACAAGTCTGCTCTGTCTAAGGGAACGTTCAACTTTGTGAGTTGAATGTCCACAACACAAGGAAGTTACTGGGAATTCTTCTGTCTAGCCTTACATGAAAAAAACCCGTTTCCAACGAAGGCCTCTATGTGGTCAAATTATCCACGTACAGACTTTACAAACAGAGTGTTTTCAAACTGCTGAATGAAAAGAAAAGTTAAACTCTGAGAGTTGAACGCACACAATGCAGAGCAGTTTCTGAGAATGATTCTGTCTAGTTTTCAAACGAAGATATTTCCTTTTCTGCCTTTGGCCTCAAAGCGCGTGAAATCTCCACTTGCAAATTCCACAAAAAGAGTGTTTCAAATCTGCTCTGTGTAAATGAAAGTTCAACTCTGTGAGTTGAACACACACAACACAAGGAAGTTACTGGGAATTCTTCTGTCTAGCATAATATGAAGAAATCCCGTTTCCAACGAAGGCCTCAAGGAGGTCTGAATATCCACTTGCAGACTTTACAAACAGAGTGTTTCCTAACTGCTCTATGAAAAGAAAAGTTAAACTCTGTGAGTTGAACGCACACATCACAAAGGAGTTTATGAGAATCATTCTGTCTAGTTTCTATAGGAAGATATTTCCTATTCTACCATTGATCACAAAGCGGCTGAAATCTCCACTTGCAAATTCCACAAAAAGAGTGTTTCAAGTCTGCTCTGTGTAAAGGATCGTTCAACTCTGTGAGTTGAATACACACAATACAAGGAAGTTACTGAGAATTCTTCTGTCTAGCAGAATATGAGGAAATCCCGTTTCCAACGAAAGCCTCAAAGAGGTCTGAATATCCACTTGCAGACTTTACAAACAGAGGGTTTCCTAACTGCTCTATGAACAGAAAGGTTAAACTCTGTGAGTTGAACGAACACATCACAACGCAGCTTGTGGGAATGATTCTGTCTAGTTTTGAAAGGAAGATATTTCCTTTTCTGCCATTGACCTTAAAGCGCTTGAAATCTCCATTTGCCAATTGCACAAAAAGAGTGTTTCAAATCTGCTCTGTCTAAGGGAACGTTCAACTCTGTGAGTTGAATGTACACAACACAAGGAAGTTACTGGGAATTCTTCTGTCTAGCCTTACATGAAAAAAACCCGTTTCCAACGAAGCCTCTAAGTGGTCAAAATATCCACGTGCAGACTTTACAAACAGAGTGTTTCCAAACCGCTGAATGAAAAGAAAAGTTAAACTCTGAGAGTTGAACGCACACATCACGCAGCAGTTTCTGAGAATGATTCTGTCTAGTTTTTATACGAAGATATTTCCTTTTCTGCCCTTGGCCCCAAAGCGCTTGAAATCTCCACTTGCAAATTCCACAAAAAGAGTGTTTCAAATCTGCTCTCTCTAAATGAAAGTTCAACTCTGTCAGTTGAATACACACAACACAAGGAAGTTACTGAGAATTCTTCTGTCTCGCCTTATATGAAAAAAACCCGTTTCCAACGAAGGCCTCAAAGAGGTCTGAATATCCACTTGCAGACTTTACAAACAGAGTGTTTCCTAACTGCTCTATGAAAAGAAAGGTTAAACTCTGTGAGTTGAACGCACACATCACAAAGGAGTTTCTGAGAATCATTCTGTCTATTCTTTATACGAAGATATTTCCTATTCTACCATTGACCTCAAAGCGGCTGAAATCTCCACTTGCAAATTCGACAAAAAGAGTGTTTGAAGCCTGCTCTCTGTAAAGGATCCTTCAACTCTGTGAGTTGAATACACACAACACAAGGAAGTTACTGAGAATTCTTCTGTCTAGCAGAATATGAAGAAATCCCGTTTCCAACGAAGGCCACAAGATGTCAGAATATCCACTTACAGACGTTACAGAGTGTTTCCTAACTGCTCTATGAATAGAAAGGTTAAACTCTGTGAGTTGAACGAACACATCACAAGGCAGTTTGTGGGAATGATTCTGTCTAGTTTTGAAACGAAGTTATTTCCTTTTCTGCCATTGACCTTAAAGCGCTTGAAATCTACACTTGCAAATTGCACAAATAGAGTGTTTCAAATCTGCTCTGTCTAAGGGAACGTTCAACTCTGTGAGTTGAATGCACACAACACAAGGAAGTTACTGGGAATTCTTCTGTCTAGCCTTACATGAAAAAAACCCGATTCCAACGAAGGCCTCTAAGTGGTCAAAATTTCCACGTGCAGACTTTACAAACAGAGTGTTTCCAAACCGCTGAATGAAAAGAAAAGTTAAACTCTGAGAGTTGAACGCACACATCACGCAGCAGTTTCTGAGAATGATTCTGTCTAGTTTCTATAGGAAGATATTTCCTTTTCTACCATTGACCTCAAAGCGGCTGCAATTTCCACTTGCAAATTCCACAAAAAGAGTGTTTCAAGTCTGCTCTCTGTAAAGGATCGTTCAACTCTGTGAGTTGAATACACACAACACAAGGAAGTTACTGAGAATTATTCTGTCTAGCAGAATATGAAGAAATCCCGTTTCCAACGAAGGCCCCAAAGAGGTCTGAATATCCACTTGCAGACTTTACAAACAGAGTGTTTCCTAACTGCTCTATGAAAAGAAAAGTTAAACTCTGTGAGTTGAACGCACACATCACAAAGGAGTTTATGAGAATCATTCTGTCTAGTTTTTATATGAAGATATTTCCTTTTCTACCATTGACCTCAAAGCGGCTGAAATCTCCACTTGCAAATTCCACAAAAAGAGTTTCTCAAGTCTGCTCTGTGTAAACGATCGTTCAACTCTGTGAGTTGAATACACACAACACAAGGAAGTTTCTGAGAATTCTTCTGTATAGCAGAATATGAAGAAATCCCGTTTCCAACGAAGGCCTCAAGGAGGTCTGAATATGCACTTGCAGACTTTACAAACAGAGTGTTTCCTAACTGCTCTATGAAAAGAAAGGTTAAACTCTGTGAGTTGAACGCAGACATCCCAAAGGAGTTTCTGAGAATCACTCTGTCTAGTTTTGAAACGAAGATATTTCCTTTTCTGCCACTGACCTTAAAGCGCTTGAAATCTACACTTGCAAATTGCACAAATAGAGTGTTTCAAATCTGCTCTGTCTAAGGGAACGTTCAACTCTGTGAGTTGAATGCACACAACACAAGGAAGTTACTGGGAATTCTTCTGTCTAGCCTTACATGAAAAAAAACCCGTTTCCAACGAAGGCCTCTAAGTGGTCAAAATATCCACGTGCAGTCTTTACAAACAGAGTGTTTCCAAACCGCTGAATGAAAAGAAAAGTTAAACTCTGAGAGTTGAACGCACACATCACGCAGCAGTTTCTGAGAATGATTCTGTCTAGTTTTGAAACGAAGATATTTCCTTTTCTGCCTTTGGCCTCAAAGCGCTTGAAATCTCCACTTGCAAATTCCACAAAAAGAGTGTTTCAAATCTGCTCTGTGTAAATGAAAGTTCAACTCTGTGAGTTGAACACACACAACACAAGGAAGTTACTGGGAATTCTTTCTGTCTAGCATAATATGAAGAAATCCCGTTTCCAACGAAGTCCTAAAGGAGGTCTGAATATCCACTTGCAGACTTTACAAACAGAGTGTTTCCTAACTGCTCTATGAAAAGAAAGGTTAAACTCTGTGAGTTGAACGCACACATCACAAAGGAGTTTCTGAGAATCATTCTGTCTAGTTTTTATAGGAAGATATTTCCTTTTCTACCTTTGACTTCAAAGCGGCTGAAATCTCCACTTGCAAATTCCACAAAAAGAGTGTTACAAGTCTGCTCTGTGTAAAGGATCGTTCAACTGTGTGAGTTGAATACACACAACACAAGGGAAGTTACTGAGAATTCTTCTGTCTAGCAGAATATGAAGAAATCCCATTTCCAACGAAGGCCTCAAGGAGGTCTGAATATCCACTTGCAGACTTTACAAACAGAGTGTTTCCTAACTGCTCTATGAACGGAAAAGTTAAACTCTGTGAGTTGAACGAACACATCACAACGCAGTTTGTGGGAATGATTCTGTCTAGTTTTGAAACGAAGATATTTCCTTTTCTGCCGTTGACCTTAAAGCGCTTGAAATGTACACTTGCAAATTACACAAATAGAGTGTTTCAAATCTGCTCTGTCTAAGGGAACGTTCAACTCTGTGAGTTGAATGCACACAACACAAGGAAGTTACTGGGAATTCTTCTGTCTACCCTTACAGGAAAAAAACCCGTTTCCAACGAAGGCCTCTAAGTGGTCAAAATATCCACGTGCAGACTTTACAAACAGAGTGTTTCCAAACTGCTGAATGAAAAGAAAAGTTAAACTCTGAGAGTTGAACGCACACATCGCAGAGCAGTTTCTGAGAATGATTCTGTCTAGTTTCGAAACGAAGATATTTCCTTTTCTGCCTTTGGCCTCAAAGCGCTTGAAATCTCCACTTGCAAATTCCACAAAAAGAGTGTTTCAAATCTGCTCTGTGTAAATGAAAGTTCAACTCTGTGAGTTGAACACACACAACACAAGGAAGTTACTGGGAATTCTTCTGTCTAGCCTTATATGAAAAAAACCCGTTTCCAACGAAGGCCTCAAAGAGGTCTGAATATCCACTTGGAGACTTTACAAACAGAGTGTTTCCTAACTGCTCTATGAAAAGAAATGTTAAACTCTGTGAGTTGAACACACACATCACAAAGGAGTTTCTGAGAATCATTCTGTCTAGTCTTTATACGAAGATATTTCCTTTTCTACCATTGACCTCAAAGCGGCTGAAATCTCCACTTGCAAATTCCACAAAAAGAGTCCTTAAAGTCTGCTCTCTGTAAAGGATCGTTCAACTCTGTGAGTTGAATACACACAACACAAGGAAGTTACTGAGAATTCTTCTGTCTAGCAGAATATGAAGAAATCCCTTTTCCAACGAAGGCCACAAGATGTCAGAATATCCACTTACAGACTTTACAAACACAGTGTTTCCTAACTGCTCTATGAACAGAAAGGTTAAACTCTGTGAGTTGAACGAACACATCACAACGCAGTTTGTGGGAATGATTCTGTCTAGTTTTGAAACGAAGATATTTCCTTTTCTGCCATTGACCTTAAAGCGCTTGAAATCTACACTTGCAAATTGCACAAATAGAGTGTTTCAAATCTGCTCTGTCTAAGGGAACGTTCAACTCTGTGAGTTGAATGCACACAACACAAGGAAGTTACTGGGAATTCTTCTGTCTAGCCTTACATGAAAAAATCCCGTTTCCAACGAAGGCCTCTAAGTGGTCAAAATATCCACGTGCAGACTTTACAAACAGAGTGTTTCCAAACCGCTGAATGAAAAGAAAAGTTAAACTTTGAGAGTTGAACGCACACATCACACAGCAGTTTCTGAGAATGATTCTGTCTAGTTTTGAAACGAAGATATTTCCTTTTCTGCCTTTGGCCTCAAAGCGCTTGAAATCTCCACTTGCAAATTCCACAAAAAGAGTGTTTCATATCTGCTCTGTGTAAATGAAAGTTCAACTCTGTGAGTCGAACACACACAACACAAGGAAGTTACTGGGAATTCTTCTGTCTAGCCTTACATGAAAAAAACCCGTTTCCAACGAAGGCCTCTAAGTGGTCAAAATATCCACGTGCAGACTTTATAAACAGAGTGTTTACTAACTGCTCTATGAAAAGAAAGGTTAAACTCTGTGAGTTGAACACACACATCACAAAGGAGTTTCTGAGAATCATTCTGTCTAGTCTTTATATGAAGGTAGTTTCCTTTTCTACCATTGACCTCAAAGCGGCTGAAATCTCCACTTGCAAATTCCACAAAAAGAGTGTTTCAAATCTGCTCTGTGTAAAGGATCGTTCAACTCTGTGAGTTGAATACACACAACACAAGGAAGTTACTGAGAATTATTCGGTCTAGCAGAATATGAAGAAATCCCGTTTCCAACGAAGGCCTCAAGGAGGTCTGAATATTCACTTGCAGACTTTACAAACAGAGTGTTTCCTAACTGCTCTATGAACAGAAAGGTTAAACTCTGTGAGTTGAACGAACACATCACAACGCAGTTTGTGGGAGTGATTCTGTCTAGTTTTGAAACGAAGATATTTCCTTTTCTGCCGTTGACCATAAAGCGCTTGAAATCTACACTTGCAAATTGCACAAATAGAGTGTTCCAAATCTGCTCTGTCTAAGGGAACGTTCAACTCTGTGAGTTGAATGCACACAACACAAGGAAGTTACTGGGAATTCTTCTGTCTAGCCTTACAGGAAAAAAACCCGTTTCCAACGAAGGCCTCTAAGTGGTCAAGTTATCCACGTGCAGACTTTACAACCAGAGTGTTTCCAAACTGCAGAATGGAAAGAAAAGTTAAACTCTGAGAGTTGAACGCACACATCGCAGAGCAGTTTCTGAGAATGATTCTGTCTAGTTTTGAAACGAAGATATTTCCTTTTCTGCCTTTGGCCTCAAAGCGCTTGAAATCTCCATTTGCAAATTCCACAAAAAGAGTGTTTCAAATCTGCTCTGTGTAAATGAAAGTTCAACTCTGTGAGTTGAACACACACAACACAAGGAAGTTACTGGGAATTCTTCTGTCAAGCATAATATGAAGAAATCCCGTTTCCAACGAAGGCCTCAAGGAGGTCTGAATATCCACTTCCAGACTTTACAAACAGAGTGTTTCCTAACTGCTCTATGAAAAGAAAGGTTAAACTCTGTGAGTTGAACGCACACATCACAAAGGAGTTTCTGAGAATCATTCTGTCTAGTCTTTATATGAAGATAGTTTCCTTTTCTACCATTGACCTCAAAGCGGCTGAAATCTCCACTTGCAAATTCCACAAAAAGAATGTTTGAAGTCTGCTCTGTGTAAAGGATCGTTCAACTCTGTGAGTTGAATACACACAACACAAGGAAGTTACTGAGAATTCTTCTGTCTAGCAGAATATGAAGAAATCCCGTTTCCAACGAAGGCCACAAGATGTCAGAATATCCACTTTCAGACTTTACAAACAGAGTGTTTCCTAACTGCTCTATGAACAGAAAGGTTAAACTCTGTGAGTTGAACGAACACATCACAACGCAGTTTGTGGGAATGATTCTGTCTAGTTTTGAAACGAAGATATTTCCTTTTCTGCCATTGACCTTAAAGCGCTTGAAATCTACACTTGCAAATTGCACAAATAGAGTGTTTCAAATCTGCTCTGTCTAAGGGAACGTTCAACTCTGTGAGTTGAATGCACACAACACAAGGAAGTTACTGGGAATTATTCTTTCTAGCCTTACAGGAAAAAATACCCGTTTCCAACGAAGGCCTCTAAGTGGTCAAAATATCCACCTGCAGACTTTACAAACAGAGTGTTTCCAAACTGCTGAATGAAAAGAAAAGTTAAACTCTGAGAGTTGAACGCACACATCGCAGAGCAGTTTCTGAGAATGATTCTGTCTAGTTTTTATACGAAGATATTTCCTTTTCTGCCTTTGACCCCAAAGCGCTTGAAATTTCCACTTGCAAATTCCACAAAAACAGTGTTTCAAATCTGCTCTCTCTAAATGAAAGTTCAACTCTGTCAGTTGAATACACACAACACAAGGGAAGTTACTGAGAATTCTTCTGTCTAGCATAATATGAAGAAATCCCGTTTCCAACGAAGGCTTCAAAGGGGTCTGAATATCCACTTGCAGACTTTATAAACAGAGTGTTTACTAACTGCTCTATGAAAAGAAAGGTTAAATTCTGTGAGTTGAACACACACATCACAAAGGAGTTTCTGAGAATCATTCTGTCTAGTTTTTCTACGAAGATATTTCCTTTTCTACTATTGACCTCAAAGCGGCTGAAATCTCCACTTGCAAATTCCACAAAAAGAGTGTTTCTAGTCTGCTCTGTGTAAAGGATCGTTCAACTCTGTGAGTTGAATACACACAACACAAGGAAGTTACTGAGAATTCTTCTGTCTAGCAGAATATGAAGAAATCCCGTTTCCAACGAAGGCCACAAGATGTCAGAATATCCACTTTCAGACTTTACAAACAGAGTGTTTCCTAACTGCTCTATGAACAGAAAGGTTAAACTCTGTGAGTTGAACGAACACATCACAACGCAGTTTGTGGGAATGATTCTGTCTAGTTTTGAAACGAAGATATTTCCTTTTCTGCCATTGACCTTAAAGCGCTTGAAATCTCCACTTGCCAATTGCACAAAAAGAGTGTTTCAAATCTGCTCTGTCTAAGGGAACGTTCAACTCTGTGAGTTGAATGTACACAACACAAGGAAGTTACTGGGAATTCTTCTGTCTAGCCTTACATGAAAAAATCCCGTTTCCAACGAAGGCCTCTAAGTGGTCAAAATATCCACGTGCAGACTTTACAAACAGAGTGTTTCCAAACCGCTGAATGAAAAGAAAAGTTAAACTCTGAGAGTTGAACGCACACATCACACAGCAGTTTCTGAGAATGATTCTGTCTAGTTTTTATACGAAGATATTTCCTTTTCTGCCTTTGGCCCCAAAGCGCTTGATATCTCCACTTGCAAATTCCACAAAAACAGTGTTTCAAATCTGCTCTCTCTAAATGAAAGTTCAACTCTGTCAGTGGAATACACACAACACAAGGAAGTTACTGAGAATTCTTCTGTCTAGCACAGTATGAAGAAAATCCCGTTTCCAACGAAGGCCTCAAAGAGGTCTGAATATCCACTTGCAGACTTTACAAACAGAGTGTTTCCTAACTGCTCTATGAAAAGAAATGTTAAACTCTGTGAGTTGAACGCACACGTCACAATGAAGTTTCTGAGAATCATTCTGTCTAGTTTTTCTACGAAGATATTTCCTTTTCTATTATTGACCTCAAAGCGGCTGAAATCTCCACTTGCAAGTCCCACAAAAAGAGTGTTTCAAGTCTGCTCTGTATAAAGGATCGTTCAACCCTGTGAGTTGAATACACACAACACAAGGAAGTTACTGAGAATTCTTCTGTCTAGCAGAATATGAAGAAATCCCGTTTCCAACGAAGGCCTCAAGGAGGTCTGAATATCCACTTGCATACTTTACAAACAGAGTGTTTCCTAACTGCTCTATGAACAGAAAGGTTAAACTCTGTGAGTTGAACGAATACATCACAACGCAGTTTGTGGGAATGATTCTGTCTAGTTTTGAAACGAAGATATTTCCTTTTCTGCCGTTGACCTTAAAGCGCTTGAAATCTACACTTGCAAATTGCACAAATAGAGTGTTTCAAATCTGCTCTGCCTAAGGGAACGTTCAACTCTGTGAGTTGAATGCACACAACACAAGGAAGTTACTGGGAATTCTTCTGTCTAGCCTTACATGAAAAAAAACCCGTTTCCAACGAAGGCCTCTAAGTGGTCAAAATATCCACGTGCAGTCTTTACAAACAGAGTGTTTCCAAACCGCTGAATGAAAAGAAAAGTTAAACTCTGAGAGTTGAACGCACACATCACGCAGCAGTTTCTGAGAATGATTCTGTCTAGTTTTTCTACGAAGATATTTCCTTTTCAATTATTGACCTCAAAGCGGCTGAAATCTCCACTTGCAAGTCCCACAAAAAGAGTGTTTCAAGTCTGCTCTGTATAAAGGATCGTTCAACCCTGTGAGCTGAATACACACAACACAAGGAAGTTACTGAGAATTCTTCTGTCTAGCAGAATATGAAGAAATCCCGTTTCCAATGAAGGCCTCAAGGAGGTCTGAATATCCACTTGCAGACTTTACAAACAGAGTGTTTCCTAACTGCTCTATGAAAAGAAAAGTTAAACTCTGTGAGTTGAACGCACACATCACAAAGGAGTTTCTGAGAATCATTCTGTCTAGTTTTTATAGGAAGATATTCCCTTTTCTACCTTTGACTTCAAAACGGCTGAAATCTCCACTTGCAAATTCCACAAAAAGAGTGTTACAAGTCTGCTCTGTGTAAAGGATCGGTCAACTCTGTGAGTTGAATACACACAACACAAGGAAGTTACTGAGAATTCTTCTGTCTAGCAGAATATGTAGAAATCCCGTTTCCAACGAAGGCCACAAGATGTCAGAATATCCACTTACAGAATTTACCAACAGAGTGTTTCCTAACTGCTCTATGAAAAGAAAGGTTAAACTCTGTGAGTTGAACGAACACATCACAACGCAGTTTGTGGGAATGATTATCTGTCTAGTTTTTATACGAAGATATTTCCTTTTCTACCATTGACCTCAATGCGGCTGAAATCACCACTTGCCAATTGCACAAAAAGAGTGTTTCAAATCTGCTCTGTCTAAGGGAACGTTCAACTCTGTGAGTTGAATGTACACAACACAAGGAAGTTCCTGGGAATTCTTCTGTCTAGCCTTACATGAAAAAAACCCGTTTCCAACGAAGGCCTCTAAGTGGTCAAAATTTCCACGTGCTGACTTTACAAACAGAGTGTTTCCAAACCGCTGAATGAAAAGAAAAGTTAAACTCTGAGAGTTGAACGCACACATCACAAAGGAGTTTCTGAGAATGATTCTGTCTAGTTTTTATACGAAGATATTTCCTTTTCTGCCTTTGGCCCCAAAGCGCTTGAAATCTCCACTTGCAAATTCCACAAAAACAGTGTTTCAAATCTGCTCTCTCTAAATCAAAGTTCAACTCTGTCAGTTGAATACACACAACACAAGGAAGTTACTGAGAATTCTTCTGTCTAGCATAATATGAAGAAATCCCGTTTCCAACGAAGGCCTCAAAGGGGTCTGAATATCCACTTGCAGACTTTATAAACAGAGTGTTTACTAACTGCTCTATGAAAAGAAAAGTTAAACTCTGTGAGTTGAACGCACACATCACAAAGGAGTTTCTGAGAATCGTTCTGTCTAGTTTCTATAGGAAGATATTTCCTATTCTACCATTGAGCTCAAAGCGGCTGAAATCTCCACTTGCAAATTCCACAAAAAGAGTGTTTCAAGTCTGCTCTGTGTAAAGGATCGTTCAACTCTGTGAGTTGAATACACACAACACAAGGAAGTTACTGAGAATTCTTCTGTCTAGCAGAATATGAAGAAATCCCGTTTCCAACGAAGGCCACAAGATGTCAGAATATCCACTTACAGAATTTACCAACAGAGTGTTTCCTAACTGCTCTATGAAAAGAAAGGTTAAACTCTGTGAGTTGAACGAAAACATCACAACGCAGTTTGTGGGAATGATTCTGTCTACTTTTTATAGGAATATATTTCCTTTTCTACCTTTGACTTCAAAGCGGCTGAAATCTCCACTTGCAAATTCCACAAAAAGAGTTTTCCAAGTCTGCTCTGTGTGAAGGATCGTTCAACTCTGTGAGTTGAATACACACAACACAAGGAAGTTACTGAGAATTCTTCTGTCTAGCCTTACAGGAAAAAAACCCGTTTCCAACGAAGGCCTCTAAGTGGTCAAATTATCCACGTGCAGACTTTACAAACAGAGTGTTTCCAAACTGCTGAATGAAAAGAAAAGTTAAACTCTGAGAGTTGAACGCACACATCGCAGAGCAGTTTCTGAGAATGATTCTGTCTAGTTTTTATACGAAGATATTTCCTTTTCTGCCTTTGGCCTCAAAGCGCTTGAAATCTCCATTTGCAAATTCCACAAAAAGAGTGTTTCAAATCTGCTCTGTGTAAATGAAAGTTCAACTCTGTGAGTTGAACACACACAACACAAGGAACTTACTGGGAATTCTTCTGTCTAGCCTTATATGTAAAAAACCCGTTTCCAACGAAGGCCTCAAAGAGGTCTCAATATCCACTTGCAGACTTTACAAACAGAGTGTTTCCTAACTGCTCTATGAAAAGAAAGGTTAAACTCTGTGAGTTGAACGTACACATCACAAAGGAGTTTCTGAGAATCATTCTGTCTAGTTTCTATAGGAAGATATTTCCTATTCTACCATTGACCACAAAGCGGCTGAAATCTCCACTTGCACATTCCACAAAAAGAGTGTTTCAAGTCTGCTCTGTGTAAAGGATCATTCAAGTCTGTGAGTTGAATACACACAACACAAGGAAGTTACTGAGAATTCTTATGTCTAGCACAGTATGAAGAAATCCCGTTTCCAACGAAGGCCTCAAAGAGGTCTGAATATCCACTTGCAGAGTTTACAAACAGAGTGTTTCCTAACTGCTCTATGAAAAGAAAGGTTAAACTCTGTGAGTTGAACGCACACATCACAAAGAAGTTTCTGAGAATCATTCTGTCTAGTTTTGAAACGAAGATATTTCCTTTTCTGCCATTGACCTTAAAGCGCTTGAAATCTCCACTTGCCAATTGTACAAAAAGAGTGTTTCACATCTGCTCTGTCTAAGGGAACGTTCAACTCTGTGAGTTGAATGTACTCAACACAAGGAAGTTACTGGGAATTCTTCTGTCTAGCCTTACAGGAAAAAAACCCGTTTCCAACGAAGGCCTCTAAGTGGTCAAAATATCCACGTGCAGACTTTACAAACAGAGTGTTTTCAAACTGCTGAATGAAAAGAAAAGTTAAACTCTGAGAGTTGAACGCACACATCGCAGAGCAGTTTCTGAGAATGATTCTGTCTAGTTTTGAAACGAAGATATTTCCTTTTCTGCCTTTGGCCTCAAAGCGCTTGACATCTCCACTTGCAAATTCCACAAAAAGAGTGTTTCAAATCTGCTCTGCGTAAATGAAAGTTCAACTCTGTGAGTTGAACACACACAACACAAGGAAGTTACTGGGAATTCTTCTGTCTAGCAGAATATGAAGAAATCCCGTTTCCAACGAAGGCCTCAAAGAGGTCTGAATATCCACTTGCAGACTTTACAAACAGAGTGTTTCCTAACTGCTCTATGAACAGAAAGGTTAAACTCTGTGAGTTGAACGCACACATCACAAAGGAGTTTCTGAGAATCGTTCTGTCTAGTTTTTATACGAAGATATTTCCTTTTCTACCATTGACCTCAAAGCGGCTGAAATCTCCACTTGCAAATACCACAAAAAGAGTGTTTCAAATCTGCTGTGTGTAAACCATCGTTCAACTCTGTGAGTTGAATACACACAACACAAGGAAGATTCTGAGAATTCTTCTGTCTAGCAGAATATGAAGAAATCCTGTTTCCAACGAAGGCCACAAGATGTCTGAATATCCACTTACAGACTTTACAAACAGAGTGTTTGCTAACTGCTCTATGAACAGAAAGGTTAAACTCTGTGAGTTGAACGAACACATCACAACGCAGTTTGTGGGAATGATTCTGTCTAGTTTTGAAAGGAAGATATTTCCTTTTCTGCCATTGACCTCAAAGCGCTTGAAATCTCCACTTGCCAATTGCACAAAAAGAGTGTTTCAAATCTGCTCTGTCTAAGGGAACGTTCAACTCTGTGAGTTGAATGTACACAACACAAGGAAGTTACTGGGAATTCTTCTGTCTAGCCTTACATGAAAAAAAACCCCTTTCCAACGAAGGCCTCTAAGTGGTCAAAATATCCACGTGCAGTCTTTACAAACAGAGTGTTTCCAAACCGCTGAATGAAAAGAAAAGTTAAACTCTGAGAGTTGAACGCACACATCACGCAGCAGTTTGCTGAGAATGATTTCTGTCTAGTTTTGCAACGAAGATATTTCCTTTTCTGCCTTTGGCCTCAAAGCGCTTGAAATCTCCACTTGCAAATTCCACAAAAAGAGTGTTTCAAATCTGCTCTGTGTAAATGAAAGTTCAACTCTGTGAGTTGAACACACACAACACAAGGAAGTTACTGGGAATTCTTCTGTCTAGCCTTATATGAAAAAAACCCGTTTCCAACGAAGGCCTCAAAGAGGTCTGAATATCCACTTGCAGACTTTACAAACAGAGTGTTTCCTAACTGCTCTATGAGAAGAAAGGTTAAACTCTGTGAGTTGAACGCACACATCACAAAGGAGTTTCTGAGAATCATTTTGTCTAGTTTCTATAAGAAGATATTTCCTATTCTACCATTGACCTCAAAGCGGCTGAAATCTCCACTTGCAAATTCGACAAAAAGAGGGTTTCAAGCCTCCTCTCTGTAAAGGATCCTTCAAGTCTGTGAGTTGAATACACACAACACAAGGAAGTTACTGAGAATTCTTCTGTCTAGCAGAATATGAAGAAATCCTGTTTCCAACGAAGGCCACAAGATGTCAGAATATCCACTTACAGAATTTACAAACAGACTGTTTCCTAAGTGCTCTATGAAAAGAAATGTTAAACTCTGTGAGTTGAACGAACACATCGCAACGCAGTTTGTGGGAATGATTCTGTCTAGTTTTGAAACAAAGATATTTCCTTTTCTGCCATTGACCTTAAAGAGCTTGAAATCTACACTTGCAAATTGCACAAATAGAGTGTTTCAAATCTGCTCTGTCTAAGGGAACGTTCATCTCTGTGAGTTGAATGCACACAACACAAGGAAGTTACTGGGAATTCTTCTGTCTAGCCTTAAATGAAAAAACCCCGTTTCCATCGAAGGCCTCTAAGTGGTCAAAATATCCACGTGCAGACTTTACAAACAGAGTGTTTCCAAAGTACTGAATGAAAAGAAAAGTTAAACTCTGAGAGTTGAACGCACACATCACAGAGCAGTTTCTGAGAATGATTCTGTCTAGTTTTTATACGAAGATATTTCCTTTTCTGCCTTTGGCCCCAAAGCGCTTGAAATCTCCACTTGCAAATTCCACAAAAACAGTGTTTGAAATCTGCTCTCTCTAAATGAAAGTTCAACTCTGTCAGTTGAATACACACAACACAAGGAAGTTACTGAGAATTCTTCTGTCTAGCCTTATATGAAAAAAACCCGTTTCCAACGAAGGCCTCAAAGAGGTCTGAGTATCCACTTGCAGACTTGACAAACAGAGTGTTTCCTAACTGCTCTATGAATAGAAAGGTTAAACTCTGTGAGTTGAACGCACACATCACAAAGGAGTTTCTGAGAATCATTCTGTCTAGTCTTTATACGAAGATATTTCCTTTTCTACCATTGACCTCAAAGCGCCTGAAATCTCCACTTGCAAATTCCACAAAAAGAGTGTTTCAACTCTGCTCTGTGTAAAGGATCGTTCAACTCTGTGAGTTGAATACACACTACACAAGGAAGTTACTGAGAATTCTTCTGTCTAGCAGAATATGAAGAAATCCCGTTTCCAACGAATGCCACAAGATGTCAGAATATCCACTTACAGAATTGACAAACAGACTGTTTCCTAACTGCTCTATGAAAAGAAAGGTTAAACTCTGTGAGTTGAACGAACACATCACAACGCAGTTTGTGGGAATGATTCTGTCTAGTTTTGAAGCGAAGATATTTCCTTTTCTGCCATTGACATTAAAGCGCTTGAAATCTACACTTGCAAATTGCACAGAGTGTTTCAAATCTGCTCTGTCTAAGGGAACGTTCATCTCTGTGAGTTGAATGCACACAACACTAGGAAGTTACTGGGAATTATTCTGTCTAGCCTTACAGGAAAGAACCCCGTTTCCAACGAAGGCCTCTAAGTGGTCAAAATATCCACGTGCAGACTTTACAAACAGAGTGTTTCCAAACTGCTGAATGAAAAGAAAAGTTAAAATCTGAGAGTTGAACGCACACATCGCAGAGCAGTTTCTGAGAATGATTCTGTCTAGTTTTTATACGAAGATATTTCCTTTTCTGCCTTTGGCCTCAAAGCGCTTGAAATCTCCATTTGCAAATTCCACAAAAAGAGTGTTTCAAATCTGCTCTGTGTAAATGAAAGTTCAACTCTGTGAGTTGAATACACACAACACAAGGAAGTTACTGAGAATTCTTCTGTCTAGTCTTATATGAAAAAAACCCGTTTCCAACGAAGGCCTCAAAGAGGTCTGAATATCCACTTGCAGACTTTACAAACAGAGTGTTTCCTAACTGCTCTATGAAAAGAAAGGTTAAACTCTGTGAGTTGAACGCACACATCATAAAGGAGATTCTGAGAATCATTCTGTCTAGTCTTTATATGAAGATAGTTTCCTTTTCTACCATTGACCTCAAAGCGGCTGAAATCTCCACTTGCAAATTCCACAAAAAGAGTGTTTCAAGTCTGCTCTGTGTAAAGGATCCTTCAACTCTGTGAGTTGAATACACACAACACAAGGAAGTTACTGAGAATTCTTCTGTCTAGCAGAATATGAAGAAATCCCGTTTCCAACGAAGGCCTCAAGGAGGTCTGAATATCCACTTGCAGACTTTACAAACAGAGTGTTTCCTAACTGCTTTATGA
Source organism: Homo sapiens (assembly GCF_000001405.40). Classification (NCBI taxonomy): domain Eukaryota; kingdom Metazoa; phylum Chordata; class Mammalia; order Primates; family Hominidae; genus Homo; species Homo sapiens. The sequence continues at coordinate 26,589,820 of NC_000019.10, read as the reverse complement.
AAAGAAAGGTTAAACTCTTTGAGTTGAACGCACACATCACAACGCAGTTTGTGGGAATGATTCTGTCTAGTTTTGAAACGAAGATATTTCCTTTTCTGCCATTGACCTCAAAGCGCTTGAAATCTCCACTTGCCAATTGCACAAAAAGAGTGTTTCAAATCTGCTGTGTCTAAGGGAACGTTCAACTCTGTGAGTTGAATGTACACAACACAAGGAAGTTACTGAGAATTCTTCTGTCTAGCCTTACATGAAAAAAACCCGTTTCCAACGAAGGCCTCTAAGGGGTCAAAATATCCACGGGCAGACTTCACAAACAGAGTGTTTCCAAACCGCTGAATGAAAAGAAAAGTTAAACTCTGAGAGTTGAACGCACACATCACGCAGCAGTTTCTGAGAATGATTCTGTCTAGTTTTTATGCGAAGATATTTCCTTTTCTGCCTTTGGCCTCAAAGCGCTTGAAATCTCCACTTGCAAATTCCACAAAAAGAGTGTTTCAAATCTGCTCTGTGTAAATCAAAGTTCAACTCTGTGAGTTAAACACACACAACACAAGGAAGTTACTGGGAATTCTTCTGTCTAGCATAATATGAAGAAATCCCGTTTCCAACGAAGGCCTCAAGGAGGTCTGAATATCCACTTGCAGACTTTACAAACGCAGTGTTTCCTAACTGCTCTATGAAAAGAAAGGTTAAACTCTGTGAGTTGAACGCACACATCACAAAGGAGTATCTGAGAATCATTCTGTCTAGTTTTTCTACGAAGATATTTCCTTTTCTACTATTGACCTCAAAGCGGCTGAAATCTCCACTTGCAAGTTCTACAAATAGAGTGTTTCAAGTCTGCTCTGTGTAAAGGATCGTTCAACTCTGTGAGTTGAATACACACAACACAAGGAAGTTACTGAGAATTCTTCTGTCTAGCAGAATATGAAGAAATCCCGTTTCCAACGAAGGCCTCAAGGAGGTCTGAATATCCACTTGCAGACTTTACAAACAGAGTGTTTCCTAACTGCTCTATGAAAAGAAAAGTTAAACTCTGTGAGTTGAACGAACACATCACAACGCAGTTTGTGGGAATGATTCTGTCTAGTTTTGAAACGAAGATATTTCCTTTTCTGCCATTGACCTTAAAGCGCTTGAAATCTCCACTTGCCAATTGCACAAAAAGAGTGTTTCAAATCTGCTCTGTCTAAGGGAACGTTCAACTCTGTGAGTTGAATGTACACAACACAAGGAAGTTACTGGGAATTCTTCTGTCTAGCCTTACAGGAAAAAAACCCGTTTCCAACGAAGTCCTCTAAGTGGTCAAAATATCCACGTGCAGACTTTACAAACAGAGTGTTTCCAAACTGCTGAATGAAAAGAAAAGTTAAACTCTGAGAGTTGAACGCACACATCGCAGAGCAGTTTCTGAGAATGATTCTGTCTAGTTTTTATACGAAGAGATTTCCTTTTCTACCATTGACCTCAACGCGGCTGAAATCTCCACTTGCAAATTCCACAAAAAGAGTGTTTCAAGTCCGCTCTGTGTAAAGGATCGTTCAACTCTGTGAGTTGAATACACACAACACAAGGAAGTTACTGAGAAATCTTCTGTCTAGCACAGTATGAAGAAATCCCGATTCCAACGAAGGCCTCAAAGAGGTCTGAACATCCACTTGCACAGTTTACAAACAGAGTGTTTCCTAACTGCTCTATGAAAAGAAAGGTTAAACTCTGTGAGTTGAACGCACACGTCACAAAGAAGTTTCTGAGAATCATTCTGTCTAGTTTTTATACGAAGATATTTCCTTTTCTACCATTGACCTCAACGCGGCTGAAATCTCCACTTGCAAATTCCACAAAAACAGTGTTTCAAGTCTGCTCTGTGAAAAGGATCGTTCAACTCTGTGAGTTGAATACACACAACACAAGGAAGATTCTGAGAATTCTTCTGTCTAGCAGAATATGAAGAAATCCCGTTTCCAACGAAGGCCACAAGATGTCAGAATATCCACTTACAGAATTTACAAACAGACTGTTTCCTAAGTGCTCTATGAAAAGAAAGGTTAAACTCTGTGAGTTGAACGAACACATCACAACGCAGTTTGTGGGAATGATTCTGTCTAGTTTTGAAACGAAGATATTTCCTTTTCTGCCGTTGACCTTAAAGCGCTTGAAATCTACACTTGCAAATTGCACAAATAGAGTGTGTCAAATCTGCTCGGTCTAAGGGAACGTTCAACTCTGTGAGTTGAATGCACACAACACAAGGAAGTTACTGGGAATTCTTCTGTCTAGCCTTACATGAAAAAAACCCGTTTCCAACGAAGGCCTCTAAGTGGTCAAATTATCCACGTGCAGACTTTACAAACAGAGTGTTTCAAAACTGCTGAATGAAAAGCAAAGTTAAACTCTGAGAGTTGAACGCACACATCGCAGAGCAGTTTCTGAGAATGATTCTGTCTAGTTTTTATACGAAGATATTTCCTTTTCTGCCTTTGGCCCCAAAGCGCTTGAAATCTCCACTTGCAAATTCCACAAAAACAGTGTTTCAAATCTGCCCTCTCTAAATGAAAGTTCAACTCTGTCAGTTGAATACACACAACACCAGGAAGTTACTGAGAATTCTTCTGTCTAGCATAATATGAAGAAATCCCGTTTCCAACGAAGGCCTCAAAGAGGTCTGAATATCCACTTGCAGACTTTACAAACAGAGTGTTTCCTAACTGCTCTATGAAAAGTTAAAGTCTGTGAATTGAACGCACACATCACAAAGGAGTTTCTGAAAATCATTCTGTCTAGTTTCTATAGGAAGATATTTCCTATTCTACCATTGACCTCAAAGCGGCTGAAATCTCCACTTGCAAATTCCACTAAAAGAGTGTTTCAAGTCTGCTCTGTGTAAAGGATCGTTCAACTCTGTGAGTTGAATACACACAACACAAGGAAGTTACTGAGAATTCTTCTGTCTAGCCTTATATGAAAAAAACCCGTTTCCAACGAAGGCCTCAAAGAGGTCTGAATATCCACTTGCAGACTTTACAAACAGAGTGTTTCCTAACTGCTCTATGAAAAAAAAAGTTAAACTCTGTGAGTTGAACGCACACATCACAAAGGAGTTTGCTGAGAATCATTCTGTCTAGTTTTTATAGGAAGATATTTCCTTTTCTACCTTTGACTTCAAAGCGGCTGAAATCTCCACTTGCAAATTCCACAAAAAGAGTGTTACAAGTCTGCTCTGTGTATAGGATCGTTCAACTCTGTGAGTTGAATACACACAACACAAGGAAGTTACTGAGAATTCTTCTGTCTAGCCTTACATGAAAAAAACCCGTTTCCAACGAAGGCCTCTAAGTGGTCAAAATATCCACGTGCAGACTTTACAAACAGAGTGTTTCCAAACTGCTGAATGAAAAGAAAAGTTAAACTCTGAGAGTTGAACGCACACATCGCAGAGCAGTTTCTGAGAATGATTCTGTCTAGTTTTGAAACGAAGATATTTCCTTTTCTGCCTTTGGCCTCAAAGCGCTTGAAATCTCCACTTGCAAATTCCACAAAAACAGTGTTTCAAATCTTCTCTGTGTAAATGAAAGTTCAACTCTGTGACTTGAACACACACAACACAAGGAAGTTACTGGGAATTCTTCTGTCTAGCATAGTATGAAGAAATCCCGTTTCCAACGAAGGCCTCAAAGAGGTCTGAATTTCCACTTGCAGAGTTTACAAACAGAGTGTTTCCTAACTGCTCTATGAAAAGAAAGGTTAAACTCTGTGAGTTGAACGCACACATCACAAAGAAGTTTCTGAGAATCATTCTGTCTAGTTTTTATAGGAAGTTATTTCCTTTTCTACCTTTGACTTCAAAGTGGCTGAAATCTCCACTTGCAAATTCCACAAAAAGAGTGTTATAAGTCTGTTCTGTGTAAAGGATCGTTCAACTCTGTGAGTTGAATACACACAACACAAGGAAGTTACTGAGAATTCTTCTGTCTAGCAGAATATGAAGAAATCCCGTTTCCAACGAAGGCCACAAGATGTCAGAATATCCACTTACAGAATTGACAAACAGACTGTTTCCTAACTGCTCTATGAAAAGAAAGGTTAAACTCTGTGAGTTGAACGAACACATCACAACGCAGTTTGTGGGAATGATTATCTCTCTAGTTTTGAAACGAAGATATTTCCTTTTCTGCCATTGACCTTAAAGCGCTTGAAATCTCCACTTGCCAATTGCACAAAAAGAGTGTTTCAAATCTGCTCTGTCTAAGGGAACGTTCAACTCTGTGAGTTGAATGTACACAACACAAGGAAGTTACTGGGAATTCTTCTGTCTAGCCTTACAAGAAAAAAACCCGTTTCCAACGAAGGCCTCTAAATGGTCAAAATATCCACGTGCAGACTTTACAAACAGAGTGTTTCCAAACTGCTGAATGAAAAGAAAAGTTAAACTCTGAGAGTTGAACGCACACATCGCAGAGCAGTTTCTGAGAATGATTCTGTCTAGTTTTGAAACGAAGATATTTCCTTTTCTGCCTTTGGCCTCAAAGCGCTTGAAATCTCCACTTGCAAATTCCACAAAAAGAGTGTTTCAAATCTGCTCTGGGTAAATGAAAGTTCAATTCTGTGAGTTGAACACACACAACACAAGGAAGTTACTGGGAATTCTTCTGTCTAGCATAATATGAAGAAATCCCGTTTCCAACGAAGGCCTCAAAGGGGTCTGAATATCCACATGCAGACTTTATAAACAGAGTGTTTACTAACTGCTCTATGAAAAGAAAGGTTAAACTCTGTGAGTTGAACACACACATCACAAAGGAGTTTCTGAGAATCATTCTGTCTAATCTTTATACGAACATATTTCCTTTTCTACCATTGACCTCAAAGCGGCTGAAATCTCCACTTGCAAATTCCACAAAAAGAGTGTTTCAAGTCTGCTCTGTGTAAAGGATCGTTCAACTCTGTGAGTTGAATACACACAACACAAGGAAGTTACTGAGAATTCTTCTGTCTAGCAGAATATGAAGAAATCCCGTTTCCAACGAAGGCCACAAGATGTCAGAATATCCACTTACAGACTTTACAAACAGAGTGTTTCCTAACTGCTCTATGAACAGAAAGGTTAAACTCTGTGAGTTGAACGAACACATCACAACGGAGTTTGTGGGAATGATTCTGTCTAGTTTTTATAGGAAGTTATTTCCTTTTCTACCTTTGACTTCAAAGTGGCTGAAATCTCCACTTGCAAATTCCACAAAAAGAGTGTTACAAGTCTGCTCTCTGTAAAGGATCGTTCAACTCTGTGAGTTGAATACAGACAACACAAGGAAGTTACTGAGAATTCTTCTGTCTAGCCTTACATGAAAAAAACCCGTTTCCAACGAAGGCCTCTAAGTGGTCAAGTTATCCACGTGCAGACTTTACAAACAGAGTGTTTCCAAACTGCTGAATGAAAAGAAAAGTTAAACTCTGAGAGTTGAACGCACACATCGCAGAGCAGTTTCTGAGAATGATTCTGTCTAGTTTTGAAACGAAGATATTTCCTTTTCTGCCTTTGGCCTCAAAGCGCTTGAAATCTCCACTTGCAAATTCCACAAAAAGAGTGTTTCAAATCTGCTCTGTGTAAATGAAAGTTCAACTCTGTGAGTTGAACACAGACAACACAAGGAAGTTACTGGGAATTCTTCTGTCTAGCCTTATATGAAAAAAACCCGTTTCCAACGAAGGCCTCAAAGAGGTCTGAATATCCACCTGCAGACTTTACAAACAGAGTGTTTCCTAACTGCTCTATGAAAAGAAAGGTTAAACTCTGTGAGTTGAACACACACATCACAAAGGAGTTTCTGAGAATCATTCTGTCTAGTTTTTATACGAAGATATTTCCTTTTCTACCATTGACCTCAAAGCGGCTGAAATCTCCACTTGCAAATTCCACAAAACGAGTGTTTCAAGTCTGCTCTGTGTAAAGGATAGTTCAACTCTGTGAGTTGAATACACACAACACAAGGAAGTTACTGAGAATTCTTCTGTCTAGCAGAATATGAAGAAATCCCATTTCCAACGAAGGCCACAAAATGTCAGAATATCCACTTACAGACTTTACAAACAGAGTGTTTTCTAACTGCTCTATGAACAGAAAGGTTAAACTCTGTGAGTTGAACGAACACATCACAACGCAGTTTGTGGGAATGATTCTGTCTAGTTTTGAAACGAAGATATTTCCTTTTCTGCCATTGACCTTAAAGCGCTTGAAATCTACACTTGCAAATTGCACAAGTAGAGTGTTTCAAATCTGCTCTGTCTAAGGGAACGTTCAACTCTGTGAGTTGAATGCACACAACACAAGGAAGTTACTGGGAATTCTTCTGTCTAGCCTTACGTGAAAAAAACCCGTTTCCAACGAAGGCCTCTAAGCGGTCAAGTTATCCACGTGCAGACTTTACAAACAGAGTGTTTCCAAACTGCTGAATGAAAAGAAAAGTTAAACTCTGAGAGTTGAACGCACACATCGCAGAGCAGTTTCTGAGAATGATTCTGTCCAGTTTTTATACGAAGATATTTCCTTTTCTGCCTTTGGCCTCAAAGCGCTTGAAATCTCCATTTGCAAATTCCACAAAAAGAGTGTTTCAAATCTGCTCTGTGTAAATGAAAGTTCAACTCTGTGAGTTGAACACACACAACACAAGGAAGTTACTGGGAATTCTTCTCTCTAGCCTTATATGAAAAAAACCCGTTTCCAACGAAGGCCTCAAAGAGGTCTGAATATCCACTTGCAGACTTTACAAACAGAGTGTTTCCTAACTGCTCTATGAAAAGAAAGGTTAAACTCTGTGAGTTGAACGCACACATCACAAAGGAGTTTCTGAGAATCATTCTGTCTAGTTTCTATAGGAAGATATTTCCTATTCTACCATTGACATCAAAGCGGCTGAAATCTCCACTAGCAAATTCCACAAAAAGAGTGTTTCAAGACTGTTCTGTGTAAAGGATCATTCAACTCTGTGAGTTGAATACACACAACACAAGGAAGTTACTGAGAATTCTTCTGTCTAGCAGAATGTGAAGAAATCCCGTTTCCAACGAAGGCCACAAGATGTCAGAATATCCACTTACAGAGTTTACAAACAGAGTGTTTCCTAACTGCTCTATGAACAGAAAGGTTAAACTCTGTGAGTTGAACGAACACATCACAACGCAGTTTGTGGGAATGATTCTGTCTAGTTTTGAAACGAAGATATTTCCTTTTCTGCCGTTGACCTTAAAGCGCTTGAAATCTACACTTGCAAATTGCACAAATAGAGTGTTTCAAATCTGCTCTGTCTAAGGGAACGTTAAACTCTGTGAGTTGAATGCACACAAAACAAGGAAGTTACTGGGAATTCTTCTGTCTAGCATTACATGAAAAAAACCCGTTTCCAACGAAGGCCTCTAAGTGGTCAAAATATCCACGTGCAGACTTTACAAACAGAGTGTTTCCAAACCGCTGAATCAAAAGAAAAGTTAAACTCTGAGAGTTGAACGCACACATCACGCAGCAGTTTCTGAGAATGATTCTGTCTAGTTTTTATACGAAGATATTTCCTTTTCTGCCTTTGGCCACAAAGCGCTTGAAATCTCCACTTGCAAATTCCACAAAAACAGTGTTTCAAATCTGCTCTCTCTAAATGAAAGTTCAACTCTGTCAGTTGAATACACACAACACAAGGAAGTTACTGAGAATTCTTCTTTCTAGCAGAATATGAAGAAATCCCGTTTCCAACGAAAGCCTCAAGGATGTCTGAATATCCACTTGCAGACTTTACAAACAGAGTGTTTCCTAACTGCTCTATGAAAAGAAAGGTTAAACTCTGTGAGTTGAACGCACGCATCACAAAGGAGTTTCTGAGAATCATTCTGTCTAGTTTCTATAAGAAGATATTTCCTATTCTACCATTGACCTCAAAGCGGCTGAAATCTCCACTTGCAAATTCGACAAAAAGACTGTTTCAAGCCTGCTCTCTGTAAAGGATCGTTCAACTCTGTGAGTTGAATACACACAACACAAGGAAGTTACTGAGAATTATTCTGTCTAGCAGAATTTGAAGAAATCCCGTTTCCAACGTAGGCCACAAGATGTCAGAATATCCACTTACAGAATTTACAAACAGACTGTTTCCTAACTGCTCTATGAAAAGAAAGTTTAAACTCTGTGATTTGAACGAACACATCACAACGCAGTTTGTGGGAATGATTCTGTCTAGTTTTGAAACGAAGATATTTCCTTTTCTGCCATTGACCTTAAAGCGCTTGAAATCTCCATTTGCCAATTGCACAAAAAGAGTGTTTCAAATCTGCTCTGTCTAAAGGAACGTTCAACTCTGTGAGTTGAATGTACACAACACAAGGAAGTTACTGGGAATTCTTCTGTCTAGCCTTACATGAAAAAAACCCGTTTCCAACGAAGGCCTCTAAGTGGTCAAATTATCCACGTGCAGACTTTACAAACAGAGTGTTTCCAAACTGCTGAATGAAAAGCAAAGTTAAACTCTGATAGTTGAACGCACACATCGCAGAGCAGTTTCTGAGAATGATTCTGTCTAGTTTTTATACGAAGATATTTCCTTTTCTGCCTTTGGCCCCAAAGCGCTTGAAATCTCCACTTGAAAATTCCACAAAAACAGTGTTTCAAATCTGCTCTCTCTAAATGAAAGTTCAACTCTGTCAGTTGAATACACACAACACAAGGAAGTTACTGAGAATTCTTCTGTCTAGCAGAACATGAAGAAATCCCGTTTCCAACGAAGGCCTCAATGATGTCTGAATATCCACATGCAGACTTTACAAACAGAGTGTTTCCTAACTGCTCTATGAAAAGAAAGGATAAACTCTGTGAGTTGAACGCACACATCACAAAGGAGTTTCTGAGAATCATTCTGTCTAGTTTCTATAGGAAGATATTTCCTATTCTACCATTGAACTCAAAGCGGCTGAAATCTCCACTTGCAAATTCCACATAAAGAGTGTTTCAAGTCTGCTCTGTGTAAAGGATCATTCAACTCTGTGAGTTGAATACACACAACACAAGGAAGTTACTGACAATTCTTCTGTCTAGCAGAATATGAAGAAATCCCGTTTCCAACGAAGGCCACAAGATGTCAGAATATCCACTTACAGAATTTTCAAACAGACTGTTTCCTAACTGCTCTATGAAAAGAAAGGTTAAACTCTGTGAGTTGAACGCACACATCACAAAGAAGTTTCTGAGAATCATTCTGTCTAGTTTTGAAACGAAGATATTTCCTTTTCTGCCGTTGACCTTAAAGCGCTTGAAATCTACACTTGGAAATTGCACAAATAGAGTGTTTCAAATCTGCTCTGTCTAAGGGAACGTTCAACTCTGTGAGTTGAATGCACACAACACAAGGAAGTTACTGGGAATTCTTCTGTCTAGCCTTATATGAAAAAAACCCGTTTCCAACGAAGGCCTCTAAGTGGTCAAAATATCCACGTGCAGACTTTACAAACAGAGTGTTTCCAAACCGCTGAATGAAAAGAAAAGTTAAACTCTGAGAGTTGAACGCACACATCATGCAGCAGTTTCTGAGAATGATTCTGTCTAGTTTTGAAACGAAGATATTTCCTTTTCTACCGTTGACCTCAACGCGGCTGAAATCTCCATTTGCAAATTCCACAAAAAGAGTGTTTCAAATCTGCTCTGTGTAAATGAAAGTTCAACTGTGTGAGTTGAACACACACAACACAAGGAAGTTACTGGGAATTCTCTGTCTAGCAGAATATGAAGAAATCCCGTTTCCAACGAAGGCCTCAAGGAGGTCTGAATATCCACTTGCACACTTTACAAACAGAGTGTTTCCTAACTGCTCTATGAAAAGAAAGGTTAAACTCTGTGAGTTGAACGCACACATCACAAAGGAGTTTATGAGAATCATTTCTGTCTAGTTTTTATACGAAGATATTTCCTTTTCTACCATTGACCTCAAAGCGGCTGAAATCTCCACTTGCAAATTCCACAAAAAGAGTGTATCAAGTCTGCTCTGTGTAAAGGATCGTTCAACTCTGTGAGTTGAATACACACAGCACAAGGGAAGTTACTGAGAATTCTTCTCTCAGGCATAATATGAAGAAATCCCGTTTGCAAAGAAGGCCTCAAAGAGGTCTGAATATCCACTTGCAGAGTTTACAAACAGAGTGTTTCCTAACTGCTCTATGAAAAGAAAGGTTAAACTCTGTGAGTGGAACGCACACATCACAAAGAATTTTCTGAGAATCATTCTGTCTAGTTTTGAAACGAGGATATTTCCTTTTCTGCCATTGACCTTAAAGCGCTTGAAATCTACACTTGCAAATTGCACAAATAGAGTGTTTCAAATCTGCTCTGCCTAAGGGAACGTTCAACTCTGTGAGTTGAATGCACACAACACAAGGAAGTTACTGGGAATTCTTCTGTTTAGCCTTACATGCAAAAAACCCGTTTCCAACGAAGGCCTCTAAGTGGTCAAAATATCCACGTGCAGACTTTACAAACAGAGTGTTTCCAAACGGCTGAATGAAAAGAAAAGTTAAACTCTGAGAGTTGAACGCACACATCACGCAGCAGTTTCTGAGAATGATTCTGTCTAGTTTTTATAGGAAGATATTTCCTTTTCTACCATTGACCACATAGCGGCGGAAATCTCCACTTGCAAATTCCACAAAAAGAGTGTTTCAAGTCTGCTCTGTGTAAAGGATCGTTCAACTCTGTGAGTTGAATACACACAACACGCGGAAGTTACTAAGAATTCTTCTGTCTAGCATAGTATGAAGAAATCCCGTTTCCAACGAAGGCCTCAAAGAGGTCTGAATATCCACTTGCAGAGTTTACAAACAGAGTGTTTCCTAACTGCTCTATGAAAAGAAAGGTTAAACTCTGTGAGTTGAACGCACACATCACAAAGGAGTTTCTGAGAATCATTCTGTCTAGTTTTTATACGAAGATATTTCCTTTTCTACCATTGACCTCAAAGCGGCTGAAATCTCCACTTGCAAATTCCACAAAAAGAGTGTTTCAAATCTGCTCTGTGTAAATGAAAGTTCAACTCTGTGAGTTGAACACACACAACACAAGGAAGTTACTGGGAATTCTTCTGTCTAGCCTTATATGAAAAAAACCCGTTTCCAACGAAGGCCTCAAAGCAGGTCTGAATATCCACTTGCAGACTTTACAAACAGAGTGTTTCCTAACTGCTCTATGAAAAGAAAGGTTAAACTCTGTGAGTTGAACACACACATCACAAAGGAGTTTCTGAGAATCATTCTGTCTAGTTTTTATACGAAGATATTTCCTTTTCTACCATTGACCTCAAAGAGGCTGAAATCACCACTTGCCAATTGCACAAAAAGAGTGTTTCAAATCTGCTCTGTCTAAGGGAACGTTCAACTCTGTGAGTTGAATGTACACAACACAAGGGAAGTTACTGGGAATTCTTCTGTCTAGCCTTACAGGAAAAAAACCCGTTTCCAATGAAGGCCTCTAAGTGGTCAAATTATCCACGTGCAGACTTTACAAACAGAGTGTTTCCAAACTGCTGAATGAAAAGAAAAGTTAAACTCTGAGAGTTGAACGCACACATCGCAGAGCAGTTTCTGAGAATGATTCTGTCTAGTTTTTATACGAAGATATTACCTTTTCTGCCTTTGGCCCCAAAGCGCTTGAAATCTCCACTTGCAAATTCCACACAAACAGTGTTTCAAATCTGCTCTCTCTAAATGAAAGTTCAACTCTGTCAGTTGAATACACACAACACAAGGAAGTTACTGAGAATTCTTCTGTCCAGCATAATATGAAGAAATCCCGTTTCCAAAGAAGGCCTCAAGGATCTCTGAATATCCACTTGCAGACCTTACAAACAGAGTGTTTCCTAACTGCTCTATGAAAAGAAAGGTTAAACTCTGTGAGTTGAACGCACACATCACAAAGGAGTTTCTGAGAATAATTCTGTCTAGTTGTTATACGAAGATATTTCCTTTTCTACCATTGACCTCAAAGCGGCTGAAATCTCCACTTGCAAATTCCACCAAATGAGTGTTTCAAATCTGCTCTGTGTAAACCATCGTTCAACTCTGTGAGTTGAATACACACAACACAAGGAAGATTCTGAGAATTCTTCTGTCTAGCAGAATATGAAGAAATCCCGTTTCCAACGAAGGCCACAAGATGTCAGAATATCCACTTACAGAATTTTCAAACAGACTGTTTCCTAACTGCTCTATGAAAAGAAAGGTTAAACTCTGTGAGTTGAACGAACACATCACAACGCAGTTTGTGCGAATGATTCTGTTTAGTATTTATAAGAAGATATTTCCTTTTCTACCTTTGACTTCAAAGCGGCTGAAATCTCCACTTGCAAATTCCACAAAAAGAGTGTTACAAGTCTGCTCTGTGTAAAGGATCGTTCAACTCTGTGAGTTGAATACACACAAAACAAGGAAGTTACTGAGAATTCTTCTGTCTAGCCTTACATGAAAAAAACCCGTTTCCAACGAAGGCCTCTAAGTGGTCAAAATATCCACGTGCAGACTTTACACACAGAGTGTTTCCAAACCGCTGAATGAAAAGAAAAGTTAAACTCTGAGAGTTGAAAGCACACATCACGCAGCAGTTTCTGAGAATGATTCTGTCTAGTTTTTATACGAAGATATTTCCTTTTCTGCCTTTGGCCCCAAAGCGCTTGAAATCTCCACTTGCAAATTCCACAAAAACAGTGTTTCAAATCTGCTCTCTCTAAACGAAAGTACAACTCTGTCAGTTGAATACACACAACACAAGGAAGTTACTGAGAATTCTTCTGTCTAGCCTTACATGAAAAAAACCCGTTTCCAACGAAGGCCTCAAAGAGGTCTGAATATCCACTTGCAGACTTTACAAACAGAGTGTTTCCTAACTGCTCTATGAAAAGAAAGGTTAAACTCTGTGAGTTGAACACACACATCACAAAGGAGTTTCTGAGAATCATTCTGTCTAGTTTTTATACGAAGATATTTCCTTTTCTACCATTGACCACAAAGCGGCTGAAATCTCCACTTGCAAATTCCACAAAAAGAGTGTTTCAAGTCTGCTGTGTGTAAAGGAACGTTCAACTCTGTGAGTTGAATACACACAACAGAAGGAAGTTACTGAGAATTCTTCTGTCTAGCCTTACATGAAAAAAACCCGTTTCCAAAGAAGGCCTCTAAGTGGTCAAATTATCCACGTGCAGACTTTACAAACAGAGTGTTTCCAAACTGCTGAATGAAAAGAAAAGTTAAACTCTGAGAGTTGAACGCACACATTGCAGAGCAGTTTCTGAGAATGATTCTGTCTAGTTTTGAAACGAAGATATTTCCTTTTCTGCCTTTGGCCTCAAAGCGCTTGAAATCTCCACTTGCAAATTCCACAAAAAGAGTGTTTCAAATCTGCTCTGGGTAAATGAAAGTTCAACTCAGTGAGTTGAACACACACAACACAAGGAAGTTACTGGGAATTCTTCTGTCTAGCCTTACAGGAAAAAATCCCGTTTCCAACGAAGGCCTCTAAGTGGTCAAAATATCCACGTGCAGACTTTACAAACAGAGTGTTTCCAAACTGCTGAATGAAAAGAAAAGTTAAACTCTGAGAGTTGAACGCACACATCGCAGAGCAGTTTCTGAGAATGATTCTGTCTAGTTTTTATACGAAGATATTTCCTTTTCTGCCTTTGGCCTCAAAGCGCTTGAAATCTCCATTTGCAAATTACACAAAAAGAGAGTTTCAAATCTGCTCTGTGTAAATGAGAGTTCATCTCTGTGAGTTGAACACACACAACACAAGGAAGTTACTGGGAATTCTTCTGTCTAGCATAATATGAAGAAATCCCGTTTCCAACGAAGGCCTCAAGGAGGTGTGAATATCCACTTGCAGACTTTACAAACAGAGTGTTTCCTAACTGCTCTATGAAAAGAAAGGTTAAACTGTGTGAGTTGAACGCACACATCACAAAGGAGTTTCTGAGAATCATTCTGTCTAGTTTTTGTACGAAGATATTTCCTTTTCTACCATTGACCTCAAAGCGGCTGAAATCTCCACTTGCAAATTCCACAAAAAGAGTGTTTCAAATCTGCTCTGAGTAAACCATCGTTCAACTCTGTGAGTTGAATACACACAACACAAGGAAGATTCTGAGAATTCTTCTGTCTAGCAGAATATGAAGAAATCCCGTTCCCAACGAAGGCCACAAGATGTCAGAATATCCACTTACAGACTTTACAAACAGAGTGTTTCCTAACTGCTCTATGAACAGGAAGGTTAAACTCTGTGAGTTGAACGAACACATCACAACGCAGTTTGTGGGAATGATTCTGTCTATTTTTTATATGAAGATATTTCCTTTTCTACCATTGACCTCAAAGCGGCTGAAATCTCCACTTGCAAATTCCACAAAAAGAGTGTCTCAAGTCTGCTCTGTGTAAACGATCGTTGAACTCTGTGAGTTGAATACACACAACACAAGGAAGTTTCTGAGAATTCTTCTGTATAGCAGAATATGAAGAAATCCCGTTTCCAAAGAAAGCCTCAAAGATGTCTGAATATCCACTTGCAGACTTTACAAACAGAGTGTTTCCTAACTGCTCTATGAAAAGAAAGGTTAAACTCTGTGAGTTGAACGCACACATCACAAAGGAGTTTCTCAGAATCATTCTGTCTACTTTCTATAGGAAGATATTTCCTATTGTACCATTGACCTCAAAGCGGCTGAAATCTCCACTTGCAAATTCCACAAAAGGAGTGTTTCAAGTCTGCTCTGTGTAAAGGATCGTTCAACTCTGTGAGTTGAAAACACACAACACAAGGAAAGTTACTGAGAATTCTTCTGTCTAGCAGAACATGAAGAAATCCCGTTTCCAACGAAGGCCTCATAGATGTCTGAATATCCACTTGCAGACTTTACAAACAGAGTGTTTCCTAACTGCTCTATGAAAAGAAAGGTTAAACTCTGTGAGTTGAACGCACACATCACAAAGGAGTTTCTGAGAATCATTCTGTCTAGTCTTTATACGAAGATATTTCCTTTTCTACCATTGAAATCAAAGCGGCTGAAATCTCCACTTGCAAATTCCACAAAAAGAGTGTTTCAAGTCTGCTCTGTGTAAAGGATCGTTCAACTCTGTGAGTTGAATACACACAACACAAGGAAGTTACTGAGAATTCTTCTGTCTAGCAGAATATGAAGAAATCCCGTTTCCAACGAAGGCCACAAGATGTCAGGATATCCACTTACAGAATGTACAAACAGACTGTTTCCTAACTGCTCTATGAAAAGAAAGGTTAAACTCTGTGAGATGAACGAACACATCACAACGCAGTTTGTGGGAATGATTCTGTCTAGTTTTGAAACCAAGATATTTCCTTTTCTGCCGTTGACCTTAAAGAGCTTGAAAACTACACTTGCAAATTGCACAAATAGAGTGTTTCAAATCTGCTCTGTCTAAAGGAACGTTCAACTCTGTGAGTTGAATGCACACAACACAAGGAAGTTACTGGGAATTCTTCTGTCTAGCCTTACATGAAAAAAACCCGTTTCCAACGAAGGCCTCAAAGAGGTCTGAATATCCACGTGCAGACTTTACAAACAGAGTGTTTCCAAACCGCTGAATGAAAAGAAAGGTTAAACTCTGTGAGTTGAACGCACACATCACAAAGGAGTTTCTGAGAATCATTCTGTCTAGTTTTGGCCCCAAAGCGCTTGAAATCTCCACTTGCAAATTCCACAAAAACAGTGTTTCAAATCTGCTCTCTCTAAATGAAAGTTCAACTCTGTCAGTTGAATACACACAACACAAGGAAGTTACTGAGAATTCTTCTGTCTAGCATAATATGAAGAAATCCCGTTTCCAACGAAGGCCTTAAGGAGGTCTGAATATCCACTTGCAGACTTTACAAACACAGTGTTTCCTAACTGTTCTATGAAAAGAAAGGTTAAACTCTGTGAGTTGAACGCACACATCACAAAGGAGTTTCTGAGAATCATTCTGTCTAGTTTTTATACGAAGATATTTCCTTTTCTACCATTGACCTCAAAGCGGCTGAAATCTCCACTTGCAAATTCCACAAAAAGAGTGTTTCAAGTCTGCTCTGTGTAAAGCATCGTTCAACTCTGTGAGTTGAATACACACAACACAAGGAAGTTACTGAGAATTCTTCTGTCTAGCATAATATGAAGAAATCCCGTTTCCAACGAAGGCCTCAAGGAGGTCTGAATATCCACTTGCAGACTTTACAAACAGAGTGTTTCCTAACTGCTCTATGAAAAGAAAGGTTAAACTGTGAGTTGAATGCACACATCACAAAGGAGTTTCTGAGAATCATTCTGTCTAGTTTTGAAACGAAGATATTTCCTTTTCTGCCGTTGACCTTAAAGCGGTTGAAATCTACACTTGCAAATTGCACAAATAGAGTGTTTCAATTCTGCTCTGTCTAAGGAAACGTTCAACTCTGTGACTTGAATGCACACAACACAAGGAAGTTACTGGGAATTCTTCTGTCTAGGCTTACATGAAAAAAACCCGTTTCCAACGAAGGCCTCTAAGTGGTCAAAATATCCACGTGCAGACTTTACAAACAGAGTGTTTCCAAACCGCTGAATGAAAAGAAAAGTTAAACTCTGAGAGTTGAACGCACACATCACGCAGCAGTTTCTGAGAATGATTCTGTCTAGTTTTTATACGAAGATATTTCCTTTTCTGCCTTTGGCCCCAAACCGCTTGAAATCTCCACTTGCAAATTCCACAAAAACAGTGTTTCAAATCTGCTCTCTCTAAATGAAAGTTCAACTCTGTCAGTTGAATACACACAACACAAGGAAGTTACTGAGAATTCTTCTGTCTAGCAGAATATGAAGAAATCCCGTTTCCAACGAAGGCCTCAAGGAGGTCTGAATATCCACTTGCAGACTTTACAAACAGAGTGTTTCCTAACTGCTCTATGAACAGAAAGGTTAAACTCTGTGAGTTGAACGCACACATCACAAAGGAGTTTCTGACAATCATTCTGTCTAGTTTCTATAGGAACATATTTCCTATTCTACCATTGACCTCAAAGCGGCTAAAATCTCCACTTGCAAATTCCACAAAAAGAATGTTTCAAGTCTGCTCTGTGTAAAGGATCGTTCAACTCTGTGAGTTGAATACACACAACACAAGGAAGTTACTGAGAATTCTTCTGTCTAGCAGAATATGAAGAAATCCCGTTTCCAACGAAGGCCACAAGACGTCAGAATATCCACTTACAGACTTTACAAACAGAGTGTTTCCTAACTGCTCTATGAACAGAAAGGTTAAACTCTGTGAGTTGAACGAACACATCACAACGCAGTTTGTGGGAATGATTCTGTCTAGTTTTGAAACGAAGATATTTCCTTTTCTGCCATTGACCTTAAAGCGCTTGAAATCTACACTTGCAAATTGCACAAATAGAGTGTTTCAAATCTGCTCTGTCTAAGGGAACGTTCAACTCTGTGAGTTGAATGCACACAACACAAGGAAGTTACTGGGAATTCTTCTGTCTAGCCTTACAGGAAAAAAACCCGTTTCCAACGAAGGCCTCTAAGTGGTCAAATTATCCACGTGCAGACTTTACAAACAGAGTGTTTCCAAACTGCTGAATGAAAAGAAAAGTTAAACTCTGAGAGTTGAACGCACACATCGCAGAGCAGTTTCTGAGAATGATTCTGTGTAGTTTTTATACGAAGATATTTCCTTTTCTGCCTTTGGCCTCAAAGCGCTTGAAATCTCCACTTGCAAATTCCACAAAAAGAGTGTTTCCAATCTGCTCTGTGTAAATGAAAGTTCAACTCTGTGAGTTGAACACACACATCACAAGGAAGTTACTGGGAATTCTTCTGTCTAGCAGAATATGAAGAAATCCCGTTTCCAACGAAGGCCTCAAGGAGGTCTGAATATCCACTTGCAGACTTTACAAACAGAGTGTTTCCTAACTGTTCTATGAAAAGAAAGGTTAAACTCTGTGAGTTGAACGCACACATCACAAAGGAGTTTATGAGAATCATTCTGTCTAGTTTCTATAGGAAGATATTTCCTATTCTACCATTGACCCCATAGCGGCTGAAATCTCCACTTGCAAATTCCACAAAAAGAGTGTTTCAAGTCTGCTCTGTGTAAAGGATCGTTCAACTCTGTGAGTTGAATACACACAACACAAGGAAGTTACTGAGAATTCTTCTGTCTAGCAGAATATGAAGAAATCCCGTTTCCAACGAAGGCCACAAGATGTCAGAATATCCACTTACAGACGTTACAGAGTGTTTCCTAACTGCTCTATGAACAGAAAGGTTAAACTCTGTGAGTTGAACGAACATATCACAAGGCAGTTTGTGGGAATGATTCTGTCTAGTTTTGAAACGAAGATATTTCCTTTTCTGCCATTGACCTTAAAGCGCTTGAAATCTACACTTGCAAATTGCACAAATAGAGTGTTTCAAATCTGCTCTGTCTAATGGACGTTCAACTCTGTGAGTTGAATGCACACAACACAAGGAAGTTACTGGGAATTCTTCTGTCTAGCCTTACATGAAAAAAACCCGTTTCCAACGAAGGACTCTAAGTGGTCAAAATATCCACGTGCAGACTTTACAAACAGAGTGTTTCCAAACCGCTGAATGAAAAGAAAAGTTAAACTGTGAGAGTTGAACGCACACATCACGCAGCAGTTTCTGAGAATGATTCTGTCTAGTTTTTCTATGAAGATATTTTCTTTTCTACTATTGACCTCAAAGCGGATGAAATCTCCACTTGCAAATTACACAAAAAGAGTGTTTCAAGTCTGCTCTGTGTAAAGGATCGTTCAACTCTGTGAGTTGAATACACACAACACAAGGAAGTTACTGAGAATTCTTCTGTCTAGCAGAATATGAAGAAATCCCGTTTCCAACGAAGGCCTCAAGGAGGTCAGAATATCCACTTGCAGGCTTTACAAACAGAGTGTTTCCTAACTGCTCTATGAAAAGAATGGTTAAACTCTGTGAGTTGAACGCACACATCACAAAGGAGTTTCTGAGAATCATTCTGTCTAGTTTTTATAGGAAGATATTTCCTTTTCTACCTTTGACTTCAAAGCTGCTGAAATCTCCACTTGCGAATTCCACAAAAAGAGTGTTACAAGTCTGCTCTGTGTAAAGGATCGTTCAACTCTGTGAGTTGAATACACACAACACAAGGAAGTTACTGAGAATTCTTCTGTCTAGCCTTACATGAAAAAAACCCGTTTCCAACGAAGGCCTCTAAGTAGTCAAATTATCCACGTGCAGACTTTACAAACAGAATGTTTCCAAACTGCTGAATGAAAAGAAAAGTTGAACTCTGAGAGTTGAACGCACACATCGCAGAGCAGTTTCTGAGAATGATTCTGTCTAGTTTTGAAACGAAGATATTTCCTTTTCTGCCGTTGACCTTAAAGCGCTTGAAATCTACACTTGCAAATTGCACAGAGTGTTTCCAATCTGCTCTGTCTAAGGGAACGTTCAACTCTGTGAGTTGAATGCACACAACACAAGGAAGTTACTGGGAATTCTTCTGTCTAGCCTTACATGAAAAAAACCCGTTTCCAACGAAGGCCTCTACGTGGTCAAAATATCCACGTGCAGACTTTACAAACAGAGTGTTTCCAAACCGCTGAATGAAAAGAAAAGTTAAACTCTGAGAGTTGAACGCACACATCACGCAGCAGTTTCTGAGAATGATCTCTGTCTAGTTTCTATAGGAAGATATTTCCTATTCTACCATTGACCTCAAAGCGGCTGAAATCTCCACTTGCAAATTCCACAAAAAGAGTGTTTCAAGTCTGCTCTGTGTAAAGGATCGTTCAATTCTGTGAGTTGAATACACACAACACAAGGAAGTTACTGAGAATTCTTGTGTCTAGCATAATATGAAGAAATCCCGTTTCCAACGAAGGCCTCAAGGAGGTCTGAATATCCACTTGCAGACTTTACAAACAGAGTGTTTCCTAACTGCTCTATGAAAAGAAAGGTTAAACTCTGTGAGTTGAACGCACACATCACAAAGGAGTTTCTGAGAATCATTCTGTCTAGTCTTTATACGAAGATATTTCCTTTTCTACCATTGACCTCAAAGCGGCTGAAATCTCCACTTGCAAATTCCACAAAAAGAGTGTTTCAAGTCTGCTCTGTGTAAAGGATCGTTCAACTCTGTGAGTTGAATACACACCACACAAGGAAGTTACTGAGAATTCTTCTGTCTAGCAGAATATGAAGAATTCCCGTTTCCAACGAAGGCCTCAAGGAGGTCTGAATATCCACTTGCAGACTTTTCAAACAGAGTGTTTCCTAACTGCTCTATGAAAAGAAAGGTTAAACTCTGTGAGTTGAACGCACACATCACAAAGGAGTTTATGAGAATCATTCTGTCTAGTTTTGAAACGAAGATATTTCCTTTTCTGCCATTGACCTTAAAGCGCTTGAAATCTCCATTTGCCAATTGCACAAAAAGAGTGTTTCAAATCTGCTCTGTCTAAGGGAACGTTCAACTCTGTGAGTTGAATGTACACAACACAAGGAAGTTCCTGGGAATTCTTCTGTCTAGCCTTACAGGAAAAAAACCCGTTTCCAAAGAAGGCCTCTAAGTGGTCAAAATATCCACGTGCAGACTTTACAAACAGAGTGTTTCCAAACTGCTGAATGAAAAGAAAAGTTAAACTCTGAGAGTTGAACGCACACATCGCAGAGCAGTTTCTGAGAATGATTCTGTCTAGTCTTTATACGAAGATATTTCCTTTTCTGCCTTTGGCCGCAAAGCGCTTGAAATCTCCACTTGCAAATTCCACAAAAACAGTGTTTCAAATCTGCTCTCTGTAAATGAAAGTTCAACTCTGTCAGTTGAATACACACAACACAAGGAAGTTACTGAGAATTCTTCTGTCTAGCATAATATGAAGAAATCCCGTTTCCAACGAAGGCCTCAAATGGGTCTGAATATCCACTTGCAGACTTTATAAACAGAGTGTTTCCTAACTGCTCTATGAAAAGAAAGGTTAAACTCTGTGAGTTGAACACACACATCACAAAGGAGTTTCTGAGAATCATTCTGTCTAGTCTTTATACGAAGATATTTCCTTTTCTACCATTGACCTCAAAGCGGCTGAAATCTCCACTTGCAAATTCCACAAAAGAGACTGTTTTCAAGTCTGCTCTGTGTAAAGGATCGTTCAACTCTGTGAGAGGAATACACACAACACAAGGAAGTTACTGAGAATTCTTCTGTCTAGCAGAATATGAAGAAATCCCGTTTCCAACGAAGGCCACAAGATGTCAGAATATCTACTTACAGACTTTACAAACAGAGTTTTTCCTAACTGCTCTATGAACAGAAAGGTTAAACTCTGTGTGTTGAACGAACACATCACAACGCAGTTTGTGGGAATGATTCTGTCTAGTTTTGAAATGAAGATATTTCCTTTTCTGCCATTGACCATAAAGCGCTTGAAATCTACACTTGCAAATTGCACAAATAGAGTGCTTCAAATCTGCTCTGTCTAAGGGAACGTTCAACTCTGTGAGTTGAATGCACACAACACAAGGAAGTTACTGGGAATTCTTCTGTCTAGCCTTACAGGAAAAAAACCCGTTTCCAACGAAGGCCTCTAAGTGGTCAAGTTATCCACGTGCAGACTTTACAAACAGAGTGTTTCCAAACTGCTGAATGAAAAGAAAAGTTAAACTCTGAGAGTTGAACGCACACATCGCAGAGCAGTTTCTGAGAATGATTCTGTCTAGTTTTGAAACGAAGATATTTCCTTTTCTGCCTTTGGCCTCAAAGCGCTTGAAATCTCCACTTGCAAATTCCACAAAAAGAGTGTTTCAAAGATGCTCTGTGTAAATGAAAGTTCAACTCTGTGAGTTGAACACACACAACACAAGGAAGTTACTGGGAATTCTTCTGTCTAGCAGAATATGAAGAAATCCCGTTTCCAACGAAGGCCTCAAAGAGGTCTGAATATCCACTTGCAGACTTTACAAACAGAGTGTTTCCTAACTGCTCTATGAAAAGAAAGGTGAAACTCTGTGAGTTGAACGCACACATCACAAAGGAGTTTCTGAGAATCGTTCTGTCTAGTTTCTATAGGAAGATATTTCCTATTCTACCATTGACCTCAAAGAGGCTGAAATCTCCACTTGCAAATTCCACAAAAAGAGTGTTTCAAGTCTGCTCTGTGTAAAGGATCGTTCAACTCTTTGAGTTGAATACACACAACACAAGGAAGTTACTGAGAATTCTTCTGTCTAGCAGCAATATGAAGAAATCCCGTTTCCAACGAAGGCCACAAGATGTCAGAATATCCACTTACAGAATTTACAAACAGATTGTTTCCTAACTGCTCTATGAAAAGAAAGGTTAAACTCTGTGAGTTGAACGAACACATCACAACGCAGTTTGTGGGAATGATTCTGTCTAGTTTTGAAACGAAGATATTTCCTTTTCTGCCATTGACCTTAAAGCGCTTGAAATCTCCACTTGCCAATTGCACAAAAAGAGTGTTTCAAATCTGCTCTGTCTAAGGGAACGTTCAACTCTGTGAGTTGAATGTACACAACACAAGGAAGTTACTGGGAATTCTTCTGTCTAGCCTTACAGGAAAAAAACCCGTTTCCAACGAAGGCCTCTAAGTGGTCAAAATATCCACGTGCAGACTTTACAAACAGAGTGTTTCCAAACTGCTGAATGAAAAGAAAAGTTAAACTCTGAGAGTTGAACGCACACATCGCACAGCAGTTTCTGAGAATGATTCTGTCTAGTTTTGAAACGAAGATATTTCCTTTTCTGCCTTTGGCCTCAAATCGCTTGAAATCTCCAGTTGCAAATTCCACAAAAAGAGTGTTTCAAATCTGCTCTGTGTAAATGAAAGTTCAACTCTGTGAGTTGAACACACACAACACAAGGAAGTTACTGGGAATTCTTCTGTGTAGCCTTATATGAAAAAAACCCGTTTCCAACGAAGGCCTCAAAGAGGTCTGAATATCCACTTGCAGACTTTACAAACAGAGTGTTTCCTAACTACTCTATGAAAAGAAAGGTTAAACTCTGTGAGTTGTACGCACACATCACAAAGGAGTTTCTGAGAATCATTCTGTCTAGTTTTTATACGAAGATATTTCCTTTTCTACCATTGACCTCAAAGCGGCTGAAATATCCAATTGCAAGTTCCACAAAAAGAGTGTTTCTAATCTGCTCTGTGTAAAGGATCTTTCAACTCTGTGATTTGAATGCACACAACACAAGGAAGTTACTGAGAATTCTTCTGTCTAGCAGAATATGAAGAAATCCCGTTTCCAAGGAAGGCCACAAGATGTCAGAATATCCACTTACAGAATTTACAAACAGACTGTTTCCTAACTGCTCTATGAAAAGCAAGGTTAAACTGCTGTGAGTTGAACGAACACATCACAACGCAGTTTGTGGGAATGATTCTGTCTAGTTTTGAGATGAAGATATTTTCTTTTCTGCCATTGACCCTAAAGCGCTTGAAATCTCCACTTCCAAATTGCACAAAAAGAGTGTTTCAAATCTGCTCTGTCTAAGGGAAAGTTCAACTCTGTGAGTTGAATACACACAACACAAGGAAGTTACTGGGAATTCTTCTGTCTAGCCTTACATGAAAAAAACCCGTTTCCAACGAAGGCCTCTAAGTGGTCAAAATTTCCACGTGCAGACTTTACAAACAGAGTGTTTCCAAACCGCTGAATGAAAAGAAAAGTTAAACTCTGAGAGTTGAAGGCACACATCACGCAGCAGTTTCTGAGAATGATTCTGTCTAGTTTTTATACGAAGATATTTCCTTTTCTGCCTTTAGCCCCAAAGCGCTTGAAATCTCCACTTGCAAATTCCACAAAAAGAGTGTTTCAAGTCTGCTCTGTGTAAAGGATCGTTCAACTCTGTGAGTTGAATACACACAACACAAGAAAGTTACTGAGAATTCTTCTGTCTAGCATAGTATGAAGAAATTCCGTTTCCAACGAAGGCCTCAAAGAGGTCTGAATATCCACTTGCACAGTTTACAAACAGAGTGTTTCCTAACTGCTCTATGAGAAGAAAGGTTAAACTCTGTGAGTTGAACGCACACATCACAATGAAGTTTCTGAGAATCATTCTGCCTAGTTTCTATAGGAAGATATTTCCTATTCTACCATTGACCTCAAAGAGGCTGAAATCTCCACTTGCAAATTCCACAAAAAGAGTGTTTCAAGTCTGCTCTGTGTAAAGGATCGTTCAACTCTGTGAGTTGAATACACACAACACAAGGAAGTTACTGAGAATTCTTCTGTCTAGCAGAATATGAAGAAATCCCGTTTCCAACGAAGGCCACAAGATGTCAGAACATTCACTTACAGACTTTACAAACAGAGTGTTTCCTAACTGCTCTATGAACAGAAAGGTTAAACTCTGTGAGTTGAACGAACACATCACAACGCAGTTTGTGGGAATGATTCTGTCTAGTTTTGAAACGAAGATATTTCCTTTTCTTCCATTGACTTTAAAGCGCTTGAAATCTACACTTGCAAATTGCACAAATAGAGTGTTTCAAATCTGCTCTGTCTAAGGGAACGTTCAACTCTGTGAGTTGAATGCACACAACACAAGGAAGTTACTGGGAATTCTTCTGTCTAGCCTTACATGAAAAAAACCCGTTTCCAACGAAGGCCTCTAAGTGGTCAAAATATCCACGTGCAGACTTTACAAACAGAGTGTTTCCAAACCGCTGAATGAAAAGAAAAGTTAAACTCTGAGAGTTGAACGCACACATCACGCAGCAGTTTCTGAGAATGATTTCTGTCTAGTTTTTATACGAAGATATTTCCTTTTCTGCCTTTGGCCCCAAAGCGCTTGAAATCTCCACTTGCAAATTCCACAAAAATAGTGTTTCAAATCTGCTCTCTCCAAATGAAAGTTCAACTCTGTCAGTTGAATACACACAACACAAGGAATTTACTGAGAATTCTTCTGTCTAGCATAATATGAAGAAATCCCGTTTCCAACGAAGGCCTCAAAGAGGTCTGAATATCCACTTGCAGACTTTACAGAGTGTTTCCTAACTGCACTATGAAAAGAAAGGTTAAACTCTGTGAGTTGTACGCACACATCACAAAGGAGTTTCTGAGAATCATTCTGTCTAGTTTCTATAGGAAGATATTTCCTATTCTACCATTGAACTCAAAGCGGCTGAAATCTCCACTTGCAAATTTCACAAAAAGAGTGTTTCAAGTCTGCTCTGTGTAAAGGATCGTTCAACTCTGTGAGTTGAATACACACAACACAAGGAAGTTACTGAGAATTCTTCTGTCTAGCATAATATTAAGAAATCCCGTTTCCAACGAAGGCCTCAAGGAGGTCTGAATATCCACTTGCAGACTTTACAAACAGAGTGTTTCCTAACTGCTCTATGAAAAGAAAGGTTAAACTCTGTGAGTTGAACGCACACATCACAAAGGAGTTTCTCAGAATAATTCTGTCTAGTTTTGAAACGAAGATATTTCCTTTTCTGCCGTTGACCTTAAAGCGCTTGAAATCTACACTTGCAAATTGCACAAATAGAGTGTTTCAAATCTGCTCTGTCTAAGGGAACGTTCAACTCTGTGAGTTGAATGCACACAACACAAGGAAGTTACTGGGAATTCTTCTGTCTAGCCTTACAGGAAAAAAACCCGTTTCCAACGAAGGCCTCTAAGTGGTCAAAATATCCACGTGCAGACTTTACAAACAGAGTGTTTCCAAACTGCTGAATGAAAAGAAAAGTCAAACTCTGAGAGTTGAACGCACACATCGCAGAGCAGTTTCTGAGAATGATTCTGTCTAGTTTTGAAACGAAGATATTTCCTTTTCTGCCTTTGGCCTCAAAGCGCTTGAAATCTCCACTTGCAAATTCCACAAAAAGAGTGTTTCAAATCTTCTCTGTGTAAATGAAAGTTCAACTCTGTGAGTTGAACACACACAACACAAGGAAGTTACTGGGAATTCTTCTGTCTAGCATAATATGAAGAAATCCCGTTTCCAACGAAGGCCACAAGGAGGTCTGAATATCCACTTGCAGACTTTACAAACAGAGTGTTTCCTAACTGCTCTATGAAAAGAAAGGTTAAACTCTGTGAGTTGAATGCACACATCACAAAGGAGTATCTGAGAATCATTCTGTCTAGTCTTTATACGAAGATATTTACTTTTCTACCATTGACCTCAAAGCGGCTGAAATCTCCACTTGCAAATTCCACAAAAAGAGTGTTTCAAGTCTGCTCTGTGTAAAGGATCGTTCAACTCTGTGAGTTGAATACACACAACACAAGGAAGTTACTGAGAATTCTTCTGTCTAGCAGAATACGAAGAAATCCCGTTTCCAACGAAGGCCACAAGATGTCAGAATATCCACTTACAGACTTTACAAACAGAGTGTTTCCTAACTGCTCTATGAACAGAAAGGTTAAACTCTGTGAGTTGAACGAACACATCACAACGCAGTTTGTGGGAATGATTCTGTCTAGTTTTGAAACGAAGATATTTCCTTTTCTGCCATTGACCTTAAAGCGCTTGAAATCTACACTTGCAAATTGCACAAATAGAGTGTTTCAAACCTGCTCTGTCTAAGGGAACGTTCAACTCTGTGAGTTGAATGCACACAACACAAGGAAGTTACTGGGAATTCTTCTGTCTAGCCTTACATGAAAAAAACCCGTTTCCAACGAAGGCCTCTAAGTGGTCAAAATATCCACGTGCAGACTTTTCAAACAGAGTGTTTCCAAACCGCTGAATGAAAAGAAAAGTTAAACTCTGAGAGTTGAACGCACACATCACGCAGCAGTTTCTGAGAATGATTCTGTCTAGTGTTTATACGAAGATATTTCCTTTTCTGCCTTTGGCCCCAAAGCTCTTGAAATCTCCATTTGCAAATTCCACAAAAACAGTGTTTCAAATCTGCTCTCTCTAAATGAAAGTTCAACTCTGTCAGTTGAATACACACAACACAAGGAAGTTACTGAGAATTCTTCTGTCTAGCCTTATATGAAAAAAACCCGTTTCCAACGAAGGCCTCAAAGAGGTCTGAATATCCACTTGCAGACTTTACAAACAGAGTGTTTCCTAACTGCTCTATGAAAACAAAGGTTAAACTCTGTGAGTTGAACGCACACATCACAAAGGAGTTTCTGAGAATCATTCTGTCTAGTCTTTATACGAAGATATTTACTTTTCTACCATTGACCTCAAAGCGGCTGAAATCTCCATTTGCAATTTCCACAAAAAGTGTGTTTCAAGTCTGCTCTGTGTAAAGGATCATTCAACTCTGT
The DNA here is from genome assembly GCF_000001405.40 of Homo sapiens. Classification (NCBI taxonomy): domain Eukaryota; kingdom Metazoa; phylum Chordata; class Mammalia; order Primates; family Hominidae; genus Homo; species Homo sapiens. The sequence goes on along the minus strand of NC_000019.10, from coordinate 26,562,482 downwards.
GAGTTGAATAAACACAACACAAGGAAGTTATTGAGAATTCTTCTGTCTAGCAGAATATGAAGAAATCCCGTTTCCAACGAAGGCCACAAGATGTCTGAATATCCACTTACAGACTTTACAAACAGAGTGTTTCCTAACTGCTCTATGAACAGAAAGGTTAAACTCTGTGAGTTGAACGAACACATCACAACGCAGTTTGTGGGAATGATTCTGTCTAGTTTTGAAACGAAGATATTTCCTTTTCTGCCATTGACCTTAAAACTCTTGAAATCTCCACTTGCCAATTTCACAAAAAGAGTGTTTCAAATCTGCTCTGTCTAAGTTAACGTTCAACTCTGTGAGTTGAATGTACACAACACAAGGAAGTTACTGGGAATTCTTCTGTCTAGCCTTACAGGAAAAAAACCCGTTTCCAACGAAGGCCTCTAAGTGGTCAAAATATCCACGTGCAGACTTTACAAACAGAGAGTTTACAAACTGCTGAATGAAAAGAAAAGTTAAACTCTGAGAGTTGAACGCACACATCGCAGAGCAGTTTCTGAGAATGATTCTGTCTAGTTTTTATACGAAGATATTTCCTTTTCTGCCTTTGGCCTCAAAGCGCTTGAAATCTCCACTTGCAAATTCCACAAAAAGAGTGTTTCAAATCTGCTCTTTGTATATGAAAGTTCAACTCTGTGAGTTGAACACACACAACACAAGGAAGTTACTGGGAATCCTTCTGTCTAGCATAATATGAAGAAATACCGTTTCCAACGAAGGCCTCAAAGAGGTCTGAATATCCACTTGCAGACTTTACAAACAGAGTGTTTCCTAACTGCTCTATGAAAAGAAAGGTTAAACTCTGTGAGTTGAACGCACACATCACAAAGGAGTTTCTGAGAATCATTCTGTCTAGTTTTTATAGGAAGATATTTCCTTTTCTACCTTTGACTTCAAAGCGGCTGAAATCTCCACTTGCAAATTCCACAAAAAGAGTGTTTCAAGTCTGCTACTGTGTAAAGGATCATTCAACTCTGTGAGTTGAATACACACAACACAAGGAAGTTACTGAGAATTCTTCTGTCTAGCAGAATATGAAGAAATCCCGTTTCCAACGAAGGCCCCAAGATGTCAGAATATCCACTTACAGAATTTACAAACAGAGTGTTTCCTAACTGCTCTATGAAAAGAAAGGTTAAACTCTGTGAGTTGAACGAACACTTCACAACGCAGTTTGTGGGAATGATTCTGTCTAGTTTTGAAACGAAGATATTTCCTTTTCTGCCATTGACCTTAAAGCGCTTGAAATCTCCATTTGCCAATTGCACAAAAAGAGTGTTTCAAATCTGCTCTGTCTAAGGGAACGTTCAACTCTGTGAATTGAATGTACACAACACAAGGAAGTTACTGGGAATTCTTCTGTCTAGCCTTACATGAAAAAAACCCGTTTCCAACGAAGGCCTCTAAGTGGTCAAATTATGCACGTGCAGACTTTACAAACAGAGGGTTTCCAAACTGCTGAATGAAAAGAAAAGTTAAACTCTGAGAGGTGAACGCACACATCGCAGAGCAGTTTCTGAGAATCATTCTGTCTAGTTTTGAAACGAAGATATTTCCTTTTCTGCCTTTGGCCTCAAAGCGCTTGAAATCTCCATTTGCAAATTCCACAAAAAGAGTGTTTCAAATCTGCTCTGTGTAAATGAAAGTTCAACTCTGTGAGTTGAACACACACAGCACAAGGAAGTTACTGGGAATTCTTCTGTCTAGCAGAATAGGAAGAAATCCCGTTTCCAACGAAGGCCTCAAAGAGGTCTGAATATCCACTTGCAGACTTTACAAACAGAGTGTTTCCTAACTGCTCTATGAAAAGAAAGGTTAAACTCTGTGAGTTGAACGCACACATCACAATGGAGTTTCTGAGAATCGTTCTGTCTAGTTTCTATAGGAAGATATTTCCTATTCTACCATTGACCTCAAAGCGGCTGAAATCTCCACTTGCAAATTCCACAAAAAGAATGTTTCAAGTCTGCTCTGTGTAAAGGATCGTTCAACTCTGTGAGTTGAATACACACAACGCAAGGAAGTTACTGAGAATTCTTCTGTATAGCATAATATGAAGAAATCCCGTTTCCAACGAAGGCCACAAGATGTCAGAATATCCACTTAGAGACTTTACAAACAGAGTGTTTCCTAACTGCTCTATGAAAAGAAAGGTTAAACTCTGTGAGTTGAACGAACACATCACAACGCAGTTTGTGGGAATGATTCTGTCTAGTTTTGAAACGAAGATATTTCCTTTTCTGCCGTTGACCTTAAAGCGCTTGAAATCTACACTTGCAAATTGGACAAATAGAGTGTTTCAAATCTGCTCTGTCTAAGGGAACGTTCAACTCTGTGAGTTGAATGCACACAACACAAGGAAGTTACTGGGAATTCTTCTGTCTAGCCTTACATGAAAAAAACCCGTTTCCAATGAAGGCCTCTAAGTGGTCAAATTATCCACGTGCAGACTTTACAAACAGAGTGTTTCCAAACTGCTGAATGAAAAGAAAAGTTAAACTGTGAGAGTTGAACGCACACATCGCAGAGCAGTTTCTGAGAATGATTCTGTCTAGTTTTTATACGAAGATATTTCCTTTTCTGCCTTTGGCCCAAAAGCGCTTGAAATCTCCACTTGCAAATTCCACAAAAACAGTGTTTCAAATCTGCTGTCTCTAAATGAAAGTTCAACTCTGTCAGTTGAATACACACAACACAAGGAAGTTACTGAGAATTCTTCTGTGTAGCAGAATATGAATAAATCCCGTTTCCAACGAAGGCCTCAAAGGGGTCTGAATATCCACTTGCAGACTTTATAAACAGAGTGTTTACTAACTGCTCTATGAAAAGGAAGGTTAAACTCTGTGAGTTGAAAACACACATCACAAAGGAGTTTCTGAGAATCATTCTGTGTAGTTTTTCTACGAAGATATTTCCTTTTCTACTATTGACCTCAAAGCGGCTGAAATCTCCACTTACAAATTCCACAAAAAGAGTGTTTCAAGTCTGCTCTGTGTAAAGGATCATTCAACTCTGTGAGTTGAATAAACACAACACAAGGAAGTTACTGAGAATTCTTCTGTCTAGCAGAATATGAAGTAATCCCGTTTCCAACGAAGGCCACAAGATGTCAGAATATCCACTTACAGACTTTACAAACAGAGTGTTTCCTAACTGCTCTATGAACAGAAAGGTTAAACTCTGTGAGTTGAACGAACCCATCACAACGCAGTTTGTGGGAATGATTCTGTCTAGTTTTGAAACGAAGATATTTCCTTTTCTGCCCTTGACCTTAAAGCGCTTGAAATCTACACTTGCAAATTGCACAAATAGAGTGTTTCAAATCTGCTCTGTCTAAGGGAACGTTCAACTCTGTGAGTTGAATGCACACAACACAAGGAAGTTACTGGGAATTCTTCTGTCTAGCCTTACAGGAAAAAAACCCGTTTCCAATGAAGGCCTCTAAGTGGTCAAAATATCCACGTGCAGACTTTACAAACAGAGTGTTTCCAAACTGCTGAATGAAAAGAAAAGTTAAACTCTGAGAGTTGAACGCACACATCGCAGAGCAGTTTCTGAGAATGATTCTGTCTAGTTTTTATACGAAGATATTTCCTTTTCTGCCTTTGACCTCAAAGCGCTTGAAATCTCCATTTGCAAATTCCACAAAAAGAGAGTTTCAAATCTGCTCTGTGTAAATGAAAGTTCAACTCTGTGAGTTGAACACACACAACACAAGGGAAGTTACTGGGAATTCTTCCTTCTAGCAGAATATGAAGAAATCCCGTTTCCAACGAAAGCCTCAAGGATGTCTGAATATCCACTTGCAAACTTTACAAACAGAGTGTTTCCCAACTGCTCTATGAAAAGAAAGGTTAAACTCTGTGAGTTGAACGCACACATCACAAAGGAGTTTCTGAGAATCATTCTGTCTAGTTTTTATACGAAGATATTTCCTTTTCTACCATTGACTTCAACGCGGGTGAAATCTCCACTTGCAAATTCCACAAAAAGAGCGTTTCAAGTCTGCTCTGTGTAAAGGATCGTTCAAATCTGTGAGTTGAATACACACAACACAAGGAAGTTACTGAGAATTCTTCTGTCTAGGAGAATATGAAGAAATCCCATTTCCAACGAAGGCCACAAAATGTCAGAATATCCACTTACAGACTTTACAAACAGAGTGTTTCCTAACTGCGCTATGAACAGAAAGGTTAAACTCTGTGAGTTGAACGAACACATCACAACGCAGTTTGTGGGAATGATTCTGTTTAGTTTTGAAACGAAGATATTTCCTTTTCTGCCGTTGACCTTAAAGCGCTTGAAATCTACACTTGCAAATTGCACAAATAGAGTGTTTCAAATCTGCTCTGTCTAAGGGAACGTTCAACTCTGTGAGTTGAATGCACACAACACAAGGAAGTTACTGGGAATTCTTCTGTCTAGCCTTACATGAAAAAAACCCGTTTCCAACGAAGGCCTCTAAGTGGTCAAATTATCCACGTGCAGACTTTACAAACAGAGTGTTTCCAAACTGCTGAATGAGAAGAAAAGTTAAACTCTGAGAGTTGAACGCACACATCGCAGAGCAGTTTCTGAGAATGATTCTGTCTAGTTTTTATACGAAGATATTTCCTTTTCTGCCTTTGGCCTCAAAGCGCTTGAAATCTCCATTTGCAAATTCCACAAAAAGAGTGTTTCAAATCTGCTCAGTGTAAATGAAAGTTCAACTGTGTGAGTTGAACACACACAACACAAGGAAGTTACTGGGAATTCTTCTGTCTAGCATAATATGAAGAAATCCCGTTTCCAAAGAAGGCCTCAAAGGGGTCTGAATATCCACTTGCAGACTTTATAAACAGAGTGTTTACGAACTGCTCTATGAAAAGAAAGGTTAAACTCTGTGAGTTGAACACACACATCACAAAGGAGTTTCTGAGAATCATTCTGTCTAGTCTTTATACGAAGATATTTCCTTTTCCACCATTGACCTCAAAGCGGATGAAATCTCCACTTGCAAATTCCACAAAAAGAGTGTTTCAAGTCTGCTCTGTGTAAAGGATCGTTCAACTCTGTGAGTTGAATACACGCAACACAAGGAAGTTACTGAGAATTGTTCTGTCTAGCATAATATGAAGAAATCCCGTTTCCAACGAAGGCCTCAAGGAGGTCTGAATATCCACTTGCAGACTTTACAAACAGAGTTTTTTCTAACTGCTCTATGAAAAGAAAGGTGAAACTCTGTGAGTTGAATGCACACATCACAAAGGAGTTTATGAGAATCATTCTGTCTAGTTTTGAAACGAAGATATTTCCTTTTCTGCCATTGACCTTAAAGCGCTTGAAATCTACACTTGCAAATTGCACAAATAGAGTGTTTCAAATCTGCTCTGTCTAAGGGAACGTTCAACTCTGTGAGTTGAATGCACACAACACAAGGAAGTTACTGGGAATTCTTCTGTCTAGCCTTACATGAAAAAAACCCGTTTCCAACGAAGGCCTCTAAGTGGTCAAATTATTCACGTGCAGACGTTACAAACAGAGTGTTTCCAAACTGCTGAATGAAAAGAAAAGTTAAACTCTGAGAGTTGAACGCACACATCGCAGAGCAGTTTCTGAGAATGATTCTGTCTAGTTTTTATACGAACATATTTCCTTTTCTGCCTTTGGCCTCAAAGCGCTTGAAATCTCCATTTTCAAATTCCACAAAAAGAGTGTTTCAAATCTGCTCTGTGTAAATGAAAGTTCAACTGTGTGAGTTGAACACACACAACACAAGGAAGTTACTGGGAATTCTTCTGTCTAGACTTATATGAAAAAAACCCGTTTCCAACGAAGGCCTCAAAGAGGTCTGAATATCCACTTGCAGACTTTACAAACAGAGTGTTTCCTAACTGCTCTATGAAAAGAAAGGTTAAACTCTGTGAGTTGAACGCACACATAACAAAGGAGTTTCTGAGAATCATTCTGTCTAGTCTTTATACGAAGATATTTACTTTTCTACCATTGACCTCAAAGCGGCTGAAATCTCCACTTGCAATTTCCACAAAAAGTGTGTTTCAAGTCTGCTCTGTGTAAAGGATCATTCAACTCTGTGAGTTGAATAAACACAACACAAGGAAGTTACTGAGAATTCTTCTGTCTAGCAGAATATGAAGAAATCCCGTTTCCAACGAAGGCCAAAAGGAGGTCTGAATATCCACTTGCAGACTTTACAAACAGAGTGTTTCCTAACTGCTCTATGAAAAGAAAGGTTAAACTCTGTGAGTTGAACGCACACATCACAAAGGAGTTCATGAGAATCATTCTGTCTAGTTTTGAAACGAAGATATTTCCTTTTCTGCCATTGACCTTAAAGCGCTTGAAATCTCCACTTGCCAATTGCACAAAAAGAGTGTTTCAAATCTGCTCTGTCTAAGGGAACGTTCAACTCTGTGAGTTGAATGTACACAACGCAAGGAAGTTACTGGGAATTCTTCTGTCTAGCCTTACAGGAAAAAAAACCGTTTCCAACGAAGTCCTCTAAGTGGTCAAGTTATCCACGTGCAGACGTTATAAACAGAGTGTTTCCAAACTGCTGAATGAAAAGAAAAGTTAAACTCTGAGAGTTGAACGCACACATCGCAGAGCAGTTTCTGAGAATGATTCTGTCTAGTTTTGAAACGAAGACATTTCCTTTTCTGCCTTTGGCCTCAAAGCGCTTGAAATCTCCACTTGCAAATTCCAAAAAAAGAGTGTTTCAAATCTGCTCTGTGTAAATGAAAGTTCAACTCTGTGAGTTGAACACACACAACACAAGGAAGTTACTGGGAATTCTTCTGTCAAGCCTTATCTTGTAAAAAACCCGTTTCCAACGAAGGCCTCAAAGAGGTCTGAATATCCACTTGCAGACTTTACAAACAGAGTGTTTCCTAACTGCTCTATGAAAAGAAAGGTTAAACTCTGTGAGTTGAACGCACACATCACAAAGGAGTTTCTGAGAATCATTCTGTCTAGTTTTTATAGGAAGATATTTCCTATTCTACCATTGACCTAAAAGCGGCTGAAGTCTCCACTTGCAAATTCCACAAAAAGAGTGTTTCAAGTCTGCTCTGTGTAAAGGATCGTTCAACTCTGTGAGTTGAAAACACACAACACAAGGAAGTTTCTGAGAATTCTTCTGTCTAGCAGAATATGAAGAAATCCCGTTTCCAACGAAGGCCACAAGATGTCAGAATATCCACTTACAGAATTTACAAACAGACTGTTTCCTAAGTGCTCTATGAAAAGAAAGGTTAAACTCTGTGAGTTGAACGAACACATCACAACGCAGTTTGTGGGAATGATTCTGTCTAGTTTTTATAGGAAGATATTTCATTTTCTACCTTTGACTTCAAAGCGGCTGAAATCACCACTTGCAAATTCCACAAAAAGAGTGTTACAAGTCTGCTCTGTGTAAAGGATCGTTCAACTCTTTGAGTTGAATACACACAACACACGGAAGTTACTGAGAATTCTTCTGTCTAGCCTTACATGCAAAAAACCCGTTTCCAACGAAGGCCTCTAAGTGGTCAAAATATCCACGTGCAGACTTTACAAACAGAGTGTTTCGAAACCGCTGAATGAAAAGAAAAGTTAAACTCTGAGAGTTGAACGCACACATCACGCAGCAGTTTCTGAGAATGATTCTGTCTAGTTTTTATACGAAGATATTTCCTTTTCTGCCTTTGGCCCCAAAGCGCTTGAAATCTCCACTTGCAAATTCCACAAAAACAGTGTTTCAAATCTGCTCTCTCCAACTGAAAGTTCAACTCTGTCAGTTGAATACACACAACACAAGGAAGTTACTGAGAATTCTTCTGTCTAACCTTATATGAAAAAAACCCGTTTCCAACGAAGGCTTCAAAGAGGTCTGAATATCCACTTGCAGACTTTACAAACAGAGTGTTTCCTAACTGCTCTATGAAAAGAAAGGTTAAACTCTGTGAGTTGAACACACACATCACAAAGGAGTTTCTGAGAATCATTCTGTCTAGTCTTTATACGAAGATATTTCCTTTTCTACCATTGACCTCAAAGCGGCTGAAATCTCCACTTGCAAATTCCACCAAAAGTGTGTTTCAAGTCTGCTCTGTGTAAAGGATCGTTCAACTCTGTGAGTTGAATACACACAACACAAGGGAGTTACTGAGAATTATTCTGTCTAGCAGAATATGAAGAAATCCCGTTTCCAACGAAGGCCACAAGGATGTCAGAATATCCACTAACAGACTTTACACAGTGTTTCCTAACTGCTCTATGAACAGAAAGGTTAAACTCTGTGAGTTGAACGAACACATCACAACGCAGTTTGTGGGAATGATTCTGTCTAGTTTTGAAACGAAGATATTTCCTTTTCTGCCATTGACCTTAAAGCGCTTGAAATCTCCACTTGCCAATTGCACAAAAAGAGTGTTTCAAATCTGCTCTGTCTAAGGGAACGTTCAACTCTGTGAGTTGAATGTACACAACGCAAGGAAGTTACTGGGAATTCTTCTGTCTAGCCTTACAGGAAAAAAACCCGTTTCCAACAAAGGCCTCTAAGTGGTCAAAATATCCACGTGCAGACTTTACAAACAGAGTGTTTCCAAACTGCTGAATGAAAAGAAAAGTTAAACTCTGAGAGTTGAACGCACACATCGCAGAGCAGTTTCTGAGAATGATTCTGTCTAGTTTTTATACGAAGATATTTCCTTTTCTACCATTGACCTCAAAGCGGCTGAAATCTCCACTTGCAAATTCCACAAAAAGAGTGTTTCAAGTCCGCTCTGTGTAAAGGATCGTTCAACTCTGTGAGTTGAATACACACAACACAAGGAAGTTACTGAGAATTCTACTGTCTAGCACAGTATGAAGAAATCCCGTTTCCAACGAAGGCCTCAAAGGGGTGTGAATATCCACTTGCAGAGTTTACAAACAGAGTGTTTCCTAACTGCTCTATGAAAAGAAAGGTTAAACTCTGTGAGTTGAACGCACACATCACAATGAAGTTTCTGAGAATCATTCTGTCTATTCTTTATACGAAGATATTTCCTTTTCTACCATTGACCTCAAAGCGGCTGAAATCTCCACTTGCAAATTCCACAAAAAGAGTTTTTCAAGTCTGCTCTCTGTAAAGGATCGTTCAACTCTGTGAGTTGAATACACACAACACAAGGAAGTTACTGAGAATTATTCTGTCTAGCAGAATATGAAGAAATCCCGTTTCCAACGAAGGCCACAAGATGTCAGAATATCCACTTACAGAATTTACAAACAGACTGTTTCTTAACTGCTCTATGAAAAGAAAGGTTAAACTCTGTGAGTTGAACGAACACATGACAACGCAGTTTGTGGGAATGATTCTGTCTAGTTTTGAAACGGAGATATTTCCTTTTCTGCCATTGACCTTAAAGCGCTTAAAATCTCCACTTTCCAATTGCACAAAAAGAGTGTTTCAAATCTGCTCTGTCTAAGGGAACGTTCAACTCTGTGAGTTGAATGTACACAACACAAGGAAGTTACTGGGAATTCTTCTGTCTAGCCTTACATGAAAAAAACCCGTTTCCAACGAAGGCCTCTAAGTGGTCAAAATTTCCACGTGCAGACTTTACAAACAGAGTGTTTCCAAACTGCTGAATGAAAAGAAAAGTTAAACTCTGAGAGTTGAACGCACACATCACGCAGCAGTTTCTGAGAATGATTCTGTCTAGTTTTTATACGAAGATATTTCCTTTTCTGCCTTTGGTCTCAAAGCGCTTGAAATCTCCATTTGCAAATTCCACAAAAAGAGTGTTTCAAATCTGCTCTGTGTAAATGAAAGTTCAACTCTGTGAGTTGAACACACACAACACAAGGAAGTTACTGGGAATTCTTCTGTCTAGCATAGTATGAAGAAATCCCGTTTTCAACGAAGGCCTCAATGAGGTCTGAATATCCACTTGCAGAATTTACAAACAGAGTGTTTCCTAACTGCTCTATGAAAAGAAAGGTTAAACTCTGTGAGTTGAACGCACACATCACAAAGAAGATTCTGAGAATCATTCTGTCTAGTTTTTGTACGAAGATATTTCCTTTTCTACCATGGACCTCAAAGCGGCTGAAATGTCCACTTGCAAATTCCACAAAAAGAGTGTTTCAAGTCTGCTCTGTGTAAAGGATCGTTCAACTCTGTGAGTTGAATACACACAACACAAGGAAGATTCTGAGAATTCTTCTGTCTAGCAGAATATGAAGAAATCCCGTTTCCAACGAAGGCCACAAGATGTCAGAATATCCACCTACAGAATTTACCAACAGAGTGTTTCCTAACTGCTCTATGAAAAGAAAGGTTAAACTCTGTGAGTTGAACGAACACATCACAACGCAGTTTGTGGGAATGATTCTGTCTAGTTTTGAAACGAAGATATTTCCCTTTCTGCCATTGACCTTAAAGCGCTTGAAATCTCCACTTGCCAATTGCACAAAAAGAGTGTTTCAAATCTGCTCTGTCTAAGGGAACGTTCAACTCTGTGAGTTGAATGTACACAACACAAGGAAGTTACTGGGAATTCTTCTGTCTAGCCTTACATGAAAAAAACCCGTTTCCAACGAAGGCCTCTAAGTGGTCAAAATATCCACGTGCAGACTTTACAAACAGAGTGTTTCCAAACCGCTGAATGAAAAGAAAAGTTAAACTCTGAGAGTTGAACGCACACATCACGCAGCAGTTTCTGAGAATGATTCTGTCTAGTTTTTATACGAAGATATTTCGTTTTCTGCCTTTGGCCCCAAAGCGCTTGAAATCTCCACTTGCAAATTCCACAAAAACAGTGTTTCAAATCTGCTCTCTCTAAATGAAAGTTCAACTCTGTCAGTTCAATAAACACAACACAAGGAAGTTACTGAGAATTCTTCTGTCTAGCAGAATATGAAGAAATCCCGTTTCCAACGAAGTCCTCAAGGAGGTCTGAATATCCACTTGCAGACTTTACAAACAGAGTGTTTCCTAACTGCTCTATGAAAAGAAAGGTGAAACTCTGTGAGTTGAACACACACATCACAAAGGAGTTTCTGAGAATCATTCTGTCTAGTTTCTATAGGAAGATATTTCCTATTCTACCATTGACCTCAAAGCGGCTGAAATCTCCACTTGCAATTTCCACAAAAAGAGTGTTTCAAGTCTGCTGTGTGTAAAGGATCGTTCAACTCTGTGAGTAGAATACACACAACACAAGGAAGTTACTGAGAATTCTTCTGTCTAGCAGAATATGAAGAAATCCCGTTTCCAACGATGGCCACAAGTATGTCAGAATATCCACTTACAGACTTTACAAACAGAGTGTTTCCTAACTGCTCTATGAACAGAAAGGTTAAACCCTGTGAGTTGAACGAACACATCACAACGCAGTTTGTGGGAATGATTCTGTCTAGTTTTTATACGAAGATATTTCCTTTTCTACCATTGACCTCAAAGCGGCTGAAATCACCACTTGCCAATTGCACAAAAAGAGTGTTTCAAATCTGCTCTGTCTAAGGGAACGTTCAACTCTGTGAGTTGAATGTACACAACACAAGGAAGTTACTGGGAATTCTTCTGTCTAGCGTTACAGGAAAAAAACCCGTTTCCAACGAAGGCCTCTAAGTGGTCAAAACATCGACGTGCAGACTTTACAAACAGAGTGTTTACAAACTGCTGAATGAAAAGAAAAGTTAAACTCTGAGAGTTGAACGCACACATTGCAGAGCAGTTTCTGAGAATGATTCTGTCTAGTTTTTATACGAAGATATTTCCTTTTCTGCCTTTGGCCTCAAAGCGCTTGAAATCTCCACTGGCAAATTCCACAAAAAGAGTGTTTCAAATCTGCTCTTTGTAAATGAAAGTTCAACTCTGTGAGTTGAACACACACAACACAAGGAAGTTACTGGGAATCCTTCTGTCTAGCATAATAGGAAGAAATCCCGTTTCCAACGAAGGCCTCAAGGAGGTCTGAGTATCCACTTGCAGACTTTACAAGCAGAGTGTTTCCTAACTGCTCTATGAAAAGAAAGGTTAAACTCTGTGAGTTGAATGCACACAGCACAAAGGAGTTTCTCAGAATCATTCTGTCTAGTTTTTATAGGAAGATATTTCCTTTTCTACCTTTGACTTCAAAGCGGCTGAAATCTCCACTTGCAAATTCCACAAAAAGAGTGTTACTAGTCTGCTCTGTGTAAAGGATCGTTCAACTCTGTGAGTTGAATACACACAACACAAGGAAGTTACTGAGAATTCTTCTGTCTAGAAGAATATGAAGAAATCCCGTTTCCAACGAAGGCCACAAGATGTCAGAATATCCACTTACAGACTTTACAAACAGAGTGTTTCCTAACTGCTCTATGAACAGAAAGGTTAAACTCTGTGAGTTGAACGAACACATCACAACGCAGTTTGTGGGAATGATTCTGTCTAGTTTTGAAACGAAGATATTTCCTTTTCTGCCGTTGACCTTAAAGCGCTTGAAATCTACACTTGCAAATTGCACAAATAGAGTGTTTCAAATCTGCTCTGTCTAAGGGAACGTTCAACTCTGTGAGTTGAATGCACACAACACAAGGAAGTTACTGGGAATTCTTCTGTCTAGCCTTATATGAAAAAAACCCGTTTCCAAAGAAGGCCTCTAAGTGGTCAAATTATCCACGTGCAGACTTTACAAACAGAGTGTTTCCAAACTGCTGAATGAAAAGAAAAGTTAAACTCTGAGAGTTGAACGCACACATCGCAGAGCAGTTTCTGAGAATGATTCTGTCTAGTTTTTATACGAAGATATTTCCTTTTCTGCCTTTGGCCCCGAAGCGCTTGAAATCTCCACTTGCAAATTCCACAAAAACAGTGTTTCAAATCTGCTCTCTCTAAATGAAAGTTCAACTCTGTCAGTTGAATACACACAACACAAGGAAGTTACTGAGAATTCTTCTGTCTAGCATAATATGAAGAAATCCCGTTTCCAACGAAGGCCTCAAGGAGGTCTGAATATCCACTTGCAGACTTTACAAACAGAGTGTTTCCTAACTGCTCTATGAAAAGAAAGGTTAAACTCTGTGAGTTGAACGCACACATCACAAAGGAGTTTCTGAGGATCATTCTGTCTAGTTTCTATAGGAAGATATTTCCTATTCTACCATTGACCTCAAAGCGGCTGAAATCTCCACTTGCAAATTCCACAAATAGAGTGTTTCAAGTCTGCTCTGTGTAAAGGATCGTTCAACTCTGTGAGTTGAATACACACAACACAAAGAAGTTACTGAGAATTCTTCTGTCTAGCACAGTATGAAGAAATCCCGTTTCCAACGAAGGCCACAAGATGTCAGAATATCCACTTACAGAATTTACAAACAGACTGTTTCCTAACTGCTCTATGAAAAGAAAGGTTAAACTCTGTGAGTTGAACGAACACATCACAACGCAGTTTGTGGGAATGATTCTGTGTAGTTTTGAAACGAAGATATTTCATTTTCTGCCATTGACCTTAAAGCGCTTGAAATCTCCACTTGCAAATTGCACAAAAAGAGTGTTTCAAATCTGCTCTGTCTAAAGGAACATTCAACTCTGTGAGTTGAATGCACACAACACAAGGAAGTTACTGGGAATTCTTCTGTCTAGCCTTACATGAAAAAAACCCGTTTCCAAAGAAGGCCTCTAAGTGGTCAAAATATCCAGGTGCAGACTTTACAAACAGAGTGTTTCCAAACTGCTGAATGAAAAGAAAAGTTAAACTCTGAGAGTTGAACGCACACATCGCAGAGCAGTTTCTGAGAATGATTCTGTCTAGTTTTTATACGAAGATATTTCCTTTTCTGCCTTTGGTCCCAAAGCGCTTGAAATCTCCACTTGCAAATTCCACAAAAACAGTGTTTCAAATCTGCTCTCTCTAAATGAAACTTCAACTCTGTCAGTTGAATACACAAAACACAAGGAAGTTACTGAGAATTCTTCTGTCTAGCCTTATATGAAAAAAACCCGTTTCCAACGAAGGCCTCAAAGAGGTCTGAATATCCACTTGCAGACTTTACAAACAGAGTGTTTCCTAACTGCTCTATGAAAAGAAAGGTTAAACTCTATGAGTTGAACGCACACATCACAAAGGAGTTTCTGAGAATCATTCTGTCTAGTTTCCATAGGAAGATATTTCCTATTCTACCATTGACCTCAAAGCGGCTGAAATCTACACTTTCAAATTCCATAAGAAGAGTGTATCAAGTCTGCTCTGTGTAAAGGATCGTTCAACTCTGTGAGTTGAATACACACAACACAAGGAAGTTACTGAGAATTCTTCTGCCTAGCAGAATTTGAAGAAATCCCGATTCCAACGAAGGCCTCAAAGAGGTCTGAATATCCACTTGCAGACTTTACAAACAGAGTGTTTGCTAACTGCTCTATGAAAAGAAAAGTTAAACTCTGTGAGTTGAACGCACACATCACAAAGGAGTTTCTGAGAATCATTCTGTCTAGTTTTGAAACGAAGATATTTCCTTTTCTGCCATTGACCTTAAAGCGCTTGAAATCTCCATTTGCCAATTGCACAAAAAGAGTGTTTCAAATCTGCTCTGTCTAAGGGAACGTTCAACTCTGTGAGTTGAATGTACACAACACAAGGAAGTTACTAGGAATTCTTCTGTCTAGCCTTACATGAAAAAATCCCGTTTCCAACGAAGGCCTCTAAGTGGTCAAAATATCCACGTGCAGACTATACAAACAGAGTGTTTCCAAACCGCTGAATGAAAAGAAAAGTTAAACTCTGAGGGTTGAACGCACACATCACGCAGCAGTTTCTGAGAATGATTCTGTCTAGTTTTTATACGAAGATATTTCCTTTTCTGCCTTTGGCCCCAAAGCGCTTGAAATCTCCAATTGCAAATTCCACAAAAACAGTGTTTCAAATCTGCTCTCTCTAAATGAAAGTTCAACTCTGTCAGTTGAATACACACAACACAAGGGAAGTTACTGAGAATTCTTCTGTCTAGCATAATATGAAGAAATCCCGTTTCCAACGAAGGCCTCAAGGAGGTCTGAATATCCACTTGCAGACTTTACAAACAGAGTGTTTCCTAACTGCTCTATGAAAAGAAAGGTTAAACTCTGTGAGTTGAACGCACACATCACAAAGGAGTTTATGAGAATCATTCTGTCTAGTTTTTCTACGAAGATATTTCCTTTTCTACTATTGACCTCAAAGCGGCTGAAATCTCCACTTGCAAATTCCACAAAAAGAGTGTTTCAAGTCTGCTCTGTGTAAAGGATCGTTCAACTCTGTGAGTTGAATACACACAACACAAGGGAGTTACTGAGAATTCTTCTGTCTAGCAGAATATGAAGAAATCCCGTTTCCAACGAAGGCCACAAGATGTCAGAATATCCACTTACAGAATTTACAAACAGACTGTTTCCTAACTGCTCTATGAAAAGAAAGGTTAAACTCTGTGAGATGAACGAACACATCACAACGCAGTTTTTGGGAATGATTCTGTCTAGTTTTGAAACGAAGATATTTCCTTTTCTGCCATTGACCTTAAAGCGCTTGAAATCTCCAATTGCCAATTGCACAAAAAGAGTGTTTCAAATCTGCTCTGTCTAAGGGAACGTTCAACTCTGTGAGTTGAATGTACACAACACAAGGAAGTTACTGGGAATTCTTCTGTCTAGCCTTACAGGAAAAAAACCCATTTCCAACGAAGGCCTCTAAGTGGTCAAAATATCCACGTGCAGACTTTACAAACAGAGTGTTTCCAAACTGCTGAATGAAAAGAAAAGTTAAACTCTGAGAGTTGAAGGCACACATCGCAGAGCAGTTTCTGAGAATGATTCTGTCTAGTTTTGAAACGAAGATATTTCCTTTTCTGCCTTTGGAATCAAAGCGCTTGAAATCTCCATTTGCAAATTCCACAAAAAGAGTGTTTCAAATCTGCTCTGTGTAAATGAAAGTTCAACTCTGTGAGTTGAACACACACAACACAAGGAAGTTACTGGGAATTCTTCTGTCTAGCAGAATATGAAGTAAATCCCGTTTCCAACGAAGGCCTCAAAGGGGTCTGAATATCCACTTGCAGACTTCATAAACAGAGTGTTTACTAACTGCTCTATGAAAAGAAAGGTTAAACTCTGTGAGTTGAACACACACATCACAAAGGAGTTTCTGAGAATCATTCTGTCTAGTTTCTATAGGAAGATATTTCCTATTCTACCATTGACCTCAAAGCGGCTGAAATCTCCACTTGCAAATTCCACAAAAAGAGTGTTTCAAGTCTGCTCTGTGTAAAGGATCGTGCAACTCTGTGATTTGAATACACACAACACAAGGAAGTTACTGAGAATTCTTCTGTCTAGCAGAATATGAAGAAATCCCGTTTCCAACGAAGGCCACAAGATGTCAGATTATCCACTTACAGACATTACAAACAGAGTGTTTCCTAACTGCTCTATGAACAGAAAGGTTAAACTCTGTGAGTTGAACGAACACATCACAACGCAGTTTGTGGGAATGATTCTGTCTAGTTTTGAAACGAAGATATTTCCTTTTCTGTCATTGACCTTAAAGCGCTTGAAATCTACACTTGCAAATTGCACAAATAGAGTGTTTCAAATCTGCTCTGTCTAAGGGAACGTTCAACTCTGTGAGTTGAATGCACACAACACAAGGAAGTTACTGGGAATTCTTCTGTCTAGCCTTACATGAAAAAAACCCGTTTCCAACGAAGGCCTCTAAGTGGTCAAGTTATCCACGTGCAGACTTTACAAACACAGTGTTTCCAAACTTCTGAATGAAAAGAAAAGTTAAACTCTGAGAGTTGAACGCACACATCGCAGAGCAGTTTCTGAGAATGATTCTGTCTAGTTTTTATACGAAGATATTTCCTTTTCTGCCTTTGGCCCCAAAGCGCTTGAAATCTCCACTTGCACATTCCACAAAAACAGTGTTACAAATCTGCTCTCTCTAAATGAAAGTTCAACTCTGTCAGTTGAATACACACAACACAAGGAAGTTACTGAGAATTCTTCTGTCTAGCATAATATGAAGAAATCCCGTTTCCAACAAAGGCCTCAAAGGGGTCTGAATATCCAATTGCAGACTTTACAAACAGAGTGTTTCCTAACTGCTCTATGAAAAGAAAGGTTAAACTCTGTGAGTTGAACGCACACATCACAAAGGAGTTTATGAGAATCATTCTGTCTAGTTTTCATACGAAGATATTTCCTTTTCTACCATTGACCTCAAAGCAGCTGAAATCTCCTCTTGCAATTCCACAAAAAGAGTGTTTCCAATCTGCTCTGTGTAAAGGATCGTTCAACTCTGTGAGTTGAATGCACACAACACAAGGAAGTTACTGAGAATTCTTTTGTCTAGCAAAATATGAAGAAATCTCGTTTCCAACGAAGGCCGCTAAGAGGTCTGAATATCCACTTGCAGACTTTAGAAACAGAGTGTTTCCTAATTGCTCTATTAAAAGAAAGGTTAAACTCTGTGAGTTGAACGCACACATCACAAAGGAGTTTCTGAGAATCATTCTGTCTAGTTTTGAAACGAAGATATTTCCTTTTCTGCCATTGACCTTAAAGCGCTTGAAATCTACACTTGCAAATTGCACAAATAGAGTGTTTCAAATCTGCTCTGTCTAAGGGAACGTTCAACTCTGTGAGTTGAATGCACAAAACACAAGGAAGTTACTGGGAATTCTTCTGTCTAGCGTTACATGAAAAAAACCCGTTTCCAACGAATGCCTCTAAGTGGTCAAATTATCCACGTGCAGACTTTACAAACAGAGTGTTTCCAAACTGCTGAATGAAAAGAAAAGTTAAACTCTGAGAGTTGAACGCACACATCACAGAGCAGTTTCTGAGAATGATTCTGTCTAGTTTTGAAACGAAGATATTTCCTTTTCTGCCTTTGGCCTCAAAGCGCTTGAAATCTCCACTTGCAAATTCCACAAAAAGAGTGTTACAAATCTGCTCTGTGTAAAGGATCGTTCAACTCTGTGAGTTGAATACACACAACACAAGGAAGTTACTGAGAATTCTTCTGTCTAGCCTTATATGAAAAAACCCGTTTCCAACGAAGGCCTCAAAGAGGTCTGAATATCCACTTGCAGACTTTACAAACAGAGTGATTCCTAACTGCTCTATGAAAAGAAAGGTTAAACTCTGTGAGTTGAACACACACATCTCAAAGGAGTTTCTGAGAATCATTCTGTCTAGTTTCTATAGGAAGATATTTCCTATTCTACCATTGACCTCAAAGCGGCTGAAATCTACACTTGCAAATTCCAGAAAAAGAGGGTTTCAAGTCTGCTCTGTGTAAAGGATCGTTGAAATCTGTGAGTTGAATACACACAACACAATGAAGCTACTGAGAATTCTTCTGTCTAGCACAGTATGAAGAAATCCCGTTTCCAACGAAGGCCTCAAAGAGGTCTGAATATCCACTTGCAGAGTTTACAAACAGAGTGTTTCCTAACTGCTCTATGAAAAGAAAGGTTAAACACTGTGAGTTGAACGCACACTTCACAAAGAAGTTTCTGAGAATCATTCTGTCTAGTTTTTATACGAAGATATTTCCTTTTCTACCATTGACCTCAAAGAGGCTGAAATCACCACTTGCCAATTGCACAAAAAGAGTGTTTCAAATCTGCTCTGTCTAAGGGAACGTTGAACTCTGTGAGTTGAATGTACACAACACAAGGAAGTTCCTGGGAATTCTTCTGTCTAGCCTTACATGAAAAAAACCCGTTTCCAACGAAGGCCTCTAAGTGGTCAAGTTATCCACGTGCAGACTTTACAAACAGAGTGTTTCCAAACTTCTGAATGAAAAGAAAAGTTAAACGCTGAGAGTTGAACGCACACATCGCAGAGCAGTTTCTGAGAATGATTTCTGTCTAGTTTTTCTACGACGATATTTCCTTTTCTACTATTGACCTCAAAGCGGCTGAAATCTCCACTTGCAAATTCCACAAAAAGAGTGTTTCAAGACTGCTCTGTGTAAAGGATCGTTCAACTCTGTGAGTTGAATACACACAACACAAGGAAGTTACTGAGAATTCTTCTGTCTAGCATAGTATGAAGAAATCCCGTTTCCAACGAAGGCCTCAAAGAGGTCTGAATATCCACTTGCAGAGTTTACAAACAGAGTGTTTCCTAACTGCTCTATGAAAAGAAAGGTTAAACTCTGTGAGTTGAACGTACACATCACAAAGAAGTTTCTGAGAATCATTCTGTCTAGTTTTTATAGGAAGATATTTCCTTTTCTACCTTTGACTTCAAAGCGGCTGAAATCTCCACTTGCAAATTCCACAAAAAGAGTGTTACAAGTCTGCTCTGTGTAAAGGATCGTTCAACTCTGTGAGTTGAATACACACAACAAAAGGAAGTTACTGAGAATTCTTCTGTCCAGCCTTACATGAAAAAAACCCGTTTCCAACGAAGGCCTCTAAGTGGTCAAATTATCCACGTGCAGACTTTACAAACAGAGTGTTTCCAAACTGCTGAATGAAAAGAAAAGTTAAACTGTGAGAGTTGAACGCACACATCGCAGAGCAGTTTCTGAGAATGATTCTGTCTAGTTTTAATACGAAGATATTTCCTTTTATACCATTGACCTCAAAGCGGCTGAAATCACCACTTGCCAATTGCACAAAAAGAGTGTTTCAAATCTGCTCTGTCTAAGGGAACGTTCAACTCTGTGAGTTGAATGTACACAACACAAGGAAGTTACTGGGAATTCTTCTGTCTAGCCTTACATGAAAAAAACCCGTTTCCAACGAAGGCCTCTAAGTGGTCAAAATTTCCACGTGCAGACTTTACAAACAGAGTGTTTCCAAACTGCTGAATGAAAAGAAAAGTTAAACTCTG
Organism: Homo sapiens; assembly: GCF_000001405.40. NCBI lineage: Eukaryota > Metazoa > Chordata > Mammalia > Primates > Hominidae > Homo > Homo sapiens. The sequence goes on along the minus strand of NC_000019.10, from coordinate 26,542,606 downwards.
AGAGTTGAACGCACACATCACGCAGCAGTTTACTGAGAATGATTTCTGTGTAGTTTTTATACGAAGATATTTCCTTTTCTGCCTTTGGCCTCAAAGCGCTTGAAATCTCCACTTGCAAATTCCACAAAAAGAGTGTTTCAAATCTGCTCTGTGTAAATGAAAGTTCAACTCTGTGAGTTGAACACACACATCACAAGGAAGTTACTGGGAATTCTTCTTTCTAGCAGAATATGAAGAAATCCCGTTTCCAACGAAAGCCTCAAGGACGTCTGAATATCCACTTGCAGACTTTACAAACAGAGTGTTTCCTAACTGCTCTATGAAAAGAAAGGGTAAACTCTGTGAGTTGAACGCACACATCACAAAGGAGTTTCTGAGAATCATTCTGTCTAGTTTCTGTAGGAAGATATTTCCTATTCTACCTTTGACCTCAAAGCGGCTGAAATCTCCACTTGCAAATTCCACAAAAAGAGTGTTTCAAGTCTGCTCTCTGTAAAGGATCGTTCAACTCTGTGAGTTGAATACACACAACACAAGGAAGTTTCTGAGAATTCTTCTGTCTAGCAGAATATGAAGAAATCCCGTTTCCAACGAAGGCCACAAGATGTCAGAATATCCACTTACAGACTTTACAAACAGAGTGTTTCCTAACTGCTCTATGAACAGAAAGGTTAAACTCTGTGAGTTGAACGAACACATCACTACGCAGTTTGTGGGAATGATTCTGTCTAGTTTTGAAACGAAGATATTTCCTTTTCTGCCGTTGACCATAAAGCGCTTGAAATCTACACTTGCAAATTGCACAAATAGAGTGTTTCAAATCTGCTCTGTCTAAGGGAACGTTCAACTCTGTGAGTTGAATGCACACAACACAATGAAGTTACTGGGAATTCTTCTGTCTAGCCTTACATGAAAAAAACCCGTTTCCAACGAAGGCCTCTAAGTGGTCAAATTATCCACGTGCAGACTTTACAAACAGAGTGTTTCCAAACTGCTGAATGAAAAGCAAAGTTAAACTCTGAGAGTTGAACGCACACATCGCAGAGCAGTTTCTGAGAATGATTCTGTGTAGTTTTTATACGAAGATGTTTCCTTTTCTGCCTTTGGCCTCAAAGCGCTTGAAATCTCCATTTGCAAATTCCACAAAAAGAGTGTTTCAAATCTGCTCTGTGTAAATGAAAGTTCAACTCTGTGAGTTGAACACACACAACACAAGGAAGTTACTGGGAATTCTTCTGTCTAGCCTTACATGAAAAAAACCAGTTTCCAACGAAGGCCTCAAAGAGGTCTGAATATCCACTTGCAGACTTTACAAACAGAGTGTTTCCTAACTGCTCTATGAAAAGAAAGGTTAAAGTCTGTGAGTTGAACGCACACATCACAATGAAGTTTCTGAGAATCATTCTGTCTAGTTTTTATAGGAAGATATTTCCTATTCTACCATTGACCTCAAAGCGGCTGAAATCTCCACTTGCAAATTCCACAAAAGGAGTGTTTCAAGTCTGCTCTGTGTAAAGGATCGTTCAACTCTGTGAGTTGAAAACACACAACACAAGGAAGTTTCTGAGAATTCTTCTGTCTAGCAGAATATGAAGAAATCCCGTTTCCAACGAAGGCCAGAAGATGTCAGAATATCCACTTACAGAATTGACAAACAGACTGTTTCCTAACTGCTCTATGAAAAGAAAGGTTAAACTCTGTGAGTTGAACGCACACGTCACAATGAAGTTTCTGAGAATCATTCTGTCTAGTTTTGAAACGAAGATATTTCCTTTTCTGCCATTGACCTTAAAGCGCTTGAAATCTCCACTTGCCAATTGCACAAAAAGAGTGTTTCAAATCTACTCTGTCTAAGGGAACGTTCAACTCTGTGAGTTGAATGAACACAACACAAGGAAGTTACTGGGAATTCTTCTGTCTAGCCTTACATGAAAAAAACTCGTTTCCAACGAAGGCCTCTAAGTGGTCAAAATATCCACGTGCAGACTTTACAAACAGAGTGTTTACAAACTGCTGAATGAAAAGAAAATTAAACTCTGAGAGTTGAACGCACACATCACAGAGCAGTTTTTGAGAATGTTTCTGTCTGGTTTTTATAGGAAGATATTTCCTTTTCTGCCTTTGGCTTCAAAGCGCTTGAAACCTCCACTTGCAAATTCCACGAAAACAGTGTTTCAAATCTGATCTGTCTAAATGAAAGTTCAACTCTGTCAGTTGAATACACACAACACAAGAAGTTACTGAGAATTCTTCTGTCTAGCAGAATATGAAGAAATCCCGTTTCCAACGAAAGCCTCAAAGATGTCTGAATATCCACTTGTAGACTTTACAAACAGAGTGTTTCCTAACTGCTCTATGAAAAGAAAGGTTAAACTCTGTGAGTTGAACGCACACATCACAAAGGAGTTTCTGAGAATCATTCTGTCTAGTTTCTATAGGAAGATATTTCCTATTCTACCATAGACCTCAAAGCGGCTGAAATCTCCACTTGCAAATTCCACAAAAAGAGTGTTTCAAGACTGTTCTGTGTAAAGGATCATTCAACTCTGTGAGTTGAATACACACAACACAAGGAAGTTACTGAGAATTCTTCTGTCTAGCATAATATGAAGAAATCCCGTTTCCAACGAAGGCCTCAAAGAGGTCTGAATATCCACTTGCAGAATTTACAAACAGAGTGTTTCCTAACTGCTCTATGAACAGAAAGGTTAAACTCCGTGAGTTAAACGAACACATCACAACGCAGTTTGTGGGAATGATTCTGTCTAGTTTTGAAACGAAGATATTTCCTTTTCTGCCGTTGACCTTAAAGCGCTTGAAATCTACACTTTCAAATTGCACAAATAGAGTGTTTCAAATCTGCTCTGTCTAAGGGAACGTTCAACTCTGTGAGTTGAATGCACACAACACAAGGAAGTTACTGGGAATTCTTCTGTCTAGCCTTACAGGAAAAAAACCCGTTTGCAACGAAGGCCTCTAAGTGGTCAAAATATCCACGTGCAGACTTTACAAACAGAGTGTTTCCAAACTGCTGAATGAAAAGAAAAGTTAAACTCTGAGAGTTGAACGCACACATCGCAGAGCAGTTTCTGAGAATGATTCTGTCTAGTTTTGAAACGAAGATATTTCCTTTTCTGCCTTTGGCCTCAAAGCGCTTGAAATCTCCACTTGCAAATTCCACAAAAAGAGTGTTTCAAATCTGCTCTGTGTAAATGAAAGTTCAACTCTGTGAGTTGAACACACACAACACAAGGAAGTTACTGGGAATTTTTCTGTCTAGCATAGTATGAAGAAATCCCGTTTCCAACGAAGGCCTCAAACAGGTCTGAATATCCACTTGCAGAGTTTACAAACAGAGTGTTTCCTAACTGCTCTATGAAAAGAAAGGTTAAACTCTGTGAGTTGAACGCACACATCACCAAGAAGTTTCTGAGAATCATTCTGTCTAGTTTCTATACGAAGATATTCCCTTTTCTACCATTGACCTCAAAGCGGCTGAAATCTCCACTTGCAAATTCCACAAAAAGAGTGTTTCAAGTCTGCTCTGTGTACAGGATCGTTCAACTCTGTGAGTTGAATGCACACAACACAAGGAAGTTACTGAGAATTCTTCTGTCTACCAGAATAGGAAGAAATCCCGTTTCCAACGAAGGGCACAAGATGTCAGAATATCCACTTACAGACTTTACAAACAGAGTGTTTCCTAACTGCTCTATGAACAGAAAGGTTAAACTCTGTGAGTTGAACGAACACATCACAACGCAGTTTGTGGGAATGATTCTGTC